>NC_000016.10:47592803-47895833 GCF_000001405.40 Homo sapiens | reverse complement strand
GTCTTGCCTTAGGCTCTGCTTCTGGGGAAAAACTGGATGCTGAGTTCCAAAGTGGCCTGAGGAAGTGGGGTCACAGAGCTGTGACCCGGGTGGATAAACCAAGAGGCTTCCTGGAGGAAGTGAGCTCTCAATTGCATTTCAGAGGAGAGGTATGAGAAAAGTCCTTCTGGGCTGTGATTCCTAAAGAGCAAAAAAGCTGAGTCCACAGTGTCACAGTCTCACTGTGGGAAGATAGTGACAGTGGCCCCAGGTTTCTGGCTTCTTCATCCTCAGCTCTTCTTCAGAGAGACAGGATTTATAAGAATGCTTTTGCCTTCCTAATGAAAATCTAGCCTTTGAAGTCTTATTAACTCTAATGGGGAAAAAAAACCTCAATTTCATTTTTTCCGGCGGTAAGAGCAGCGATATTAAATGATCCAATTTACCCATTTTGAATACCACTCTGGTCGCTAATGAAGATGCATCTGCGACATAATGTGTGGTTCACACACAGGGCGTTGCTACTCAGATGAACACTGTGCAGATGGTTTCATGCAATAGGAAAACATCGCATGCAAATTTAATTTTTGTGAATCAAATGCTGCTTTCTTCTGGACTCACACGATAGTTAGAGAATCACAGTTTCTGTTGGTCAGGGCCTCGGCAGACAGTTCCCCTGTACTTCCCTCCCCACTGCCAGGTGGCCGATGGCCCATAGGTAAATAGGTGGACAAGGGAGGGCTCCTTGTGCTGGAGCCATGCAGCACAAGCTCTGGGAAAGCACAAGTTGTTAGTAGTGTGTAAGTAATTGCTAAATGTATTAATAATCACAAATAGGCTACCTGCTCTGCTGGTAGTATGTCATCACAACTGTCCTATGAGGTAGGCATACTATTATTTTCATTTTCATAACTGGGAAACCTAAGGCTGAGAGGCTAAGTGAATTGCCTGGGGTCACACAACTACCACAGCCACCCACTTTGCCTTAACTCTACACTCCTTTCCAGGAGGAGGAATTAAAATCCAAACCTGAGTCCTATGATTCCAAAACCTATGTTTTTGCTGCTATGTCATAGAGTTACACAAGCTTCACAAATGATATTATACACTTTTATCTGCTTATACGGATAGACAGTAGTGCCCCTTTATCTGTGATTTCGCTTTCCACAGTAACCCATGCTCAGCCACAGTCTGAAAATATTAAATGGCAAATTTCAGATATAAACAATTCATCAGTTTCAAATTGCTCAGTGTTCTGGGTAGCGTGATAAAATCTAGCACCATGCCACTCAGCCCCACCTGGGATAAGTACCATCCCTTTGTCCAGGATATCCACACCATGTAAGCTACCCACCTTATACAATGTGATTGTATGGGAAAAACACAAGCTATGTAGGGTTCAGTACTATCCCGTGCCCCAGATGATAATGATTGAAATTGACAGATTATTCCATTAAGTGTAATCTTCAAATTGAGGTTTTCAGGAATAGCATGCAAGAAGACAGTATGTTAAAGATTTATTGTGCTTATGAACTATTTTTGTACAATTATTATTCTTATTATTTGAGATAGAGTCTCACTCTGTCACCCAGGCTGGAATGCAGTGGCGCAATCTCAGCTCACTGCAACCTCCACCTCCAAGGTTCAAGCTATTCTCCAGCCTCAGCCTCCCGAGTAGCTAGGATTACAGGCAAGTGCCACCACGCCCCACTAATTTTCGTATTTTTTAGTAGAGACGGGGTTTCATCATGTTGGCCAGGCTGGTCTCAAACTCCTGACCCCAGGTGATCCACCCACCCCACATTGGCCTCCCAGAGGTCTGGGATTACAGGCCTCAGACACCACGCCCGGCCTGTGCAATTATTCATCAGCTACCTTGGTAGTTCTAGCTGTGGTTTCAGGCATCCACTACTGAGGGTCTTGGAACGAATCCCCCAGGGAGAAGGGGGCACTGATGTGTACAGTAGTGGCTGTGTTAGTTGATGCTCAGGGCATATTAAAATGTTAGAAAAATTTCTTCACTGAATTCTTCTATCTGACCTAGTGCCCATCACAAGTGAGATTTATGACCTATGTTCTCTATGCTCCTTTTCTTCCACTCATCCTGGAGACATGGTAGATTAAGATGGAAATAATGATATAGGCAGAATTTCGAGAGAAAAACTCATTCCGCAAGAGCTGGGGGGTTATGCCAAAAAGTTAACCATTGGGGACACTACCTTCTCAGAGAAAATCCATTATTCCAAGAGCAAGGCCCGAGGAATGATATGGCTTCTTGAACTCAGGCCCTGTGCATTTGGCCCTGCTTTAGACAAACTTGTCCTCATGAGCCATCAGCTGCCTTGGTGCTTCCAGCTTCCATGGCAGCTTGGCACGTATTCCTCTCAAATTCATCATTTATGTAATAAATCCCAAATGAGCTCCATTTCAAATGTGAATACATGAGGTGAACAAATTAATGATGAAAATTCATCTCTGAATATATTTATTTGTAATGATACATAAAGTCTGGTGTTTAAAAGAAACAATTCTCTAAGCAAAAAGGTACCCTTCACAATGTGAATTGTCGGAAGGCTAACTCCAAAGCAGAAGCAGCGCAGTATTTTCCTGCATATTAAATGCACAATCAAAGAACCATCTGCCCCAGATGATAATGATTGAAATCGACAGACAATTCCATTAAGTATAATCTTCAAATTGAGACTTTCAAGAACAGCATGCAAAAAGATGGTATGTGAAAGATTTATTATGCTTACGAACCATTTTTGTACGATTATTCAGAACAGACTGGGAGTAAATTATTTTATAAAATGTACTTGAAAATGAGTGTGTACATTTAGACCTTTAAAGCGTAATCATTTACTAAAGAGCTTCTAGCAACCTGCCCTTTTATTTGGCATACAGTTTGTGTTTTAAAATGTCAGCTAAGTATTTCTTTGTTTAGGGATTTTTTTCAAGCATTTCTATAAGAAATGGAAAACAAAATGTGACTGCGAATTCAGTAAAATTACATCCGGAGGGACAGTGAACACTCTGGGTGTGCTGTCCCCATTTTATAAATGGTGCTCGATGAAACAATGGAGGAGGTTGGTGTATTTTAAATATGGATGAGAAATAAGTAAGACAGGCACTAATGTCTTTATAGATTATTTATGCTGCCCTAATCTCACGCTTTCAGAAACTTTTAGCCACACTCTTACACCATAATTCAAGCTAAACTTCATTATCTTTCATATCTGTTCTCCTAGCCATCTTTCTTATGCCTTTATTTCTTCAAGCAATTCAGACACTTCGCATTACCTCCTTCACTCCCTCACTTTGATCTTGTAGGACTTCAGGGTAATGCAGCGTATTTCTCCTTCCTCTGAGAAGCCAGCCCCAGAATATTTGGATTTTATATGCACAATTATACCCTCGAATCTGGTCCACCTGCCTGTCTTCTCTTTTTGATAGCATGTTCTTTTTCATGGGGGAAGACCAAGGCAAAGGGGAGAGAAGGGCTACATGGTATTTCTGCTGTTATGGCCAAGAAATATTTCAGAGTCTCTTGTTCTCTGTCCCATCCCCTTCTCGTGAATTCTCAGGGAAAGGAGGAAGAGTTCTTACAAGTCTAGCT
Source organism: Homo sapiens (assembly GCF_000001405.40). Taxonomy (NCBI): domain Eukaryota; kingdom Metazoa; phylum Chordata; class Mammalia; order Primates; family Hominidae; genus Homo; species Homo sapiens. The sequence continues at coordinate 47,892,238 of NC_000016.10, read as the reverse complement.
TTTGGCAAACCTTTTGGAGGCTTACCACTGGCTACAAAATAAATTCTGCTAGAATGAAATATCAGCCTAACTAAGAGAGAATGAAGAGGTAAAGCGAATTAGGAGTTGTTGTACCATCAGAGACAGACATGAAGAAGGAGCCAGATTATTAATATTTTTTGTTTAATATTTAACAAACCAAGGCTCTACCCCTGCCAAAATTACTCCCCAAGTGTAAATCCGGCCCAGATGGAATGGGAGGTTTCTTTTCCCCACTGCAACATCTGATTTTTATTATTCTCTTTGCCACTCAAGAAATTGTCATGCACTCCAAATTTACTCTCTTCTCTATCTATTCTAGTATACCAAAACTCATCCTGTCCTTTACTTTGCCCTTGGGTTAAATATATTTCCAGTCCTTGAATGAATGAGTTCAAAGTATTTGCCACAGAGCTCACAAGTCTCCTGCTGTTTTCTCCTCCTTTGTCTAATGGTGACTTCAGATGCAGGGAAAGAACAGGGGTTTGTGACCAAATCAGAAAGCACTAATGAAAGCAATGCAGAGATCAGTTGGGGAAACCGAGGCCCAGAGAAAAGGCAGCTAAGCCAAGGTCACATAGTCAGCATGCAGCAGATCTAGGGTCAGCCAATGTGAGGTGGAGATACATGAACTCTGAGGGCTGGCTACCAGGAATCCCAGCCTGGTTCTACTACTTGCTAGCTGAGTATCCTCTTAGAGCCTCAGTTTTCCCACCTACAAATTGGGGTTATTAATTGATACTTGTTGTGATAATTCTATGGGTAATATAGGAATAGTTCAACTAGTTATAGTTAGGCTCAATAACTGAGACCACGCACATTAAACTAACAAAAGACAGATTAGCAAGAGAAAAAGTAGGTGGATTATATTGATATTAATATTTTTATGTTTATAGGTACCTCTCATAGAAAAGGAAGTGATAATCCAAAGATGTAGTTAGGCCTGAGAGCTTACATACCATTTTAACAAAGAGTGATAAATGTGTGGAGAAGTGACTGGACAAAGGAAAAGAGTTTGGGTTTTTAGGGGTGGTAAATTCTGGAAAGGTCATTATACAGGGAAAACTAAAGGAAGAAAAGGATTATTTCAGTAAGGTTTGTTTGTGCAGATTCAAGTCAGTGCCATCTCCCATGATAAGAGTCTTCTATTTTTGGTATGGGAGAAATGTGGGGGACACCTTCACAAATGGAAATTTATGCCCTGCATGTAGGCAGAAAGGAGGAGGATAGAGAGCTTTGTTTGCATCTGCTGTTTTTGAATTGCCTTCAGCTCAAAATAATCTTCATGCTCAAGTGGCATATTTGGGGGTTGCATACTCTGAACCCCTTTGCAGTGTTAATGATTATACTAACAGAGTGATTAATTACAGAGTGATTATTCACCCAATAAAAGAATCTCCTCTTTACCCAAATGTTGCTACTATGGAACTCAATTTTCCTTTCTACCACCCTAAGATTTAGTGTGCCCACTTACTATTCTGTCTCTAAAATTTTTATTCTCCCTATTCAAATTTGAGAATAAATGTTAATGAAGCAATCTGCCACTCCTTCTGCCCAAAGTGTTCTCAAAGACATTAAATAATATTCCCTGTTGCCCTTGGTGATTGGCCACATAACTAAAAATAAAAGGGAGGGGGCAGAGAAGGGTCAAAGAAGGAAGGAAAGGGAAAATGCACATAGTAGGAAAGGAAGGGCACAGGAAGGTAGAGGAAAAGGAAAATAGTGCCCTGTATGATCAAACAGAATTCCCATCTGTATAGAACTTTTCAAAAACCATTTAATCCAACCCTTCTTATTACGTTTGGAGACACTGAGGCACAGAGAGAGATGGGTCTCCATAGTGGAAGAGACAGGTTATGAACCCAGGATCCACTTTCTCAAATTTTCCTCTGCCTAGAATGCCTTTCATTCTGAACCACTGTCCCAATACCACCCTCTGCCGAGTTAATGTCTATTAATTTTGAAATCTCAGCTCAAACATACTTTCTGACAAGTCTTCCCTAACCTATCCCCTTCGTATCTGATCCAGGTTCCCCTAATGCACTCTCAGAGCACCTGCCAAGGTGTTTCTTCCCCAGTTCCCCATTCTCCACCCACCACCCCGGGCACATAATCGGCACCCCATAAACTCATGAGTCAATTAGTGAGGTGCAGACACGAAGCATGTGCTCTATGTGGGATGCCTTTCACTATAGCAAAGAAACATCTCCATACAATTCATTCATAAAGCAAGGGACAGAAATAGCTTCCATTCATGCATCTTTCAATAGGGAGATTCACACAGGATTCATTAAAGGAAACTTTTAATTGTGGTGTTTACTCCTGCAGAGTCAATGTAGCTCTTTCTCTCTAGTCAGCTCCTTCTTTCAAGGCAAGCCCTGCTAGAGAGGACAAGAACTAATAAGCAAATTCCATGAATTGTTCTAGTGCTTTATTTTTTTCCTAACTCTTGCTCTTATCACCCCAGACATACTTTATGTGGAACAAATTGGTTAAAACATAAAGTGAAAATTCACTTTCTCTTAGGCTCTGCACTGTGTCGTTATTGGGATATAAAAAGATCCATGTGGCTTAACTAAATCCAAAAAAAAAAAATCCATCTCACACTGTCTTATCTTCAGCTCTAAAGTTTAAGCTCCTTGCTGAGAAACGTGAAGCAAGATAACTGACATTAATTGAGTTCCTACTATACTCCAAGCACTCGGCAAAGAAATCTTCATCATTTATTCATTCAGGAAATACTTGGGTACCAGGCACTGTTCCAGGAACTGGGGAGACAGCAATGGAAAAATAATAACTCCTGTTATCATGGAGTTTTGTTGTTGTTGCTTGTTTGTTTTTAAGACAGGGTCACCCAGACTGGAGTGCAGTAGAGCAATCATGGATCACTGCAGCCTCAAACTCTTAGACTCAAATGATCCTCCCATCTCAGCCTCCCGAGTAGCTGGGACTACAGGCACAATCGCATGTCTCGCCTTTTTTTTTTTTTCATAGAGATGAGGTTTCTTTATGGTGTCCAGACTGGTCTCAAAACACCTGTCTTCAAATGATTCTCCCTCCTTGACCTCTCAAAGTGCTGGGATTACAGGTACAAGCCACTGTGCCCCGCCTTCATCAGAGTTTTCAGACAGACAGGAAGCAAATAGACATATCACGTAACGTCAGATAGGAATTATGGCTATAAAGAGAAAGAAAGTAGGTTAAAGAATTCGGAGTGATGGGAGATATTTCAGGCTGGAGGGCAGGAAAGAACTCTTGCGGAGATGCCTCTGGAGGAGAGACTTGATTAATGTGAGCAAAAGGCTTGTGATTATTGGAAGCAAAACTGTTCCAGCCAGAGGAAGCAGCCAGCACAAAGGTCCTGAGGCAGGAAGATGCTTGGGAGGCTGGAGATGCAGGGAGGAGGCCAGCACACTGGGAGCACACAGAGCAAGGCAGCAAAAACCAGACAGATGGACAGAGAGGCAGACAAAGGTCAGATCGTGTAGCAGCACAAAGAATTTCAAACTCTATTCCCAATTTCCTAACAACCCTTTGAAGGGTTTTGACTGAGGGCATGCGGCGATCTGACTTTCTTTATACATGGTTGTGTCTTATTTAGTCTTCAAAACTATCTTATGAGATAAGCAGCATTAACCTCACTTTACAGATGTAGGAAGTGGGAATGAGGGAGATTAAACATCTTGTCCCAGTTTATGCTGCTGGTAAATGGTAGATTTGTAATTCCAATTTAAAGTGGTGTGATTCCAAACCCCAGGCTCTTCACATCACCCCATGCCATCTGAGGACAGGAACTGTGTCTTGCATGACCCTGAAACATGATCAGAGTACCCAGCACGTGGCCACTGCCTGGTAAGTATTTTCTAAATGAATACGTAAGACTCAACTCAAACTCTGCCACATTCCTGCAATGCCTGGGCGTTTGGGTCATTGACATGGCAAATATAGAGAGTACAGGGATTTTTACAATCCAAAAGAGAATGGCAAAGAATTAAGATGTTTTGATCTGTGCTCTATTTTGGGCAATAATTACCCTTCCATGGAAAAACATAATTTTTTTTCAGTGATTCCATTTTTTACCCCACTTGATACATTATCTCTTCTACATAAAGAGTTCTGTGTGCACACACATGTCAACGCTGAAACAGACAATCATCTTGCCCTTTCTAATAGTCTAAGGGTCTGTTGGAAATGACATGCACTACAATTTAGCTGAGTGTTGAGTTTGCTCCTAAAGGCTATTCACATGCATATATCACGTCAAGAAGAGTAAACGTGAATGGATCCTATGCCTGTTCTCCTTCCTACACTCAAGTAACCCACCATGTAGCAGCTCCTTTTTTTCACCCTTTCCCAGGGGTAAACTGAAAGACAAAAGACCATTTTCAGGTGAGTACCTATTATATACCCCTCTACTGACTCACAGTTCCCCACTGAATACCCCGAGGCTACTCCCTCGCAGCCATTCATACAATAAAGATGACTAAAGAAAGGAATTTGCATGTGCCAGCCTCTCCTCCCTGCTGAATGCGCTGGTGAGCAGAGCCTCAAGCCTGCCCTAGCTCACAGGAGCCTCTCAGGTTCCTCGGGTGGAAGAGGCCAGGCACATTCTCACGCAAATATGAAATAGAAGAAAGGCACTGAAGGAAGCAAACTAGAGGTTCTAAGAGCTTTCCAGCCTGACCTCTTCTGGGGTGGAGGCACAGAGGCTTCTCTGATGACTGGTGACACAGGATGGGTGGACATTGAGGAGATGAAGAGGGGAAAGGAGCAGCATTCTAGGCTCGGAGCTTTCTCGGGGCTCTGAAAAGCACAGAATCAAAGGGTGCAGAAGGCTAGCGTGATGGGTCACAGGGTCAGGGAGGGGGCTGCGGGTGGGAGGCAGGGACTTTTAGGTTATGATCCTAACATCTCCTTTACGCCCCCAATACTCACAATACTGGGTGTTGACTCAGCCTCCATAGGAGATATCACAATGAGTGAGTGAAAACAGGCTCAGGAAATCCTCAGAGCTCCCAGGGTGTCTAGACACAGGGATTCTATAATCCTGTCAGGAAAGTGGGTGGGAGAGGGATTTGCAAAGAAAACCATTAACATCACTTCCCCAGGGCGAGGAACTCCATGTGAGGCTCTGGGGGAACCTGACTATGTGCAGTCGTTTACAGCCTGGGTCTCCTGGAGCCTATGAAATGAGAAGCAGTCATTAGCACAGCAAGCGGCCCTCATCCTTCCTTCTCAATAATAACACTGTCACCAGAGGATGGAAAATTACCCTGACGTCTCTGTATCTCCAAATTGCACTTCAGAGACAGACTGCGTAAGGCAAACAGACCCTGAGTGAAAACCTCCTGGCTAGACTTCCAAGCCAAGGCCTAATAAATAACCCTGAAATATACAAAGTGATGGCAGCTTTGCTCTGTGGCTCGTGGCTTCTGCCCTGGGAAGGACCATGAATTTCAGCGTCTGACAGATGGGGTCAGAAAGTGGAGTCTGCCTGGTGGGTTGAGGATCTGCAAATTAACCCCATGGTGGTGGTTTCAGAACAAGTGTGCCTGCTCACGCAAAGACTAACCTCTAAGAAAGGAGCAGGCCCGGAGGTGAGGCCCCCTGGGCGTGAAAGAATCAACCCCAGTCCACAAAGTCCGGAGATGAGACATCCTGCCTGGAGGAGGGAGCCCTGTGCATCGCAGGATCAAAGAAGCCAAACAGGATCTTTAGTGGTGACCGAAAATGCTCATGAGGAGAAAGGCTGCATGGCATTAAGTGAACCCCATTGAAAGGTACAAAATTTTCATAGTCTGTATTTTTCTTTCTCTGTCAAAAACACCACGATTTGCCAAAGCACTTTAGCAATCATTTGTAAATTGGTCCGCCAGGGTCTCCATGAGAATGTTAAATGACAACAAGAAGAAATCAATATCTCATCGCTGACGCGGGGCTGGGCATTCAAGTGAAATACAAGATTCAAAGTACTGATAGAAGGATGCAAAGATGTTGATCTCCTGGGAAGAAAAAAGTTAAAAAAAGGTGACAAATGCCAAGCTAGAGAGACTCATCTAAATAGCTAATGCAAATAAATCCAACATAGACAGCTATAGATGTTGAAGCTTTTTTTTAAATTAGATTTCTTCAGGGATTACTGATAAGCATCACATCAAAAAAGATGATCAAGAATAAATTGGTTCTCAAGCAATGCCTGCAAAAAAATTGTGATGTGAAAATAAACAAAATATTCCTAATGTGAATAATTTAAAAATATAAACAACTTTGGAAATAGGAAATTTACAGAGTTTACTACAAAATCTGTATCCTAGAAGAGGTATTGCATTTAGAGGTAGGAGGCTGCATATAGGAAACCAATAATTGTTAGCATTTATCAAGTATTAGTTATATGCCAGGTACATAACTAATAAGTGACTTTTTGTAAGTAGGTGGGATTTTTGTGAACACTCAGTGAGCTCTACGGAGTATGTACATTTATAACCCTTATTTTGTAGATGAGGAAATTATGGCACAGAGAGGTTAACTATCTTATCCAAGATCACACAGCAAATCAGATCTAGGATTCCTGTCTCAGTTCCAGAGTTGTTGCTATTTGACTCTACTTTTTACAGGTGTCTATCCATTTGGCTTAGGAGAAAGGGAGTTTAAGGAGGACTAGCTACAGGTTCTCACTAGAACAAGAAAGAAATAGCTTAAGAGCTTTATCCAAATAAACTTTTTTTTCTGGGAAGAGAGAAGGTAGGCATCATTTTGGGTGTGGCCATCACCAAGGCTGAGTTTTGTTTTTGTTTTTGTTTTTGTTTTTCCCTTGATGCCTTTTCAGAGGCTTTAAGGTTCTGGCTGGAACTTCAAAGAGAATCCTGGGTTTTCTCTAAATACAGTTATATTTAGCAAAATAAATAAATAAACATGAATTGGGGAACAAGAGTCAGAACAATCACTTTCACATGTTTATCTCAAGTTGCTATAGGAAAAGAAAATTTAGCAAAGTAGTCATTTGAAATATTTTAAAATAATTACACAGCAACAAGCCAGAAAGCCAAAACATTTTCTTCTTTTTCAAGATATTCTGACTCCTTTTGCATTTCTACCTCTTGGAATAACAAACCATCCTCTCTTTTTATTTCTTTTCTGTTTTGGAAAAGCTGCAAAAACACCTCTCAAACTCATGCAAATTATCAGTGTGTCCTGAAATATTTTCCTGAAACATTGCAAAGGCTGGTAATCAGATCTTTCAAGAATAAAACCGGGCTTTTTTTTTCTTTTTGGCTTCTGGTCTTAAACCACCAACATCTTCTTTTTCCTCCCAAATAAATATATGAATAGAATTCTCTTCCCAAACAACAAATGGATCATTTTCTTATTTTATTTTAGAAGGAAGATCTGGAGTCATTGTTGATGCAATTCAAGCCAACAGCTTCTACCAGTAAATGCCAATGGTCCTATTTTCTGTGCGTTTGATAGCCACGTTGCTTATTTATGGCTCTTTTATTATCCAGACCTGCTTGGCCGTGGATGAAGGCATTAAGTCAATTAATTGTGTTTGGATGCTGCAGGACTTGTGTTTTGTGAAGCAGCAGAGGATTGCAAGCTTGATTCTGAGGAAAGAGTCTCAGAGAGGGAGAAAGAGGATTAGATGGTTTTATGGGGAAAGCAGTGAAAGAGAGCCCACCGGCCAAGAGGCCCAGGTGTGAATTGAATGATGATGCAGAGAAGGCAAGGCAGCCAAAAGGAGCTGGCTCAGCTCAGTGGGATTCTTCCTCCCAGCCAGCAGATCAGGTCTCCCTCATGAGATCACAGCACACTCCCTCCTCCTCAGAGGTTTCTTTCTCTTTCTCTTCCCTTCTGTTTCCTTTACCATTAAGAAAGTCTTCTCCTTCACTCCTTCCCCTTTCTCTCACCTTCCCACCTCCTCTGTCTCTGTCTCCTTCTCTCCCATCTTCCTTTTATCTTGGATGCTTTACAGGACTCACTCCCTTTGGCTGGCAGGGAATTGATATGCAAGCTTTTGTTCTTTCAAGCTGTTTTTCTTTCCAAGAGACACAATACCTACCTTGTGTCATGTTCTCTTGTGTGTGACTAATGGTAACAGAACAGTTATAAGCTGTACATTTGTATTCTTAGAAAGCTTAAATTAGTAAGATTTTTAATATAACAATTGTATTAGCACAAATTGTTTGCTTCTAAAACATCACATGTGAAAGCAAATTAAATGGCTTAAATTATATATATCCATTGACTACTAAACCATTAGAAAGTAGAGACTAGTAATTCTTAGTTCCAAAGGCTGCACGAATTTTGTTGCCCGAAAGTTTCTAAGATGACTGTCTTTGGCTTCTAAGAACAAAAGGGCATCTGGGTGGGAGGAAATGGCAGATACCAAGACCAGTCATCTGCATCTGATTCCATTTCTAACATTCACTTTCTGTGCTGATTCTCTCTTGACATTTTGGATATAGCAATTAATATCAGTCATAAAATAAAAGGATTTAAAAACTATAGGTTTTCCCACAATTGAACTTTTACTGGGTGAATGAAGGAAGGAATGGATGGTAGAGGGATAGATGAATGGGTGATAGATGGCTGGCTGGATGGTGAACAGAGGGATGAATGGTGGGTGAATGAAGAAATGGATAAGATGAATGGTGGATAGATGGATGAATGGATGGTGGATGTGAATAGTCTCTTGGAGTCAAACCAAATCATCTGAGGAACATCAGCAACAAGTTTGCTCATTTCCAATTAAACGGGTGCCTGTTCTATGCAAGAGATCAAGGAAGTAGATGGATTTTTGTTTCTGTTTTTTGTTTTTTTAAATTTTTTTATTTCCATAGGTTATTGGGGAACAGGTGGTGTTTGGTTACATGAGTAAGTTGTTTAGTGGGGATTTGTGAGATTTTGGTGCACCTATCCCCCGAGCAGTATATACTGCACCTTATTTGTAGTCTTTTATCCCTCATCCCCTTCCCACCCTTTCTCCCTGAGTGCCCAAAGTCCATTGTGTCACTCTTATGCCTTTGCATCCTCATGGCTTATCTCCCACTTATTAGTGAGAACATATGATGTTTGGTTTTCCATTCCTGAGTTACTTCACTTAGAATAATAGTCTCCAGTCTCATTCAGGTCACTGTGAATGCCATTAATTCATTTCTTTTTATGGCTGAGTAGTATTCCATCATTCATTCATATATATATATATATATCACAGTTTCTTTCTCATTGATTGATGGGCATTTGGGTTGGTTCCACGTTTTTGCAATTGCAAATTTTGCTGCTATAGACATGCATGTGCAAGTATCTTTTTCATATAATGGATTATTTTAAACGAGGTAGATGTTTTGAGGCAAAGAAGGAGAAGATGTTGTCCATGCCCTCAAAAAAGTTGCAATCTAATTTGGAAATAAGACAAAATAGAAATAACAATACACATTTGATTAAAAATTATATGGCACAGATTGTTCAAAGGAAACTCAGTTGGAAAAATATGGGGGTGGGGAATTCCAAGTAAGAAATGGAGTATTCAGGGAAGGCCTCATGGAAGAGTCCTCAACCAAGCAAGAGTTTAAAGGACAGATTACTTTTGAACAAGTGGGAAAGAGGGGCCATTCCTAGGGAGAAACAAATAAAATTTGGTGGCATCAAGTCATTTCTCTTTTACAGGTAGTCTCCCATTGTTTGTTCAAGGGTTTTGAGGAAGAAACATCAAAATTTTGTCTTTTCTTCAATTGTATGCTCTGCTGCTAACACAGTATCTTGCACAAATGAGGAGCTGAATTAATTCATAGTGAATGAGTGAGTTGAATGAATAAATGGAGAGCTATAGCCAAAGTCTCTACCCAGACTATAGTCCCTCCTTGGGATTCTCGGCATGAAATGAAGCTCAACCACACTCTAGCATGGGTTGTATTGGATTAGATTTTTCCTGCACAAAGAGCCCTGATAGCAACTTAAAATATGGATTGGGAGTAAGTTGACAAAATACAACTTGTACTTTGGCAATAATGGAGATAAACTAGTTTCTTCACATTTTTCTAAGAGGAACACTTTCATAGTTGAAATGAAAAGAAAAGGGCCAAAGGGGAAAACCAGAGCCAAGCTTTGACACAATCTTAATTAAATACCTTTACTCCCAGCTTTTTAGAAAAATCAAATCTAATAATATTTTGCCCATCGATTGTTCTTCAAGAGGATAATAACAAATCACTCCACTGGCTTTAGCCTTGCAATCAGCAGTGTGCAGTAATTTAATTAGCTGATGTGCCGTATCAGTAGTTTAGAGACTGCAGTTGTCTACTCTCTGAACTACATGGGAAGCTCGATTGGGAAGTGTTATGTCCTCTAAAGGTGAATGTCCTGGCCAACAGGTGGCTCGGGGAGTTTGCTAATGAGTTTTCTTTTTTTTTTTGAGACAGGTCTTGCTATGTTTCCCAGGGTGGAGTGCAATGACGCAATCATGGCTCACTTGCAACCTCCACTTCCTGGGCTCAAGAAATTCTCCTACCTCTATCTCCTGAGTAGTTGGGACTACACAGGCACATGTCACCATCCCTGGCTATTTTTTTAAAAAATTTTATAGAGATGGGGGGGGTCTCACTATGTTGCCCAGGCTGGTCTCAAACTCCTAGACTCAAGCAATCCTCCCATCTCGGCCTCCCAAAGTGTTGGGATTATAAGCATGAGCCACCATGCCCATTCTATCTATTTTAACAACCCCATCTCCTATTCTGACTCTCTTTATTCCCTATTCCCTTGCTATGTTTATGCTTTATTTTTTTCCATTAGCATGTATTATTATACAACATAGCTATATAGTAGTTGTCAGTCATCTCCCATGAGAGTAAATGGGGTGAGAACCTTGTCACTTGCTAGTCGTACTCACTATGACTACTTTATCTTTGCCTGAGGCTAGAACAGTGCCAGGCACACAGAAGGCACTCAATATTTCTTTAAGAATGAGAAAATAAATTTATTGGGTTTTTGCTTTGCATATTTAGCCCTCAAAGAGCTAAGCTGCAAGAACTCCAACAAGACTTATTGTTTATTGAATACCCATTATGTGTGAGGCACTATGTTAATCACCTTACATTTATTAACTCATCTAATCCTCATGACACTGTGAAGTAGATACTATTATTACCCCTTTTATAGGTGAGCAGACTAATGAAGTCAGCCTGCTGGGCCTTGGGTTGTCAGAGAGAGATTCTGTATGAGGGCAATTATATTTAGGGCTATCCCCTTGGCAGCCTGTGTATGTTGAAAGTAAAGAAACCACTTGCATGATGATGATGACCTTGATGATGATGATGACCTTGATGATTATGACAACAACAATGATGATGATGACAATGGTGGTGATGACATTGATGATGACGACAACGATGATGACGACGATGATGATGACAGTGATGATGATGAGCTGATATATGAAGTACTAACCATGTGCTGGGCAGTACAGTGCAGTGCCCAGCACACGGTAAGTGCTGTGATATTTATTTAATCTGTACTGAAGCCTTAAAAAGTAGATGCTGATATTATCTTCAGACTATAGTAAGGAAAATGAGCATGAGATAAGTTAAATAGCTTGTTTAAGGTCACACAGCTACCAAGTGTCACAGTCTGGCTCCAGGGCCATGTAGAAATGCAAATGCCATCAAAGCAAAAAAAATAACAAGGAAAAAGGAAGTCCAAACAGAAGAGGATTCCAGAACTAGAGTCCACATCAACCTCGCAGATCCACAAGCTGGGACTCAGCAGATGCCCTCATCAGAGTGGAGTTATAAAGAATCCAGAGGCAAGGGCATTCTTTTTCCCTGAATAGACTTATACAATATTTACAGAAAACTGTTCATTGAAGAGACCATTAAAAGTGGAATCTCTTACCAAAAAGGATTTTTATACCTAATCATCACTAGATAAGTGAAAAAATTCATGCTCCATGGAGCTAAAAACACTCTCCCTAGGGGATGGAAGAAGCAGTCTCTAAAATAATAAAGGACATGTTGGATAATCAGTATACTAAATAATTTACACAAAAAAACACAAAAGGGCCCAGTTCCTTGCACTTACCTGAAGGATTTTTGTTGTTTTTGAATAAGGTTGTTTTACTTGCTTCTAGGTTATTTCTTTTTCCACTTGAACTGCCTCAAAAAGAGAACTTCAAAAGGGAAAGTTACTGGGAATGGAATTCAGTAATATTTAGGAAGAAGTGAAATTAAATATTATTTGATGCCACGATTCGTGGCTGTCCACACATAAGTTCCTGGCAGGGAGCTCACTTAGCTAAGCTTCAGGAAGAATATTCAATGGGTTTGTGAATTCTACAAACACACCATCATCACTCACTCACTCACTCTTACAATGTGGGTAGGACTCAGGGACAGGAGAGAAATAACCAAAGTCTGAGTTCTCTAGAAGCTCCCAGAGTAAAGACCAGAGCCTCTAGCTTTCCTATCACTTTTCTTCAGCCAACTAGAGTCTTAATAATTTAAACATTAATAGTTATTATTTGTTGAGCACTTTAATGAGCCAAGAACTATACTAAGTGCTTTCTGGTTATTATATCTTTTAAATTCTCACAATAAGCTCATGAGAGAGATAAAGGAATTAAGGCTAGAAAGGTGAGCGGCATTTACCCCAGCCTCCTAGCTAGTATGAGGTATGGCTGAGATTTGAACTGTGGCAGATGTCACTCCAGAGCCTGTACTGTCAGCCACCCCACAGTAGTGGTTAAGAACACTTTTGGAGTAGATTTGGCTCTAGACAGAGCTAAGTTCAATTCCTACCTCTAAACCTCACAGAATGAGACCAGTTGAGAAATGGTTCCTCCAAATGAAAAGGTGGGCTCTTTGATCAGAAGAGGAAGTGGTGGGAGAAGAAACAGATTCAAACCAGCAGCTGTCATTTACACGTGCACGGATTTGTTTAGGAGGTCACTTTCCTCCTCACAGCCGGCAATGACATGATGGAATATTGATGCGTAGTCAAGGAATGCTGTCCAGATGTGACTGCCTTCTGAGAACCTGGGAATTAAGAGAGATAATTTCAAGGTACAAGAACCCTGAAGACAAGCCACATGCAATTCAGTGATGCCCAAGGCCACCTCTGCACTGGAAAGAGTGGTTTGTCACCTGTCGTCTCAAGTATCAGCTGAAATGTCATCTCATAGGGCACTAGAATAGAAAATGCTAGGCAGGGCAAGGTCAGCTGCAAGGTCTTTTTTTCATTTTCCTTTTTGAAAGGAGTCCAGCTTACTGTCTTAGGTTGGGGTCCCTAGAAGCAAACCCTGAGGCAACTATTTAAGTGCAAGTTGCTTATTTGGTAGGCGATTCCAGGAAACCAGGAGGAAAGGGAAGCCAACACAGCATGTTCATGAGTAGGCTCTTGCTGGAGGCATTCAGGGTTCAACCCTGCTCAGGACCTCCAGGGGACAATGTAGAGTGTGCCTCAGAGTCCAGGTACTTCTTCACCACCTCCCATCCATCACATCTTGAGGCTTGCTCCCAGGGGCAGCTCCTTGACGTTTCTGGTCCATCCTGCGGTTAGGCTGAGAATACTCAGCTGTCCAAAGAAACCTCCCAGGGAAAGAAGTAGAGGGAATTGCAGTCAGAAGCCACCTGGCTGGTGTGCATGGAGATTGGAGGTGCCAGGGGAGGAGGGCTAGGCACCAACAGTGCCTGCCATGGGTGCAGAAAACTGTTTCTCTACTGGGAGAAAGGTGATAGCCTCTGTGTCAGTGAGAAGCTGAAGAAGCTACTTGGCTTCAACCAATTGTTGGCCATGCAAGAATGTGGACCCATTATTCGAGAGAAACTATAAATCTAAATTGTATTAGAAATCCCTAGATTTTCAAATGTCTTGGTAGCAAATTGAAAAATTTTAAAACACTGCAGGCTACACAAGCTCATGTGCTGGTCCCAGTTTGTAGCTTCTGATATAAGAGATCCTGATGCCATTGCTCAGTGTTGGTAATGCAGTTGTTCCTTTCTTGAAAGGGCCTTCCAGCTGCCACCTCACAAGCCCTTCATCACATCCCAGGGAAGAACTCATTTTCTGAGTGAGATTACTGCAGAGAACACATCTCAGAGTTGTCCCACCCGAGAGGTAGAATTCAAGGTGAAGGACTTTGCTGAAGGCATCACAGCTAGTTTGTGATACTAGGGTCTCCCAGCTGTCATCTTTTCTGACGATCCACCTGATAGTTTTATGATGATGCCACCTCTTTCAGGTGAGCCTTATCAGAAGTGGCTGCCTTAGATCAGGGCCTCTAGAGAGACAATGTTTTCCCCCTCTTTTCCCACCTACCATACAGAGATAGAAATTTCTCAAGGGTGAATAGCAGCCATTTGATCTTATTTCTCTAATAACTTTCACACTAGGAAATTCTGTTCTCAACAGCCTTTCAACAGCATCCTAAAATGTAGAGTTTAACGGTAGACATGAGAACAATAAAAATGACTGTGGCAATAAAAGTGATTCTCTAAACACCCACAGACCACCTTGCACCTCTTTAAACTTCCTGAGAGGTCATAATCAGGGAATGAGGACCAGACTCATTCATTCATTCAGCAGGTAATTACTAGTGCTGAATGCCAGGCATGGTTCTAGGTGCTGAGGGTGAACCAACAAGCTCCCTTCTCTCATTCACAAACAACTTCTTCAGGGGAACACACACCCACATTGGAGAAGTTGAGAATGCAGCTCCAGCTTGACTTGAAAGAGCTGGGGCGCCTCCTTGACCAGATGAGGGTAACGCTCCTGACTTGCCCACCTTACAGTTGTGTGTTGAAGTCAGATGAGGCCACAGGTGTGGAAGGAGTTGGGAAACTGAAGGACTCTTCAAGTTAAGGCATGTTTATTACTTGCCTTGTCTGTCCCTTTGGCCTTTCCCATGTGGAGGGGAACAATTGCATCTTGGGATCACACAGGATGAAGTGGTTAGGTAATGTCTTCAGTGTTTACCCAGAAGGAGGAGATGCCTGCTTTATCAATCGTTAGATAAAAAGGACTCCTGTCCACAAAGATTCACTGTTTCACAGCAAATTAAGGTGTTTTGCCTCAAACATTAGTGCTGGGAGATCCAAATCAAAGCCTGCAGCCCTGTGTTTGGATGTTTCTTATAAAGGTGCACTCAATAAATATTCATGCTATTCAAAGGCGTGAGAGCCAGAAAGGGTCACCTCAGCCATTCTCATTTTACCAGTGGGAAAACTGAGGTCCAAAGAGAGGAAGTGACTTGCCAGAGGCTGCTCAGCAGATTAGGGCAGAACAGAAGGGGAAGCCAGGTCTTAGTCCAAAGCACTTTCCACAACAAATTCAAAAGTGACCTTCCATATGAATGGTCTAGTTTATTCAATATATTTGTGCTGAGCACCTTTGGATGAATGGTCCTTGGGTAAGTGCCTTAGACAAGTGCTTTATTCAAATAAATGTCCCGGGTGCTTTTGGGGTTTTTCTGACTCAGGAGCTCTGAAGTGGAGCCTAGGAACCTACGTATTATGTATTACAGCAAATGCCTCTGGGTTATTCTAGGAGCCAGGCAAGTTTATGGAATGCCAGCCTGCATGGCCCGGGGCATGGTCTTAACCAAAGCTGGGCAGGACCATCTCAGAGCACACACTCCCAGGCTTCGCCTCCAGCGACACTTCATCATTATTTCACTGTACAGCAAATCCTCACTTCACGTCGCCAATATGTTCTTGGATGCTGCAACTTTAAGCAAAACAATATATAACGAAACCGATTTTACCATAGGCTAATTGATAGAAGTAAGAGTTAAGCTCCTATGTTTCTGGTCACAGAAACATCACCAAACCTCTAGAAAAAAACCCAAAACACTTCTGATATTAAACACTGAAATAAATTGAACTATCCATACATTAAGAAAGATTAATTAAAAACAAGTAAGATAATTATTTACCCAATTATTCCAGTTAAGGATTTCAGGAGCCCATCCCAGCAGCTCAGAGCACAAGGAAGGAACTGACCTGGCTAAGAGGCCGTCCCATGGCAAAGCACACACACCCGCACTCACTCCAAATGGGACAAGGAGACGCACTAGTGAGCCTCCCGTGCACGACTGGGATGTGGAAGGAAACCAGAGTATCCAGAAAAAATCACACAGGTATTGGAAGAACTTGCAGACTCCACACAAACAGTGGCCCCTGACGGGAATCAATTTCTTTTCCTTATCAATATTATAACAAAATGGCATTGAACAAAATGACATTATTTAAGGACCTGCTGTATTTCCAAAACCTTTCCTGGGTGAGCCTGATCCACACCATATGCTCAGGAAGTTCTGGCCTCGTTGTTAATTAGATCACTGCCATAGAGGCGGGGACACACCTGGGCTCAAGTCCCAGCTCCCCAGTCACCAGCTGTGTCACCTGGGGTAAAGTTATTTACCCTCTTCAAAACACAGGGGATAATAGCAATAGAGCCCAGCTCAGAGGGATGTTTTGAGGATTAAATGGCATGATATGTGTTGGGCCTTTAACACAGTGTCTGGCGTATGGACATCCAAAGAATGCTAGCTATTATTTTTATTTTATGTAGTCTGGGAAACCTATACTTATCTGATAGCCGAAGACTCCACATAAAGCTACAGCCTCATGAAGGTAAATAAGGTTGAAAGGGAGCATGTAACCAAACGTTTTGTACTGGACAGAAAAAAAAATACAAAAACCTTATAAATCCGAGGCTGGGTATGGTGGCTCATGCCTGTCATCCCAGCACATTGGGAGGCTAAGGCAGGAGGATCACTTGAGCCCAGGAGTTCAAGACAAGCCTGGTCAACATAGTGAGATCCTGTATCTACAAAAAAAATTGTTTAATGAGCTGGGTATGGTGGCACATCCCTGTAGTCCAGCTACGTGGGAGGCTGAGGTGGGAAGATCACTTAAGCCCAGGAGATTGAGGCTACAGTGAGCCATGATCGTGCCCCTGCACTCCGACCTGAAAAAATCCTATAGATAGGGAGTTTCAATAATAAACTTTGACCAAAAAAAAGAATCTGTTCCACTAGGTGAAAACTTCACTCTTTTCCTCCACATCTAAACTCTGTCTTCCTATATATTCTCCCCAGCTGAGGGACAATTCCTAGCATGAGCATTTCAGTATAGGAAGAGCTTGGAATGACCTTTGCATTCAAGCACACATTGTGGATTTCTCAGAAAATCTCCAAATCTTCCAAGGTTACTCAAGCACACACTGCTGAACTGATGATGTTCTGAATCAGGCCACTTTTTTTTTAGCACTTTCCCTGATGAGGGGTTACCATGAGCCATCCATTTTGTTGTTCTGCAAAGAAATTACCCCATTCCAGGGGATAAAACTGTTTCAAAGGAGCTAAGAAAATAAACACATTTTCTCTGTATTAAAGCCTCTGCCTTCTTTGAACTTCTCATTTTTAGAGTATCTCCACTGATAAGGACAAATGTAATTTTCACCATCAGTGGATCTGAACAGACAATTACATTAAGGCAAATAAGACAGGGTGAGGCCAATGATGTGAATCACATTGTATGCATCTCATGTGCAAACAAAACTCTCAGATAACAATGAACACCCTCGAAAAGCAGTCAACATTTTTTTTTTTTTTGCATCTAATCAGGGCCCAATTTGCATAAACATTTCTTTACCTACCACCTCCACAAAATCAGTTACTGGCATTTGGAGATCTGGGAAGAGGGGAGAATTCAGTCAACATTTAAGACATTTTCCCTAAGGGAACTGCTCAACTCCCTTAGGAAGGGCTTACAGGTGCCTGGCAGAAGCCATGCCCTCATTGCTGCAGCAGGGCAGGTTTACAAGGCACTCTCATGCGCGTTCCCTGATTGGTCCTCACCACAATACTCCAAGCTTGGAAATTCAGATCGTTTCTTATCTTTACAACGAAGAGAAACCCAAGATTACAAGTGGTTTCATAGGAAATGGCAGGACTGGGATTGAAGTCTTACTTTCCTCTGGAGAAGCCTAGGTTTGCCTCTGAAATCTCCATCCAGTCAATGAGTATCAGCCAATCCAGTAGGTTTGCAATGGTCTGATGCTGCTCTTACTCCCAAGCACAGAGGGAGACACTGGTTTAGAGCTCTGCAACGAAACAAAAACTTGGAAAGGGGCAGCAGGAACTGAGCTCAGCCCTGCTGAGATTACCATTTTTGCAAGTGGCGTTTGAGCCAGCCCAAGTGCGGGAAGCAAAAGGTTAGGCTCACAGAATGAACTCCGTGTTGAGCTTTTGTGTGCAGGAGAAAGGGAAAGAAATGATATTCAGGAAAGGAGTATGACGGAGACCATGGGGAGGGTAAGACAGGCCTGAAGCACATGTAGAGAAAGGCAACGGCCTGCTCCTTAAAGCCTCCCTAGTGCCTTGGCACCAAACAGAACAGAGGTCCAGGCAGATGTGCCTCGGAAAGGAAGTTGGCGGCTCGTGGGGTATTATTTGCAGGCTTCAACAAGCATGGCACTCAATGTTTGATGAGGGCCTTGGGTGCTATCCAATGTGGGGGTGCACTGGTGTCACAAAGCTAAGTGAACTCTCCCAGCCCACCCTCCACTCCTTGGCCATTGACTTGCTTCTGTCTCCCCCTAGCTGCTGATGTGGGTGGTGGAGGGCACTGATGCTACTTCTCTGTGTATGGGGGCAAGCATGGCACAAGAGGGAGGAAGGGATGAAGGTTGAGGTTTGCAGAATGGGTTTCTTTGGGTTTCTCCAGAGAAACAGATAGCCCATTAAAGGGTTCAGCCCTACGTTTTGCTACTTTATGCATCGTTCCCAGGGAAAAAAAAAAAAGAGACAGAGAGAAAGAAAGAGGAAGGATGACCATTATTGGTGGGGGAAAACAGCTTGCAATCCATGACCTAGACATTTACTGGGGCTCCATCCAGCTCTGAGGCTCTAAGATTTTCCCCTTTCTACCAAAAATGGACCTGCTTCATTTCTCTAGCCTAGTATTTTCTTGCAGTGAGGTAAAATATCAGCAGGTATTTTATATGGTACTTGAAAAGCATTATTTTGATAGTTATGCATTTATTTTAAATTATTGTCTCATGTTTACAGCAACTGATGCTGGATTTGCATTTATGATAGTAATATGAAATGTCTTTTTAAAGTCGATTTATTTACACCTTTAAACAATGAGTTGCTTTCATTATTGAGTAGTTATTAAGGAGTAGTATATGTCTAACATGGCAATGGCAAAAAGCATGGCATCTGATTCACAAGAGTTTGGTACCTGCTGTGCCAACCCAATTGGTGGAGTCGGCTAAGCACTGGCATAGAAGCCAGTGGAGTACCCAGCAGGACACCCAGACCCACCCCGTCTCATAGCAAGTCAATAGGAAACAATGGCTACTGCACAATAATTCACAACTGGCCATGCATGGCTCCCATCCCAGGGGCAAGGACAGGCTAAAGACACAAGATATAACAGGTGATGGCAAAGCAAAGGCACTGCCCACAAAGGGTAAAGTTGGGGAAGACCCATGGTCGGGGGGAAGGGATAGGACCCTTTCTGAGCTTGTGTCCAACCTCTGCCCTCTAGCCTAGCTGGTCTATACCATCCTATATCCCCGCTGTTTACTTTCACCTCCTTATTTTTATGTTTCCCATGACTGAAATGGCCTCTGCTCTCCTGTGTGTATTTCAGAATTCAAGTCCCACTTCCGTAAAACCTTCCCTGAAACTCCAATAGCATAAATGTTTTGGTGCCTCCCTTTGGCAATTTCCATGCTCTGCCCCATATCGCTGCACCCTGCCTAGAGATGGCAGGAAATGCACCCCATTGACATTTGAGATGATTTAAGGGTGAGCTGACTCAGTCTTAAATAACATTAAATCACAAAGTGAGAAAGTCACTCCCTTCTGCTTCTGCTTCTGCTTCAGTGTGTCCGATTAAATCAAGAAGGAAGTCTCAGCTTGGGAGTAACATGTCTTTAACAACCACAACATTTGCTAATCTCCCCTTTTAACAAAGAGCTTTGGATGAGAACCCTCATCATGTAATAGTATTCGTCCAGAACTTAACATTATTTTGTTTTCTATATATGTATATATTTTTTAACTAAAGCAAATTATTCTGGGTTTTCATTTGAAATGGTGATTTTTAAATCAATGTCTTTAAATAAAAATCTAGTCAACTGGAATAAAATATTAGGCAGTAGCACATAATGCAGCTCCATGTAAGGTGCTGTTGTGTGGACATGAAAAACATTGGGAAGGTGCTATAGCAATGACCAACATTCAGAAAACATGGCAGCTTTTCTGTGGGTACAGTTAATCTGTTCATCTCCACATGGCACAGATTGACTGGGATGCCAGGAGTGAGAGCCTGGCATCATCCTGTCCTGGCTTGTTGACCCCATCCTCCATCAGCTAGACTCTGTCATCCATAGAATAACAAAAAACAAGCAATAAGCAAAAACACCAAATAGCAGCAACAACAACAACAAAACAGAGAAACAAAACACACTGGAAGGGGACTGAAGACTCATAGAACCAAGAGGAAGTGTGAAACTAGGGCAACACAGTGACCTCTGAAGACCAAAAAGAGGGAGCATAGGAGTTTTCTGTGGGGCGCACCCACCACTACCGTGAAAGAGCCCTGACTGACTATCCATTGGTGTGTTCAAAGTCTGTTGAGAGTGTTTGACTGACTGAGCTCAAGTCACAAGCTGGTATGTTGCTACCAGGGGACAGAAGAGGAAAGCACAGCCCCTCAGCTCCCACAGCTAGTAGCCAGGCACTGCCTCCTCGCAAGACCACACTCAGTGGGGATTTCCTCTAACGAGGAGGGCTGGGTGGATGCTTAACAGCCCAAACATGACAAATGTTCACAAACACACACACGCACACACACCTGCCTATGCTGCATTTCATCCCTGCTGCACTACCTAACGTACCTCCCTCTCAGTTATCCTCTCTCTCGCAGGTATATTCAATGTCTCCCTCTGATACAGTTTGAATGTTTGTCCTCTCCAAATTTCATGTTGAAATATGACTTCCAATGTTGGAGGTGGGGCCTGGCAGGAGGTGTTGGGGTCATAGGGGTGGATCCCTTATGAATGATTTGGTGCTACCCTGGTAGTAATGAGTGAGTTCTTGCTCTATTAGTTCGTGTGAAAGTTGTTTGTTTAAAAGAGCCTGGCCTCTCTCTTGCTCCCTCTCTCGCCATGTGACACGCCTACTCCCCGGAGCCTTCCGCCATGAGTAAAAGCTTCCCGAAGTATCACCAGAAGCTGAGCAGATGATGGTTTTATGCTTGCACAGGCTACAGAGCTGTGAGGCACATAAACCTCTTTATAAATTACCCAGTCTCAGGTATTCCTTCATAGCAACACAAAACAGACTAATGTACCCTCTTTACTTGCCTGTTCCCTTGAGCCTGTAAACTCGTTTGAACCTCTCTTATCTTTAAAATCCCTCCTTTACCATACATTACTTATAACCTATTCCCTAAGAGTTGGAAAAGTGGTCTTCACTCACCACCTGTACTTCCTCACCACTCATTCACTGCCCATCCCACTGCAGTCTGACTTCTGACTCCCCAGCCCTGGCACTTCCCTGAAGCTGTATTTTCCAGGGTTAACAATGAACATAAAGTTATTCAATCTGAACAGTACTCTCCAGTCTTGAGGTCCTTCGGGTGTTGATCACTCCCTGTTTTTTCTGAAACACTCTTCCATCTTGGCTCTGAGACCCCTCACATCCAATTTTTCATTCAGTAGATGTATATGGATCACCATGACTCACTAGAGCAGGCACTGTGGTCATAACTGGAGATACCGTAATAAGTAAGTTGGCCAGGGTCCTGTCCTGAAGGCACTGAGAACCTAGTGGGAAGACAAGCAACTAGGCCAAGGCCATAAAGCCTGACACTCAGAGGTGGTACTCAGCAGTGGAGTGGGTTGGATTGTTGTCCCCAATTCTTCACTTCCTTCCTATGATGAAATTGCATGCCCATGACCTCTGCCTTGTGAATCTGTACTACGGAGTCTGCTTTCCTGCCCCTCTGACTTTGAGCTTGGCCAGGTTCCTTGCTTTGATCAACAGAATGTGAGCAGATGTGACAAAGCAGAGGCTTTCTATGTGCTTACAGCTAGGCTTGGCCTCTTGCACTTCCACCACCTGCAAAAATAAGAGCATGTCCTAGAATGGAAGCACATCCTAGAATGAGAGACATGAGGAACAGACCTCATCAGCTGCAGCCTGCAGCAGAGCTGCCCCAGCTCGTGCCCCATGATGGGCAAAAAAATAAAATATTTGTTGTTGTGAGACACTGAGATTGTCAGTTTTCTGTTATATTAGCATTATAGCAGAACCCTGACTTTTTGTGTCGGACTGCTGACCCTCTGAGAGCACAGAGAGTGGGATCTAGCCTTACAGGGGTTGATGTGAGAAGGCGGTGTTGATAACTAAGCCGAGTCATGAAGGATGAGTAAGAGTTGGCCGAGAGAGTGGGATGGGGGGCAGAGGATTGTGGGGAGTTCCAATGGAAGAAGTAAATGCACTGAGATGAGAGAGGAGCCAATAGGCTTGGAACAGACTCACTGTTCACTCTAGCTGGAGCGTGGAGTGCAGTACCTTGTTCCTCTGCTTCTCTGGGCCATCTCAGCACCTCCTATGGCTGTCTTTATCATCTTTGTGCTGACCTCCTGATTTTACAGCTCCAACTCAGACTTCTCTCAAGCTCCAGGATGCCATCTCAATGGGGCTCTCAAAGTCAACATGTCAGCATGTCCAATATTGACCTTCTTAGACCCCTTACACATGTTCTTACTGTGCTCCTGATCTCAGTAACAACTTCTGCCCCCACCCTTGCCAGTGCCAAGGCCAGGAAGCTTGGCCTCCTCCTGGAGTTACTTAGTTCCCCGCTTAGCTCTACATCCAATAGGTTCTGTCTAGTTTACCTTCTTACCTCCCACACCTGCTCCTGACTTTCCACCCCTCCTTCCACTGTGAATAGCCACAGTGTTACTGGACATCTTGACCTTGTTCCTAATTTTATTGGAAATCCTCTGATATCACCAATAGTAGGATGCATGTTAGTGACTTCTAATGTATACATTTATCAAGCTGAGAATTTCCCTTCTATTCATAGCTAAGACATTTTAAAAATAAGGAATAGGTGTTAATTTTGTAAATCATTATTTTCCTGAATTGATTTAAATAATCACATTGTGTTTATTTTTTAATGAGTTAATGAGATATCCTGAGCCATCATAAACCATACTTGGTGATGATGTAACATTCCTTTAATTCAATCCTTAATTTTGTAGAGGGATGGGTTCTGTTACCATTCTCGTGTTGATTTCTCCCAGTCAACATCTCCAACTCAGACTTTCTGCATTTATGTTCATGAGGGATATTGACATATCTCTTTCTTTGTAATATTATGTAATATTACATGACATATTTTAGTAATATTATTAAAAACTCATACAATAGGTTAGAGCCTTTTAATCGTTTTCTACAATCCAGAAATTGTATGTGTATGTGTAAGTAGGTAGGTAGATAATGTTTACAATATGGAAATTATCCATTCCTTAATGGCTTTATAGAACTCACTTATTAAATTACTGGATCTAGGGTTAATTTAATAAGTGAGTTCTATAAAACCATTAAGGAATGAATAATTTCTAGGGTTATATCTTTGATTGCCTCTTCAATTGCTTGCATGATTATTGGTCTTCTCAAGTATTTTCGTAAACTCTAGTCAATTTGATTTTATCAATCAAATTTAATGAGTTTATTTTCTACTTTATTAACATATATTTTTATTAACTTTATTTAGCCTTTTTACTTTCTTTGGTTTGTTTTGTTACCTTTTCTAGTTTTCTGTGTTGAAGATGAGCTCATTAATTTTCAATATGTCTCTGCTTTCCATTGTATGCACTTAAAGCTATATATTTTCCTCTGAGTACCACTTTGGCCACCTCCCATTGGTTTTGATTTGTGGTGCCTCTATGGCATTTATTTAAAATGGCTTGTAACATCAATTTAGCTATCTTATATGGCAAGCCACTTCAAATTGTTTTTTGGCTCCATTTGGACATTTATGTCTTCCACATATACAGGTTGAGTATCCCTTATCCAAAATGCTTGGGACCAGAGTGTTGCGAATTTTTTTTTTCAGATTTTGGAATATTTGCATATACATAATGGGATATCTTGGGCATGGGACCCAAGTCTCAACATAAAATTCATTTATGTTCCATACACCTTACACACATAGCCTGAAGGTAATTTTATATAATATTTTTAATAATTTTGTGCATGAAACAAAGTTTTGACTGTGACTCATCACATGAGGTCAGGTGTGGGATTTTCCACTTCTGTTATCATGTCAGTGCTAAAAAATTTTTAGATTTTGGGGCATTTTGGATTTCAGATTTTTTGATTAGGGATGCTCAACTTCTACAATAGACAGAATAGTTTAAGTTTCCTACTGTGGTTTTAATTGAGATTTTAAAATTGAGAATTTATAGTTTAATTGGAAAGAATTAATGAGATTACCTAAGAATATAGTATATATCTCTACTTGTTTAGATCTTTTATGTCCATCAGCAAATTTTAGTATTGCTTTTACATAGGTCTTTTGCATCTTATTAAGTTTGTTCTTGCTATTGTGAATGGAGCCTTTCCCCTTTATGTCTTCTAATTGGTTATTAATGATATATAGGATAACTAACAATTTGTACTTGTGACTTTCGTATTTTACTACATTATTAAACTCATCAGAATTAATAGTTATTTGGTTTATTCTCTTGGATTTTCTAGGTAGGCAATCAAATCACCTGCAAACTATTACACAAAATAGGTGTTCAATAAATACTTGTTGAATGTCTATGCTTATCTTCCAGGAAGTGGAGACAATCTTGTACAATTTAGATGTCCTCTAAGAGCCTTGCCCTACAGAAATCTCTTAACACTCTAAATTTTTTCAAAGAAATCTTTGTACCTTTGTGATTTGTTTTACCACATCATATTAGCTATATTCTAGCCTTAAGTAATTTAGAAGAATCAAAATATAAACAATTCACACACAGCATTCTCACAAATATTAGGGCCCCAACAGCAGATACTTGCATATTTCTGAAAGGTCTTCCACATCAAATCTACACTTCAAGAGTGGGAGTGGCACTCTCCTTCCACTTTGCAAAAGGACATTGAGGGAAAATGCCCTGTCTTCCTCTTTAAAAGCACAGACTGACTTCTTGGCTCTACCAGCCCTTGCACACTCAGACTCTTCCTACAGAGAATGAGAAGAGAAAAGAAATGCTGAAGCTTGCCTTGGTGGCAACACCTATGCAGGAGGACTTGAAAGATTCGAGAAAGGCAAACTATCCTCCCAGAAACAAATTTGCTTTTTCTATATTTGCTTTAAGCAATCCAAACTTAAAAAAAGCAATGCGGTCTAGGGAGAAGAAAGGAGGCAGGAAAATGAGCCCTTTGAAAATTCCTCTAGAGAGCCAACAATAGCCTATTAATATTAACACACAGTACCTCTACCCTTGGATGCTTTTGGAAAGCCATGGCTGACTCTCGGGAGCCCAGCAGTGCACGGTTCTTTTGAATGTTAGGAATAAAACCCACAGCCTCTGAGTCAGGCAGAAAAATGCCCATTTTCCTTTGTGCTCACACTTTCAGAGGAAGCTGCCTCGGGCAGAGAAAGGAAGAAGGAAAAGGATGAGAATTCTTAACAATAGGCAGTTCCTTGGCAAGGAACATCCTTTTTTATGAATCTTGCAAAGTGAAGGATGAACAGAAGACAATGAAGTGAAACTCACATCCATCTTGAGAAAGTATATCTTTCTGAGATAGACTCAATTACTGATCCTGCGTGTATGGTGACTTGCAGCTGTTTGTACCTAAAGCAGCACAGTGAAAACAACAAAGAACCTCGGGTCTAAACAGAAAATGACTAGAGGGAAGGAAGACTTCACAAAATTAGAAGAAAGGGAAATAAGTGCCTCAGCTATTCCCTTAGGTACATGAGGCTGCTTACTGGAAATTCAGACTTGGCCTTGGACTTGAAATACTCACCAATAGGCTTCCTGAATGGGACTGGACTTACCAAGCAATGCCATGCTTGGCCCTACTGCTCCATATTGAGTCCCCTGAGCTGTGCTCCTTGTTTGCACATCCTTGTTTGCCATGATCTCCCGTTCCCCATTAACTTGCTAACTTCTGCGAGTCTTCACAGTCAGCTGAGATGCCACTTCCTCCAAGGACCCTAATCTCCCAGCCCCTGTGTCTGTCTCTAGCACAGCACCTATCACAGCAGATTCTAATTGTCTGTTCAGTGGTCTATCTTTTCCCAGTAGACTTCATGTCAGCTGGCATTGAATACTGCTCACCTGACACAGTGCCTGGTATAATACATGGTAAGAACTCAATAAATATTCATTGAATGAATGAATGAGCAAGGTATATAGACCAGCACAGCATTCCCAGGGGCATTAAGTTACCCTCTTGCCCTAGGGCTGCATTTCTGTTTGAAATGAAAACATTTTCAAGGTTAAATATATTCTTGGAGCCACATTTAATTGGCTGGCTTCCCGGACACTAAATCATTTAGTTTCAGGAGGAATAATTTTTTTCCCTTGGCAAACATTTCCTAAAGAAAAGTGGATGAGGCAACTGTCAGAAGAAAATGAAGCATTGCTGTGAAGCTGCAGAGGTGTCTAAATACTGCCAAAGATGTCCCACAGGCTTGCCCACTCAGGGAATATCTATAAATATTTTCTGCAGTTAGCCTATTAAGATAAAATTATCTTGAAAACACTTTCTAAATGTAGGGGTGGGTTGCCCCTACACACCTGTGGGTGTTTCTCGTAAGGTGGGACGAGAGATTTGGAAAAGAAAAAGACACAGAGACAAAGTATAGAGAAAGAAATAAGGGGACCCGGGGAACCAGCGTTCAGCATATGGAGGATCCCGCCAGCCTCTGAGTTCCCTTAGTATTTATTGATCATCCGTGGGTGTTTCTCAAAGAGGGGGATGTGTCAGGGTCACAAGACAATTGTGGGGAGAGGGTCAGCAGACAAACACGTGAACAAAGGTCTTTGCATCACAGACAATGTAAAGGATTAAGTGCTGTGCTTTTAGATATGCATACACATAAACATCTCAATGCTTTACAAAGCAGTATTGCTGCCCACAGGTCCCACCTCCAGCCCTAAGGCGGTTTTTCCCTATCTCAGTAGATGGAGCATACAATCGGGTTTTATACCGAGACATTCCATTGCCCAGGGACAGGCAGGAGACAGATGCCTTCCTCTTGTCTCAACTGCAAGAGGCATTCCTTCCTCTTTTACTAATCCTCCTCAGCACAGACCCTTTACGGGTGTTGGGCTGGGGGACGGTCAGGTCTTTCCCTTCCCACGAGGCCATATTTCAGACTATCACATGGGGAGAAACCTTGGACAATACCTGGCTTTCCTAGGCAGAGGTCCCTGCGGCCTTCCGCAGTTTTTGTGTCCCTGGGTACTTGAGATTAGGGAGTGGTGATGACTCTTAAGGAGCATGCTGCCTTCAAGCATCTGTTTAACAAAGCACATCTTGCACCGCCCTTAATCCATTCAACTCTGAGTTGACACAGCACACGTTTCAGAGAGCACGGGGTTGGGGGTAAGGTTATAGATTAACAGAATCTCAAGGCAGAAGAATTTTTCTTAGTACATAACAAAATGGAGTCTCCTATGTCTACTTCTTTCTACACAGACACAGTAACAATCTGATCTCTCTTGCTTTTCCCCACATCTAAACATTAAGTCACAAGTGTTTGCTAATAATTCGAGGAAGGAAGCCCTTCCTTCCTCTCCTTTCCAATACAATCGGATATGAAGGGTGCCCTTCATTTCACGACTCCATTTGAAATCTTTGCCCTTCCTTTTCACCTCTGATAAGGAAAGGCAAAATAAAATAGTTAAACTTTAGAGTTTGGTTAAAAGAATCTTTCACTCAAGTCAGGGGCTGCCATAATAAACTACCATAGACTGAGTGGCTTAACAACAGAAATTTATTTTTTCACAGTTCTGGAGGCTGGAAGCCTGAGATCAAGGTGTGGACAGTGTTGGCTTCTGACACCTCTGTCCTTGGCTCTGTAGATAGCCACCTTCTCCCTGGGTCTTCACATAGTCCTGTCTCATACATGTCTGTGTCCAAATTTCCTTCTCTTGTGAGGAACCAGTCGTGTTGGATTAGGAGCCACTCTAATGACTTTATTTTAACTTAACTACCTCTTTAAAGACCCTATCTTTAAATACAGTCACATTCTGAGATACCTGGGGTTAGGACTTCAACAGATGAATTTGGGGGGACAGCCCATAACAGCAGGATACAGTTTATTTCCTCAGACATTTCTGGGAAGGAATGGAAGACACAGGATCACAGACTCATGGACAACTTTTTTTCCAGAGTAAAAAGCTATCATCTCTTGAAAACCCAAGAAAAATGAAACCTGTCCATTCAACACTGGATGATCTCTAGTGGGAAGTGCCAAGATGGGAAAAGCAGTGATTTGATTCTTCTTTGGCTTAAATGACCCCACTCCCCATCTGTGTAGAAATGAGATCACTACAGACTTTCTTGGACTTCTATTCTAGTTTCCCCACCTACCTTTTCATTTCCAAGGTGACCAAGGACAAGGGTGGGAGTTGTCAGGGACTGATGAGGGTGGGTCCTTCCTGCCCTTCCCCAGGACTGGGATGCCCTTGTTGTGAGTGCATCACCTTCCTCAGGATTCAGGGCAAGGGCAGGAGGTTGTTCTTCTCTAAGGGAGAGAGAACAGGATGAAAAATGACTTTTGGATGCTGCAAACCACATCTGCCCTGACTTTGATTAAACATGCTGCTGACTGCCTTTAGTAGATAAGCAGTGTTTAATAAGATAGGCTAAACGTGCCATCACTCTTCACCTAGCCATAGAGATTTTTCTAGGCAGATGGGAACGCAGGCTGTCAGGAACATCACTTACCCTCATTTTGGCAACAGCAGGAAGACCTGGAAAGAAGTGTCAGAAGCGCCCGGGACAGGACCCTGCAGTGGACGCCTCTGGTTATTTCTTGTGCCCTGTCTCATTTTCCCCTTATTTTGCTCAGAACATTCTGATTTTCCTTTGGGGAAAATCCCTGATGTTCTTCCTACTGAGAAATTGCTGTGGTTCCTGTCCTTTCCAAAATCAGTAGGGTTATTTATTTCCTCCTAATTACCTTTGATTCTGTGAACTAATATAGCTCCCACCCAGGCTTCTGTCTCCACCTTGACTCATTCCAAAGACCTGTTTGACATCTCCACTTAAATATTTAGCAGGCACCCGAACTCCTAATCTAACCCTTGGTCTCTCTTGCAAACTTGTTCTAGCCACAGCCATCCCCATCAGCAGATGGCAACTCTGTTCTTGCAGTTACTCGGACAGAAACCTTGGAATCACCTGACTCGGGCTTTCACGTTCTACATGCAACCTGCCAGGAAATTCTGTGGACTCTTCCTTCAAAATTGATTCAGGACCCAACTTTTCTCACCTCCCAGCCACCATCACCTCCTGCAGGATTTACCTCCTGGTTCTTCCATCACTTCCTACTGTCTGCTCCCCCCAGAAACAAGAGTGCGTCTTCCAAAACAAAAATCAGAGCATGCCTGCTGGACATGGTGGCTCACACCTGTAATCCCAGCACTTTGGGAGGCCAGGGCAGGCAGATCACTTGAGGTCAGGAGTTGGGGACCAGCATGGGCAATATGGTGAAAGCCCGTCTCTACTAAAAATACAAAAATTAGGCAGGTGTGGTGGTGTGCACCTGTAATGCCAGCTACTCGGGAGGCTGAGGCAGGAGAATAACTTGAGCCTGGGAGGCAGAAGCTGCAGTGAGCTGACATTGCGCCACTGCACTCCAGCGAGCCAAGATCGCGCCACTGCACTCCAGCCTGGGTGACGGAGTGAGACTCGGTCTCAAAAAAGAAAATGAGAGCATGTCAGTCCTCCATTCAGACCCTGCAGGCACCTCATTTGATTCAGAGTAAGACTGAAAGTGCCTGCCACAGCCCTCAGGGGCCCACGTGATATCAGGCCCCTTTCTGCCTCTCTGACCTGGCCTGTTGCCACTCTCCCAGTTCAATCTGCACCAGCACATTGGCCTTCTTACTGCTTCTAGAACACACCAGCATGTGTCTGCCTTCGGGAGCTCTGGCTGACAGCTCTTCACCCAGAGACCCCATGGCTAACCCCTCACCAACTCAGGTCTCCCCTTCCCTGGATGGCTGTCCAACCACTCGGGCACTCCTAATACCTTTGCCCTTGCTCAGCTTTTGTTTTTCTCACATATCCCATAGCTTACAGTAATTCCCCACTTAACACTATCCATAGGTTCTTGGAAACTGCAACTTTTAGGCGAAATGACATATAATGAAACCATTTTTACCATAGGCTAATTGAGATAAACAAGAGTGATGTTCCTACAGCATATTTCTGGTCACAGAAACATCACCAGTCTCCTAAATAAGGACCCAAAACACTTCTGATATTAAACATTGAAATAAATGTGATCTATACATCCATTTAAGAATGATTAACAAAAACAAATACGATCATTATTTACCCAATTTTTAATTTTTGGATTACGGCTGCATATGAGTTGTACATATTTATGGGACACATGATGTTTTGATGCAGGCATGCAATGCCTACTGATCAGATCTGAGTAACTGGAGTATCCATTACCTCAGATATTTACCATTTCTTGGTGTTAGGAATATCCCAAGCCCACTCTTTTAGTTATTTTTAAATATACCATAAATAATTATTAACTATAGTTGCCCTTTTGTACTACCAAATACTAGATCCTATTCATTCTATTTACCCAATTTGTGGTGAATCAGTGAGTCCCAGTGGTCATAGTCATAGTGGGTTAAACCAGGGAATAAACGTTTGCAAAGCAAATGCCTCAGGAGCACCTCCAGCCACCACAAAGTTCACAAATAATCACAAATATGGCAGGCTCACGGAACACATTCATGCCACATCATTTAGTGTCATGCATTTGTGGGATTATCATTGACCTTACACAATTTTTATTTTACAATAATTTGCATTCATTCATTCATTCATTTATTCATTTCCCAACTCACTTATTCCAGTTCAGAGTCGCAGGTGGCCAGAGCTCATCCCAGCAGCTCAGGGCACAAGGCAGGCACCCACTGTGGACAGGACACCATCCCATCGCAGGGCACACTCACCCCCACACACACTCATTTCGACTGGGGCCATTTAGACACGCCAGTGAATCCCATGTGCACAGCTTATGAATGTGGTAGGAAACAGAGTGCCCAGAGAAAACCCATGCAGAAATGGAAAGAATGTGGAAGACTCCACAAAGATAGGGGCCCCGGCCTGGAATTGATTTCTTTTTCTTATCAATGTTATAATGAAACTACATTATCTGAGGACCTGCTGTACTTGCTTTTTCTTTATTGTTTACTGTCTGTCCACCCACACTTCCCCTTCCCCTCCCCCTTGCTGAACAAGAAACCAAGTTCTACATGCACAAGGATCTTTGTTTTGTTCTCTGAAGTATCTCAGCACCTGGAATTGTGCCTGGCACATATTAGGTGCTCAGTAAATGGCTGTTAAATGAAAAAATAATAAAGCCCATATCCTTCCAATGAATCCCTCTTACTCAGTTGAGCTCAAATGTGCTACCATTGCTTGAAAGCAAAGCCCCCAACTGAGAGAGTGCCCTTCTCAGCACACCATGACTACAAAAGAGCCTGCTATACCTTTCTGCACTAAGAAAAGGATCAAAATCAGACAGAAAAAGAAAAAATACAGACTTCCTGATTGTCTATATATAAATTCGGCTGGTCCTTTTGGCTGCCTGTGTTAGTCAGGGTTCCCTAGAGGGACAGAACTAATAGGATATATCCATATATATGTATACATCCATATATACATATATACATATATGTATATACATATGTGTATATGTATATACATATGCCAGTGATGACACATATATACATATCCATATATACATATACATCCATATGTATATGTATGTATATATACACATATATAATCATATATATCCACACACATATATGTGTGTATATATATATGCATATATATCCATATATATCCATATATATCCATATATATCCATATATGTATATATCCATATATATATATCCATATATGTATATATCCATATATATATCCATATATGTATATATCCATATATATATCCATATATGTATATATCCATATATATAAGGGAGTTTATCAAGTATTAACTTACATGATCACAAGGTCCCACAATAGGCCATCTGCAGGCTTGAAGAGCAAGGAGAGCCAGGCAGAGTCCCAAAACTGAAGAACTTGGAGTCTGATGTTCGAGGGCAGGAAGCATCCAGCACGGGAGAAAGATATGGGCTGGAGGCTAAGCCAGTCTCGCCTTTTCACATTTTTCTGCCTGCTTTATATTCGTTGGCAGCTGATTAGATTGTGCCCACCAGATTAAGGGTGGGTCTGCCTTCCCTAGCCCACTGACTCAAATATTAATCTCCTTTGGCAACACCCTCGAAGACACACCCAGAAACAATACTTTGCATCCTTCAATCTGATCAAGTTGTTACTCAGTATTAACCATCATGCAGCCCTTGTGGGTGGAAGTCAGTAGGAAAGTCGCTTGACCCAGGGCCAGGACACCCAGCTGTGCCTGCAGATCCTGCTGCTTCTGGAGGTGTGGCTTTGGGCATCACTAAGCCTCCCTGGACCTCAGTTTCTTCATCTGTAAAGCAGATCTAAAAACCCCTATGCCTCAGGGTTGTTGCGAAGATTAAATGAGATCCTGAGTATCTGGGACTCTGAGGAGAGACCCCACACTCCTTACAGTCAGAGCAGCTCTGCGTTGCAAGGAAGGATTTGGACTCTGGGAGAGGCAAACCAGTTCAAATCCCACCTTCGCCACTTACTGCCATGCAGCCTCGGGCACATCACCTGGCCCCTCTGCGCCTCCATTGCCTGGTCTTTAAAAGGGGGATAATTAGCACAGCCTGTATCCAAGGACAGTCATCGGGATTGCTGAGTCCATGCCTGTGTTTTATCCCAGTGCCTGGCACATGCAAAGTGCCCAATAATAATAATTTGTTGTTGCTATTGCAGGGGCTCAATAAATGTCATTTCCCTCCTCAGGACGAGAGCCTTGGCACCTGAGCCAGATCATTCATTTCTTTTTCTCTTTTGATGCCAGTGATGACACATAACTTGCCCCAACAATGTAGCTCCCCGGGAAGATTTTGATGGGATAACAAAAATGTGTTTCTTGGGCTTTCTACAGCTACAGCCCTATGACTCCTGTCATGGAACTGTCAAAACAAGCTTGAAACATGCATGGGCTTTCTGCCAAGTCCTCTTGGAGAGGGAGAGATGTAGCATGCACTCCTTTCTTTCTCTCTGCACTGTCCCTACTCCCACCCACCCCGATCCTTCTGCAGCAACACACTGTGTCAGCCGTGCTTGAGTGGTTTGGTAAAACAGGGCTCATTTTAGCTCCCTTTGGCAGAACACAGGGTGGTGTGGAGACGGCCGGAGAGTAGAGGCACGTGAAAATGGTTCAGAAATGCCTGGGAGATGCCATCGGTTTGTACCAGGTGCTAGACGCTAGGGTTATGGCTGCTGTGCCCTCGTGGCTGACTTTGAGTCATGGCTTGTGAAACTCTGCATGCTGATCAGGAATCAGAGCAACTAAGGACAGACAAGGACACCCATCTACCTTGAGTCAGGTCCTTCAGAGTGATCTGAGATGCCAAGGGCAGCAGGTGGCTGCCAAACCTTATTGCCAAATTGTCATAGCTCCTTTGTTGTTTCTGGTTTTGATATCAATCTTGTAAAACAGAGACGCTCCTGCTTCCTAAGGTCTTGGAGTCAGGAATTTGTAAAAAACAATTTCACTTCAAGCTTCCACAAACACACTGTTTCCCCTGCCTCTGCTTCCCTGTTGTGACCAGGAAGGCGGTACTATCATACAGTTAACCCTCCACATGAGATAAATAGGAATCTTTTGAAAGCCACTGTATTCCATCCATAAATTATCAGCTGTACAGATGCAGACCTCTGGCTGACACAGAAATCACTCCTCCAAATCCCCACCATGTATAGGCATTTAGAAACAACTCATTGTACTTCACTGGTCCCCTGTTTCCCTTTAGAGAGGTTTATAGTGGTCAAGACTCTTGGGTACAGATGATAGAAACCCACCTGAAATTGACCTAAGCATGAAAGAAGACATACTATTCCCATGATAGAGACACTTGGGGGTAGTTCAGCTTCGGGCACAGCAGGATCCAAATGTCAAAAAAATATTTCCAGCCAGCTGCGGGGGTTCATGCCTATAATTCTAGCACTTTGGGAGACCAAGGTGGAAGGATGGCTTGAGCCATGAGTTTGAGACCAGCCTGGGCAAGATGGCCAGACCCTGTCTCTACAAAAATAAATTAGCCAGTCATGGGTGATGTGTGCCTGTAGTGCCAGCTACTCAGGAGGTGCAGATGGGAGAATGCCTTGAGCCCAGGCATTCCAGGTTGCAGTGAGCTATGATCGCACCACTGTACTCCAGTCTGGGCAACAAAGGGAGACCCCATCTCACTCTGTTGAGCTCGCATTGTCCAGCTATATATATATATATATAGCTGACATATATATATATATATAGCTGACATATATATATATAATAGCTGATATATATATATATAGCTGACATATATATATATAGCTGACATATATATATATAGCTGACATATATATATATAGCTGGACATATATATATATATGTATAGCTGGACATATATATATATGTGTGTATATATAACGATTTTATTACCTACATCTTAACATCTTACCTACATCTTACCAGTTTAGCCTCCCCAGGAGAGTGAGGTTTGCTTTACTAATATTTCCAGCAAAAATCTTAGCAAAGGATGGCCATGTCTCTGAGTGGCCCTACCCGTGTCTCATGCCTATCCAGGACCCAACCTCTGTGGCTAGGGGTATATCCTTACATGATCCCCATGTTAATAGCTGTTATTGACTACTATGTGCCAAGTCTTTAACTATATTATCGCTCATCTCACAACAAAATGAAAGATATCTATTTACTATCCCCATTTTTCAAGTGACGGAACAGGATTAGAGACGTTAAATAACTTGCCCAAGTTCACATCCCCCAAATGGAGAAACTAAAATTTTGGCTCAGTTCTCCAGGACTCCCTATCAGAGTGCCAAAATGGCCCATCTCCCTGCAGCTGCAGAATAAGTGAGCTGTCTCATAAAATGTGCATTCATTCCATAGACATTAATTAGGCACTGCTCTGTGCAGTCACAGGTTATGACTGGAAGATTCCTGGGACATTTCAGCACTCCAGGCACTAGCTTCCTCAAGCCCCATATGGACCCCTTCTGGAAACCCACCTGGTAATAAATAGTAGGACCCTGGTCTCTTGAGAGACACATGGCTCATCTGGTAATTCTGGGTAGTAGAACCTTTCCAAAGAGGAATAAGTCATCATTTGCAACTTCTGCCCTACCTGTTTGACTCACTCTCAAAAAGTCTACCATCTAGGTAAGATAAAAATAAAAAGGGGGTCACAGACCAAGTTTGCTTGGTCCCTATATTTTTTTCTGAATTGGATTTGTTACCAATACTGAAAAGATAGGACTAGTATTTCACATTCAAAGCCATGTTTCCGGTTTCTTCTAAATATATCAAATGTGGCAGCATTGAGGCCAGATTCTTACATGGCAAAGGTCAGTAGGAACTGACAAGATGACTGGCTGCTGCTTTGGGGTGGGGCGTGTGCTCTCCGGTTTGCCCTAGTCCCTTTCATTCCTTATTGCCTTACACCAAGGCTGCCTTACTCATTGACTTTACCTGCTGAGTGAGCAGCACAAATGCAGTGTGAAACAGCACAAAAAAGAGGCGATGAGCATGCAGAGAGAGGAGCAATGAGCTCCCCTGGGTGGAGAAGGGGAAATGAGAAAGAGGCCCCAGCCTTAAAGGAGGAGTAGGGTTTTAAATATCAAAGTTTCTTCACATGTAGGGTGGATTATTATTGGTAGAGTGGAGCACTGTGGGGAAGGGATTTGCCAAGGTGAGCGATAAGCATGGGAAAAGCTACAGGCAGAATGTCCACCTAGTGTTTGGGTAGCCCTGCCCGCAGAGGCAGTATGTCAGGAGGTCACATAATGGAGAACAGGCAAGATAAAAGACCAGCTGGACTGGATTCTGCAGCGGCCTCACCAGCCCACTGGGGCCTCTGAACACGCGCACACACACACACAACCCCAACACACACAGAAGCTCATGGGTCCAGAGGTGCACTAGTGCCCACTGGGCCCTAGGGACCTCCAAGTGGGCCTGGGGCTGGGAAGCTGTGCTCCAGACTCAGGCATACCTCGTGCTCCCCATGAATGTGATTGTATCCTCCACCACCCTGGTGGGCATCTTGACCCATCCTGCAGGGGTCAGGGCCTCTCGCTGCTCCTCCCACCATCTTTAACACCTGCCACCCTGGCTGCTCCTGAGCCAGCCTCCTCTCAGAACAGGGGATTGTCCCCAGCTGATTCTGGGTCCCAGAGTTCTGTGTTGCCCTCCTTGGGCTGGGGCCAGTAAGGTACACGAAGGGAGGGCAGGGAAGAAACAACCATGTGCCCAGCACATCTGGTGCTTCCTCCAGCCCCACTTTGAAGGTTGACATCCCTATCCTGACTCTCCAAGGAAGAGCCTGAAGCTCACAGAGGTTGATGACTGACTGCAGACAAGGCCTCTCAGCATCCATCTCATCCTTTGTAGCATAAGGATCATGTACAAGTCTCCCAAGTTTTTTGTGAAATTTAGAAATAGTGTGTAAAGTGCTGGCCTGGTGCCTTGTATGCATTCATTAGTTAAAAATAATTAGTGAGCATCTATTATACCCCAGGCATAGTGCTTGGCACTAAGTTACAACACTCAACAAGGCAGACTGTAGAGAGTTACAGTCAGGGGTGTGTGTGTGTGTCTGTGTTGAAATTCTGTGTGTGTGTATGTTGGGGTTGTGTGTGTGTGTTGGATGTGTGTGTGCTGGGTATGTGTGTGCTGGGTGTGTGTGTGTTGGAATTCTGTTGGAGGTGTGCATGTGTGTTGTGTGTGTGTGCTGGGTATGTGTGTGTTGAGATTGTGCTGGGCTTGTTTGTGTGTATGTTGGGATTCTGTGTGGTGTATGTGGTGTGTGTTGGGATGTGTATGTGTGTTATGGTTGTGTGTGTGTGTGTTGGGTATGTGTGTGGTGTGTGTATGTTGGGTTTGTGTTGAGGTTGTGTGTGTTTTGGGATGTGTGTGTCAAGATTGCGTGTGTTGGGGTTGTGTGTGTGCTGGATGTATGTGTGTGCTGGAGGTGTGTGTGTGTTGGAGTTGTGTGTATGTGTTGGGGCTGTGCGTGTGTGTGCACTGGAGGCATGTGTACGTTAAGGTGGTGTGTGTGTGCTGAGTGTGTGTGTGTTGGGATTCTGTGTGTGTGTGTTGGGGGGTGCATGTGTATTGGGGTTGTGTGTGTGTGCATTGGAGGGGTGTGTGCGTTGGGGTGGTGTGTGTGCGTTGGAGGTGTGTGTGTTGGGATTGTGTGCGTTGGAGGTGCATGTGTTGGGGTTGTGTGTGTGTGTTGGGGTTGTGCATGTGTGCACTGGAGGTGCGTGTGTTGGGGTTGTGTGTGTGCGCATTGGAGGTGTGTGTGTGTTGGGGTTGTGTGTGTGCGTTGGAGGTGTGTGCGTTGGAGTTGTGTGTGTGTGCATTGGAGGTGTGTGTGTGTTGGGGTTGTGTGTGTGCGTTGGAGGTGTGTGTCAGGGTTGTGTTTGTGCGCGTTGGAGGTGTGTGTGTTGGAGTTGTTTATGCGGGTTGGAGGTGTGTGTGCGTTGGAGGTGCGTGTGTTGGGGTTGTGTGTGTGCACGTTGGAGGTGTGTGTTGGGGTTGTGTGTGTTGTGTTTGTGTATGTGCGTTGGAGGTGTGTGTGTGTGTTGGAGGTGTGTGTTGGGTTGTGTGTGTGTTGGGGTTGTGTGTGTGTCTTGGAGGTGTGTGTGCTGGGGTTGTGTGTGTGTGTGCGTTTGTGTGCTGGGGTTGGGGAAGTGAAGAGAATAAGTGACCATATACCACACAATGGAAAGGTGGCCGCGGTGTTTTCGGAAGGATGGCAGCATGTCCCAGGGATAATACTGGATTTGGGAGTTCCGGGAGGATGTGCCATCTCCATGTGTTTACAAAACAAATTCAGTGTGGCTGCACGAACAACGTGCCTTGGGGACAGGAGAGAAAGGAGGACAAAGAATAGCGTGGGCTTAGATGGGGCCAGGTCAGGCGGGACCTCACCCACCGCGTGAAGGGGTTTGTTTTTCATTCCGAGGGCCCTGGGCAGCTGTGAGGGGGAGGAAATGAAGAGAGACAGGAGGTTCCATGCAGTAACCTCCCAGCTGGTCCTTTGGCCCGCCACAGTTTCTCTCAACTCTGTAGGCAAAGCAATCCTGTTAAAACGTCCATCGGATCACACCGCGCCTCTGCTCAGCACCCTTCAATGGCTCCCTGTTTACCTCTGCATAAAAGCCGAAGTTTTCACAAGGCCCTGAGTGACCCGGCCATTACCTCCCTGCTCATTTTAGGCAACCCCACTCACCACCCCACTAAATGAGATGACCCCAGCCACAGTGGCCTGGCTGTTCCTGGAATGACAGGCTTCCCGCTTAGGGCTGAGATGGAACAGGGACCCCTCTTAGGGCCTGCTGCACCCCTCACCCCCACCCTCACTGCCCAAGTATGAAAATAAAGGAAAAATATTTAGTTCTTTCACGGGAGAGTCCAGGCACCCAGCTAGCCTTGAGGAGTAAAGGAGCCACCTGAGAAGTGAGGAGAAATGCAGATAGATCCCCACCAAATGGATCCGCTGGCACACAGACCTCAGACCAGGGGAAACCAAGACAAAGCTCTGACCACCTGATCTTTGTTCTCAATTTCTTCCTGAGGGGCCTGGAGGAAGTCACGCCCACGGGTCAGATCTTACCATTCCTTTCTGCCGACCCCAAGATTTTAGAAAAAACTTCGCTTCCTTAACCAATCACAAATCAGAGTCTGAACCCACCTATGACCTTTTAGCCCCATGACTTCAGATATCCCACCTTTTTAGGCCACACCAATGTGTAACCCCCATGTGCTGATTTATGATTTTACCTGTAACTTCTGCTTTCCTGAAATTTTTCCCTGCCTGAAAAAACCCTTGCATGCAAGCCATCAGGGAGGTCAGGTCTTAAGTGTGAGCTGCCTGATTATCCTTGCTTGGCGTCTTGCAAATGAATGCCCCTCTTTCTCTCACTGCAAACCCTGAGTGTGGACGTTTGGCTTTACTGCACCAGGTAGGAAGACTCCATTCAGCTCCACCCTGGCTGAGCCTCTAGAAGGAATGCTCTCTCTTCTTCCCTCATCACCTTTACATCTTTGCTCAGATTTTACCTTCCCAGGGAGACTTACGATGACCACCTACTTTTTACTCAAAATTGCTCCCCACGGTACTCCTAATCTCCCCCTTTTTTGTATCTTGCTTTGCTTTTTCTATAACCCTTATCTCCTAACATATTGTCCATGCCCTCTAGCCAAAACCCACCAGGAACACATACGCAGCTGGGTTGTTTTTTTTGGGGGGGGGGGTTGGGGGGGTGGAGAGGACAGGGTCTCACTGTTGCAGTGAAGGAGATCACATACCAGGGGACCTGAGGCTGCCTCCCTCATTGCAGTCATTGCAGCGTGCAGCGGCACCTGTGCTCCTGGTGGCCCTTGCCTGGAGAACATTGACAATCCTATGTACGTTACTTGTTTGCTATGTTTTTCTTCTTGTCTTCCCCTTCTAGGTTCATGGAGGTGAGGATGTTTTGACTGTTCCGTTAACTGATCCAAGTGCCTAGAACTATAATCACAGCAGAAGCCCAATTTTTGTCATTTGCTGAGATGGGGAAGCCTGGAAAATGAGCGGGGTTTGCAGGCTGGGGCAGAATTAGGGAGGAATTGATAAGCTTGAGCTATTTCCAGTCACAGAATCATCGGTTCATCTTCCTATGTCAACCTCACCTACCACCCAGCATTGATCATAGCCCTGCCCTCGCCACCCCCCACCACAGGCATGCCTCAGCCCTCAGTGAACCCCTTAGCAGCAGCACGTGCAGCACCATTAAAACACACCCCAGGTGCCGTTCTAAACACAGCTTGTCTTAACCGGTTGGCACTCCTGTGATTTTTAGAGATGAGGAAACTGGGCAGGGCATGGTGGTTCACAACTATAATCCTAGCATTTGGGGAGGTCCAGGAAGGAGGATCACTTCAGGCCAGGAGTTTGAGACCAGCCTGGGCAACACAGCAAGACCCTACCTCTCCAAAAAAAAGTGTTTAATGAAAAAAATGTATTTTCAGAGGTGAGGAAACTGAGCACAAGAAGAATAAATAAGTTTTGAGCAGCCAAGCTGGAATTTCAGTATAGATCGTCCAACCCCAGAGCCTAAACCTCTCAGAGCATTTCATGGCCATCAACTTAGATGCCAAGAAAGGAAGATGGGGTGAGGAGATGCGGCAACACCAAGGCAAACTTGATGTGAGGTGTAGCAAGAGGAGATAGTTTTCTTTCTGTTAGGAGGAGGCTGTCTGCAGCAAACACTGCTCTGTGTCTCGTGGGAAACCCCACAGGCTGCCCAAAGCCCTCACAGATGCCCGGTCCCATTCAGGCCTGACTCGTCCCATTGAGTCAGAAGGGTCTGGTGCCTCTGACACGATGCATCAACTGGGGCATTCATGAAAATGAAAAAGGAGCCAAGCCCGGCCCTTTTCCCCTATCAAAGGAGAGCAGCAGAGATCTGAAAAACGGGGTGATTAACTCCACCAGACACTCGAGTTGCCATGGATACTACCGACCAGCATGACATCTCTTCTGCCCCTTGGTTCTGAGGCTGCCTGTGCTCTTCAGCCCTGGCAGACAGAGTTTTTCTCCTCACTTCCCCAAAACTGGTTCTAAAAGCACAAAAGGCATTTGAGGACTCAGAGCAGGGGAGAGCTCACTCCATCCCATGTCATCTTTTTCAAAACTACATTTTTCCGTCTCTGTTGCACGTCATGTTAGCTGTATTCATGCTAATGGGAGATTGTGTGTGTGAGAACAGCTGTTCTAGAAAGTATGTATCTACTCTACGACTTAAGATTAAATGCCTTGGAGGTCTGGAGAGAACTAAGAGGCAAATTAAAGAGTTTTGTGGGTTTTTTTTTGGCAGGGGGCGGGGGTGCAGGGGAACAGGGTCTCACTCTGTCGCCCCGGCTGGAGTGCAGTGGCGTGATCATAGCTCCCTGCAGCCTCCAACTCCTGAGCTCAAGTGATTTTCCCACAGGCACAAGCAACTGTGCTGAGGTCCATGAACCCTTGTGTCTGTGAATATGTCTATTATAATGATTGTCACTGGTGATCTTGACAGCTATATTAAAATTACTGTTATCGGTAAAATGAAACCTAAACTTTGCCACTAAAGTGAAGTGCCCATATAAGTCCAATCCAAGGACAGTGACTGATCTTTGTGTCCAGACTCAAGCTCTTACAAAAAACTGCCAGTCACTAACATTCTCAATAAACACTCATCAGATAATCATATTTGAGAGCTGTTTTTAACTTTTCAAATACTCATCTCATTTGAGCTTTACAACTAATGAAATCAACAGTAAGTAACAACTGTCTAACCCAGGCCAAAATCAGTAATATGAATTATAATCATTTTTAAATGCTACAATGGGAACATATTTGAAATGCACAATCCAAGGTAGATTAATGGAAGAACAGAGGGATGACAGGTGGAGATGTATGTGAACAAGAAAATACAGCAGAATGTCAATAGTAGAATGCCTAGGTTGGACAAATTTCAAAGGTTCTTTCATTCCCCCAAATTCTATGTTTTTATATTGATTTTCTAAGTATTTTTCAGATACTCTAAAATGAAGATAAGTTAACATTGGTCAGCTAAGATCAATTTAAGGTTAATCTCTGCAGCAACTCAGAACTGATCCGAAATTTATCAGTCAGGGGCTAGTGTATGCTGTGGTAGCAAACATCACTAAAATCTTGGGGCTTAAAACTACAGAGGTTTATCTCTTGCTTACACGATATAGGAACCACAGATGAGCTGGGGGCTTTGTGCCTGCATCGCCATTGACACTGTCCTCTTTGTTGTTCTCTTCCAGGGCCCAGTGAACAGAGCCCCTGGACATTGCCGGAAGGAAAGGAGAAAGCCCAGCAAAGCACACAACGTATCAGGCTTTTCATGTGTCATTGGGTGAAAGGGAGTCACATGGGCCAAGGAGGGGAAGCAGGTGTCATCAGAGCAGTTCCACAGCCCTCTAGGCACAGTAACAGGCATGCTTTCTGTCCTTCTCTCCTTTTAGATTGTAAGCTACCCAAAGTCCATCTCCATGGGTTTTTTTCCTTATGTGCAAACTACCATATGACAGGTGTGCCTGACAATAACTCAGGTATAGCTGAGAATGATCCTGTAGTCCAAGAATGTTGGTTCTGAGCTCTGAACTAAGGAATCTGGGAGCTGCCAACCCAGAGGTTTACTCCTTATCTATGGAGCATAGGTGAACCCCTGGCCCATTTCTTGGAACAGCATGTGCGGGGAACCAAGGCCCTTTGTTTTGAGCTAGGTGGAGGTGGCCAGGTAGAGGTCGCCAGGAAGAGGTGGCCAGGTGGAGGTTGCTAAGCAAAGATTGCTATATTAACTGGGTGCTTTTTAGAAACCATAGTGGTTACCCCATTCATCCAGCCACTCCTGGACTCCCTGTACGTTTAAGTTGCCCAATAAAACTTATGTCTTGCTCGCTGTCTCTGGGTCTTTTCTTCAGCCTCTCAGACACGGTGCCCTCCCTGGGCTTGGACTCAGTGGGGGTACTACTCCACTACTACAATGCCCAAAAAATGCCCACCTCTCTTTCTGACACTCAGTAAACATCTGCCATTGGCAATGATTGAGCTTCTAACATCTTTACCCTATGAGGAAAAGCAGCTCTTTTCTATGTATGATACCCTTACTTTGCTGGCTCAAGGATGGTGTTCAGGGTGGGTCTTAGAACCTGTGGCACAAAAGCCTGTTGTTGTTTTCTTTGCCTGGTAGAGATTTGAGGCTCAGCAGTAGGAGGGTCTCTCTTTCTGGAGGCTCTCAACCTGATGCTTTGTTATTGTGTCTCTGCAGCAGGGAGCAGGGAAATGGGGAATCACTTAAGGACCCTGGGGCTCCGGTGGAATTTCTGCAAGAGAGAGGAGATAATAAAGACTCAATGGGGTGGGACAATTGGGAGGGAGGTAGCTATTAGCAGTCTGAATAAAAGGGAAAAGGGGGCTTTAAAGCAACCCTAAGGCTTGTTTTTGAGAAAAAGATCTCATCTCCTCATTCCTGTGGCTCCCTAACCCCCTGTGTGCCTCCCCTCCACAGATGTCTTTGAGTCTCTGTCTTGCAGTGATGTACGAGGCCAAGCTCCCTCCCCATAGGCCATCGAGCCAGATGATTCATGCTGAACAATCTAGTACATTCTAACACAGCCTTCTGTGAAAGGCAGCTTGGCTCCAAAGCTGCAAAATACAAAGCCTTTCACAGCAACAGCCAAACAGGTAAATAAATGAATCAATACTCAAGCACTCAGCACATTCACGCATATTTACTATGGGAACACGCTGGACCAGGCCCAATACCTGGGCTCCTAACTGTGCTAGTCAATATCACTTGTCAATTAAAACCTAAAGGAGTTTTATCACTCCCCCTGACACCCCAGACTCCTGGCTCATAAAATGGATTTCAAGTCAGTGTAAATAGCTTGCTTTGCCCAGCAGCTGTGTTCCTGAAAAGTTTCTTGTAAATCAAATCATCTTTTAAAATGCATGAAACTTTCTGCTTAAAAGGAACCCTGTGATTAATCCTTTTGTAAGGCAAAACATCTTCCTGTAATATAAAAAATACTACTACCACCTCCCCCCATCTGGCTCTTCCTCCCCTTGCCACCTCCTGGTTACCACCTGCCCACCTCCACTCCATTCCATAGGTCAGCTTTAGGTGCAAATACCATTTTTAAAGAGGATTCACATTTTTGTGACTTGGAAGCAAACCAAGACCCATCTTTTTAACATGTATCTTACAAATATCCTGGTTGAAAAGCCTGCAGAATATACATCACTTGTTTGCAGATACCACAATACACAATCACCAGAAATGCTGATGAGCTTGGCTATGAAAGGAATGAGCTGATGCTCTCTAAGAGGATGGCTTATCATCCCTTACTCAAAACAAAATCGAAGGCAGCATCTTGGAAGGCAGGTGGAGACACGATTAAGGACGCCTTTACTTCCCCTCCCCAGCTCACGCCACTGCTTCCTGCTAGTGAAGATTGAAAAGAAGAATGAATCATGGAAAATACCATTCTCCAAATGTCATTGGGAACATCAGTCTATACTTCTGCCTAAAAATGAGACTAAAGACT
The DNA here is from genome assembly GCF_000001405.40 of Homo sapiens. Lineage (NCBI taxonomy): Eukaryota > Metazoa > Chordata > Mammalia > Primates > Hominidae > Homo > Homo sapiens. The sequence continues at coordinate 47,847,662 of NC_000016.10, read as the reverse complement.
AGCCCCATGTTTCTCCTTCTTCCAACATTTCAGATTTTTGCCATGCCTGTGAGCCACCTGTAGCATTACTTACTCGGTTTTAGTTAAATTGACTTCTTCTTACTTAGCCTCATGAGAACTGAGGGCCAAGGAAGAGCTTTCCCCTTGACCCTCTGAAGTTCTGCTGAAAAATCAACTCACAAAAGGCAGACAAATGTGTGTAATATGTATACACAGGAACCTTGAGAATGATGATGTAATTCCCTGGTTAGGTTCCAAAGCTTGCATAGCATCTCGAGGTTATAGAAATAATGCATGCTCAGAGCATGGCCCAAAACAGGTTAGGTTGGTAGATCAAGTTTAGTGCCAAGGCAGGTTATGAGAAGGGGAGAGGAAGGGGCCTGGCTACCAAAGGGGGTCTCATTATGTAGAGTAAGCCTCTTGGGTGGCAGCCCTAAAGAGAACATATGGTAAATGTCCCTTTTCTGACATTTAAAGGGTCAGACTCTCAATCTCCCATAGATCCAGGAAAGGCCTAGAAACGGAAGGCCTGGCTGCATCCATGGAGATTCTCTACAGATGCAAATTTCCCCCACAAAAGACAGCTTTGCAAGCCACTTCTGTCTGTTGGCTCTGTGGCAGCCATTTCAAAATATGTCAAATAAATAGATTTTGGAGTAAAATATCTTTATTTCCTTCAAGAAGCAATGAGATCCATGAAATTGCAGGTTTCAGATGTAGTTATATCTTTTCTAGAACACGTTAATGTGAGCTTATAACTGAAACCACCTTTGGAAAAATTATAACAGTGAGAAAATTATGACAATGAATGAGATCTGATCTAACTCACTTCCATCTTGCCTTTAACCTCCAAACTGCCCTAATTATTCCTGGGCCTAGTCCAAGTTAACTCTGGGAGACATTTAGTTTATACTTCAAATGGTAATATCCCTTCCCCGAAACTCTACCACTTTTGTAAGGCTAATGAAAGACCACCAGGTCAGGAGGATGACATGAGCCTGAATTCTGCTAACATGTAAAGGATTACCAGTCATTATGCTGGGGTTCACAAGATTTGCAACTTTCCCAATTATTCCTGCAGATAAATCACTCTTGTAGAACATAAGATTAGCCTCTTAAGATGTCTTTTCAGGTTTTTTCATTTCTGATGACAGATGGCTCCACCTGGACCTACCAAGGGGTCCGGTGGTCCCACTCAGAAGCAGACTGAGCATGCAGGAGGATCACTTTCCACACCCCTATGATGGCATCCTCAACCAATCAACAGCACCCATTCTCTGGCCTGCCAAACTATCCTTGAAAAACCCTAGTCTCCACATGTTCAGGGAGACTGATTTGAGTAATAAAATTCCAGTCTCCCATTCAGCTGGCTCTTCTTGAATTAAACTCTTACTCTAATGCAATTCCCCCATCTTGATAAGTCAGCTCTGCCTGACCAGCAGGCAAAATTAACACATTGGGCGGTTACATAACTATGTAAAAATGGGTTCATCCAGGTGCTACCTAAAGTCATCCTGTGGGCCACTATTGATACACGTACCACACTTTGCCACCACACTTTGAATGGACAAGGTAACCAAATATGATTGAGCCATGCTAGTCTTAATTCCCTTACCATTGTTTGCCTACCTGCGCCTGCATTCACTCAACAAACATTGGTATCTACCATGTATGGTCATTGTACAAGGCATGAATGAGGAGAGAGGAGAGACTCTGTGCCTTTGAGAGCTTACGGTTTGGTGGAGGAGGCTGAAAGAGAGAGAGTTGTGATCTAGCATGTTGTACAAAGAACTGGAGGAACACAGAAGAGACATGAGCTCTACTTCAGGAATAGGAACTTCAAAGACAGCACTTTGGCTGGGCTTAGAAGGGTGAACAAGATTTGCTCTGATGAGGGGAGCGAAGAGAAGACATTCCAGGAGAGAAAATAGCAGTGTACAAAGGCTCAGAGGTATGTGACAGGAAGATGCAGGCAGAAGGGGTGGGTGCTCTGGCTGGCAGGAGAGGGAACAACAGTTTTTAAAAATCACATGATGGGAGTCTTTGGTGTAGACTTGGTGATAATGTCCTCAAGGTTAATCCATATTTTTGCAGGTAACAGACTTCCTTCCTCTTAAGGCTGAATGATATTCTATTACAAGTTGTTATAGATTGAATTGTGCCCTTACCCAAGTGTAGAAGCCTTAGTTAACCCCCAATATAACTATATTTGGAAATAGGGCCTTTAAAGAGGTAATTAGGGTTACATGAAGTCGTAAGTGTAGAGCCCTAACCTAATAGGACTACTGTCTCTATAGGAAGAGGAAGAGACACCAGGGAGGCACTTACACAGAGAAGGGATGAATGGAAGGACATGGCAGGAAGGCAGTCCCCTGCCAGCCACGGAGAAAGGCCTCAGATAACCCAACCCTGCCACACCTTGATCTTGGACTTGTAGCATCCGCAGCTGTAAGAGAATAAATTTCTGTTGTTTAAGCCACCCAGTTTGTGATATTTGGTTATGGTGGCACTAACAAATTAATAAATATGTATATATGTGTGTATCCATTCATCTGTCAATGGACATTGGGATTGCTTCCACCTTTGGGCTATTGGGAATCATGCTGCTATGAACATGGGTGTGCAAAGATCTCTTCAAGACCTTGCTTTCAATTCTTGTGGATATATATCCAGAAGTGGAATTGCTGAATCATATGGTAATTCTATTTTTAATTTTCTTGAGGAAGTTTCATACTGTTTTCCATAGCAGCTGTGCCATTTTACATTCCCAGCAGCAGTGCACAAGGGTTCCTATTTCTCCATATCCTCACTAACACTTGTTTTCTGTGGTTTCTTTTTTTTTTTTTTTTAATAGCAGCCATTCTAATCGGTGGGAGGTGGTATCACATGGTAGTTTTTCTTTGCGGTTCCCTAATGATCAGTAATTCAGTGATATTGGGCATCGTTTCATGTGCTTATTGGCCATCTGTAAATCTTTGGAGATTCAATGTATATTCAAGTCCTTTGAACATTGCTGAATTATGTTGTTTCCTTTTTTGGTGTTGAGTTTTAGGAGTTTACTATATATTATGGATATTAATCCATTATCAGTGTCTTCTTATATTAATAAGAAAAATAAAATGAAACAGTGGTAAAGTGTTGGGGCAGCAAAAATTTGGGGGGATGGTATGGAGAGATAACGGGCGATGTTTCTCAGAGCTGCTTTGAGTGGGATTAGGGGTGGGATGGGAACCTAGAGTGGGAGAGATTAAGCTGAAGGAAGATTTTGTGGTAAGGGGTGATATTGTGGGGTTGTTGGAAGGAGCATTTGTCATATAGAATTATTGGTGATGGCCTGGATATGGTTTTGTATGAATTGAAAAACTAAACGGAATAAGAGAAGGAGAAAAACAGGTATTAAAGGACTAAGAATTGGGAGGACCTAGGACATCCAATTAGAGAGTGCCTAAGGAAGTTCAGCATAGCCCTGCCAGCAAAGATTATTTATTTAAGAGTTGAGAGTGGTGGTTTGGGGATAGCACCAGGAGATATCAGCTGTGATGGCTTGGAGAAACAGTGTAAACTGGCAGTGTAAACAAGGGCAGGGCATTTATGAGTAGTTGAGAATGGTGAATAGGAGTATGACTAGACAGAAGATAGTAGAGATGACAAGTTTTTTGGGGCACAGTCCAAATTGACCTGGTGTCTGGAATGAGACTGGGCCCTAAGAAAAAGGAGGGTCTACACAGGAGCTCAAATGGGCTGTACCCTGTAGCATTCCAAGGACAGGCCCAAATTCTCAGAAGGGAAAGTGTTAAGAGTATTGTCCAGTCCTTTTTAAGTTGGTGGCTGAGCTTGGTGAGGTGTGTTTTTAAAAGACCATTAGTTCACTGAGTACCAAGAGCCTGAGAAACTGCTTGGGTGAGTTGACTAATAAAGGCTGGTCCGTTATCAGACTGTATAGAGGTAGGAAGGCCAAACCGAGGAATTATATCTGACAGATGGGAAGAAATGACTGCAGTGGCCTTCTCAGACCCTGTGGGAAAGGCCTCTACCCATCCAGTGAAAGTGTCTACCCAGACCAAGAGGTATTTTAGTTTCCTGACTCGAGGCATGTGAGTAAAGTCAATTTGCCAGTCCTGAGCAGGGGCAAATCCCTGAGTTTGATGTGTAGGGAAGGGTGGGGGGGGTGCCTGAACAATCCCTGAGGAGTAGTAGAATAGCAGATGGAACACTGAGAAGTGATTTCCTTAAGGATAGATTTCCACGATGGAAAGGAAATGAGAGCTTCTAAGAGGTGGGCTAGCAGCTTGTAACCTACATGGAAGAGGTTATGAAATGATGACAGGATAGAATGGGCCTGTGAGGCTGGAAGGAGATATTTTCCATGGTCTAAGAACTATTTGCCTTGTGTGGGAAGAGATTGATAGGTGGAAGTTTTAGTCGGGGAGTAGGTGGGAGTGGCCAGATGAGAAGGAGGAAAACTGCCGTGAGTGATAGAAGTTGGAATGCTAGCTGCTTTTTTAGCTAACTTATCAGCATAAGCATTGTCCTGAGCCATGGAATCTGATGCCTTTTGATGGCCTTTGCAACAAATGACTCCAGCTTCCTTTGGAAGTAAAGCAGTTTTGAGAAGCATTTTTATTAAAGAGGCATTAATGATGGAGGACCCTTGCATAGACAGGAAACCTCTTTCAGCCCATATAAGAGCATGGTGGTGCAGGACATGGAAGACATATTTAGAGTCAGTATAAATATTGATGTGTAGTCCCTTTGCAAGAGTGAGGGCCTGAGTTAAGGCAATAGTTCAGCTTGCTGAGAGGTAGTGGAGGGGGCAGAGTGGTAGCCTCAATGATAGGTGTGGAAGATACTATAGCATAGCCTGCCTTTGCTGGTGAGTGGCGATTAGGCCTAGTGGAACTGCCATCAATAAACCAAGTGTGTTCAGGGTGAGGAACAGGAAAGAAGGAAATATGGGGAAATGGAGTGAATGTCAGGTGGATCAGAAAGATACAGTCGTGGGGGTCAGGTGTGGTATCAGGAATAATGTGGGAGGCTGGATTGAAGTCCGGAACAATGGTAATTGTGGGAGACTTAACAAAGAGTGAGTATAGCTGAAGGAGCCGGGGAGCAGAAAGTATATGCATCAGGTGGGAGGAAGAAAATAGATTTTGGAAGTTATGAGAAATGTACAGAGTGAGTTGAGCATAGTTTGTGATTTTGAGGGTCTCTAAAAGTATTAAAACAGTGGCAGCCACTGCACGCAGACATGAGGGCTAGGCTAAAAGAGTAAGGTCAAGTTGTTTGGACAGAAAGGCTATAGGGCGTGGTCCTGGTCCTTGTGTAAGAATTGCAACCACACAGCCCTGCACTTCGGCTGTGTGTAATGAAAAAGGTTGGGATGAGTTAGGGAGATCTAGTGTGGGAGCAGCTTTTAGGGCTGTTTTTAAGGAACAGAAAGGGGAGTGGGGAAAGGATTTAGGCTCTGTGGGGTCAGCTAGGATTTAGGCTCTGTGGGGTCAGCTAGGTTTGCTTTTGTGAGTTTATATAATGGTTTAGTCAGGATGGTAAAACTAGGTATCCTAGGTACCTAGGTACCTAGGCAGAAGTACCTAACCATGCCTAGGGAGGAAAGGAGTTGTTTTGTAGAAGGGATTTGGGTTTGGGAGATTAGCTGGACATGATCAGCAGGAGAGCACTTGTGTTTTCATGAGAATTATGCCGAGATAGGTAACAGATGAGGAAGAAATCTGGGCTTGACTGAAGTAATGGGGGCTGTCTGTGAAGCCTTGAGGCAGTACAGCCCAGGTAATTTGCTGAGCCTGATGGGTGTCAGGGTCAGTCCAAGTGAAAGTGAAGAAAGGCTGGGATAAAGGGTGCAAAGGAATAGTAAAGAAAGCATGTTTGAGATCCAGAACAGAATAATGGGTTGTGGAGGGAGGTATTGAGGATAGGAGAGTATATGGGTTTGACACTACAGGGTAGATAGGCAAAACAATTTGGTTGATAAGGCACAGATCCTGAACTAAGCTGTAAGGCTTGTCTGGTTTTTGAACAGGTAAAATGGGGGAATTGTAAGGAGAGTTTATAGGCTTTAAAAGGCCATACTGTAACAGGTGATGGATAACAGGCTTTAATCCTTTTAAAGCATGCTGTGGGATGGAATATTGGCATTGAGTGGGGTAAGGGTGATTTGGTTTTAATGGGATGGTAAGGGGTGTATGATCAGTCACCAAGGAGAGAGTAGAGTTGTACTATACTTGTGGATTAAGGTGGGGAGATACAAGGGAAGGATGTGAAGGAGGCTTTGAACTGGGGAAAAGGGCGGCAATGAGGTGTGGCTGTAGCCTTGGAATAGTCAGGGAAGCAGCTAATTTAGTTAAAATGCCTAGACCTAATAAGGGAACTGGACAGGTTGGGATAACTGAAAAGGAGTGCATAAAAGAATATTGTCCAAGTTGGCACTAGAGTTGGGGAGTTTTAAGGGGTTTAGAAGCCTGGCCATCAATACCCACAACAGTTATGGAAGCAAGGGAAACAGGCCCTTGAAAAGAAGGTAATGTGGAGTGGGTAGCCTCCATATTGATTAAGAAGGGGAAGGACTTACCCTCCACTGTAAGAGTTACCTAAAGCTCGGTGTCTTTAATGGTCCTGTAGGCTTCCGAGGCGATCAGGCAGTGTCAGTCTTCAGCAGCTAAGCTGAGAAGATCTGGAAAGGAGTCAGTCGGAGAGCCTTGGGCCAGAGTTCCAAGGGCTCTAGGAGTGGCTGCTGGGTGAGTTGGACAGTCTAATTTCCAGTGGGGTCCCACACAGATGGGACACAGCTTAGGAGGAATCCCGGGCTGTGGGCATTCCTTGGCCCAGTGGCCATATTTCTGGCACTTGTGGCAAGCTCCTGGAGGAACACCTGGCCACTGTTGTTCAGGTGTTTCGAAGTTCTTGTGTGCTGGAGATGTGGCTGGGGTTTGTATCACAGTGGAGGCAAGGAATTGCAACTCAGAAATACATTGCTACTTGGCTACCTTTTGTCTATTACTATACACCATGAAGGCAAGGTTACTTAAGTCCTGTTGTGGGGTTTGAGGGCTGGAATTTAATTTTTGGAGTTTTATTTAATGTCAGGAGCAGATTGGGTAATAAAACATATATTGAGAATAAGACGGCCTTTTGATCTTTTAGGGTCTAGGGCTGTAAAGCATCTCAGGGTTGCTGCCCAATGAGCCAGGAACTGGGCTGGGATTTTATATTTGATGAAAAAGAGCCTAAACACTAACTGATTTGGGAGAGGTCAGATAAAGAAAAAGGAGTGTTAACCTTGACTATGCCTTTAGCTCCAGTCACCTTTTTAAGAGGAAATTGCTGGGCAGGTGGGGGAGGGTTAGTCGTGGAATTAAACTGTGACCCAGACTGGGTGTGAGGAGAAGGGGTGATAAAAGAATTATAGGGTGGGGGAGCAGAGGCTGAGGAAAAATTGGGACCTAGCTCGGCCTGGTGATAAGCAGCCTGGGGAGGAGGGGAGAGGTCGGATGGTTCCATAGAAAAGGAAGATTCAAAAGAGGAAAGACTCAGCGATGCTTGGGCTTGGGACTGAGGGGACAGACAGGAGAGAAAGAAGGAAGATTTGGGATGAGTTGCATGGGAACAGAGACTAGGGAGGGACTGATGTGTAAAAGAATGCCTGGACATCAGGCACCTCAGACAATTTGCCCATTTTAAGACAAGAATTATTTAGATCTTGTAGGATGGAAAAATCCAAAGTGCCATTTTCTGGCTATTTGGAACCACTGTCAAGTTTGTATTGGGGTCAAGCAGTGTTGCAGAAAAAAATAAGATGCTTAGATTTTAGGTCACACAAGAGTTGAAGAGGTTTTAAGTTCTTGAGAACACAAGCTAAGGGAGAAGAAGGAGGAATGGAGGGTGGAAGGTTGCCCATAGTGAAGAAGGCAAGCCCAGAGAAAAGAGAGAGTAGAGACATGGAGAGAAGGGGTCGGGGGGTGCTTGCCCCCAGAAAAGTGGAGAAGGGGTAGAGACACGGAGAGAAGGGGTCATGGGGTGCTTGCCCCCCAGAAAAGTGCTACTTGCTGCTAAGGGTGAAGGACCAAGGCAGGTGTCCTCGCATGGTCAGACACCTCTGAAACGTGGGTGAATAATCAGGCAGGCATTAAACACCAAAGGAAACTGTCTTTCTGAGTCCGTGACCAGCACCAGAGTTTTGGGTCCGCGGATAAAATGTATCTCCTTTGTCTCTACCAGAAAAGGAAAGGAACTGAAATTAAGAAAAAGGAAAGATTGAAGTATGGCACCAAGATTGAAAAGAGAAAGAGGTTGAGGGATAGTGAGAGAGGTTGGAGAAGAGAGTAAAGAGAGGCCGCTTACCAGATTTAAAATTGGTGAGATGTTCCTTGGGCTGGTTGTTCTGAGGACCCGAGGTCGTAGGTGGATCTTTCTCATGGAGTAAAGAGCAGGAGGACAGGGGGTTGATCTCCCAAGGGAGGTCCCCCGATCTGAGTCACGGCCCAAATTTCACTTCATTTCACTCACGTCCATGTGAAGAGACCACCAAACAGGCTTTATGTGAGCAACAAGGCTGTTTATTTCACCTGGGTGCAGGCGGGCTGAGTCTGAAAAGAGAGTCAGTGAAGGGAGTTGGGGTGGGGTCGTTTTATAAGATTTGGGTAGGTAAAGGAAAATTACAGTCAAAGGGGGTTGTTCTCTGCCTGGCAGGGATGGGGGTCACAAGGTGTTCAGTAGGGGAGCTTTTGAGCTAGGATGAGCCAGGAGAAGGAATTTCACAAGATAATGTCATCAGTTAAGGCAGGGACGGGCTATTTTCACTTCTTTTGTCATGGGATGTCATCAGTTAAGGCAGGAACTGGCCATCTGGATGTGTAGGTGCAGGTCACAGGGGATATGATGGCTTAGCTTGGGCTCCGAGGCCTGACAATCAGATATATGATTTGCAAACATTTTCTCCCATTCTATTGGTTGATTTTTTACTCTGTTTATATTGTATTTTGATGCACAATTTTTTTTATTATACTTTAAGTTTTAGGGTACATATGCACAATGTGCAGGTTAGTTACATATGTATACATGTGCCATGCTGGTGTGCTGCACCCATTAATTCATCATTTAGCATTAGATATATCTCCTAATGCTATCCTTCCCCCCTCTCCCCACCCCACAACAGTACCCAGAGTGTGATGTTCCCCTTCCTGTGTCCATGTGTTCTCATTGTTCAATTCCCACCTATGAGTGAGAATATGCGGTGTTTGGTTTTTTCTCCTTGCGATAGTTTACTGAGAATAATGATTTTCAATTTCATCCATGTCCCTACAAAGGACATGAACTCATCATTTTTTATGGCTGCATAGTATTCCATGGTGTATATGTGCCACATTTTCTTAATCCAGTCTATCATTGGTGGACATTTGGGTTGGTTCCAAGTCTTTGCTACTGTGAATAGTGCCACAATAAACATACGTGTGCATGTGTCTTTATAGCAGCACGATTTATAGTCCTTTGGGTATATACCCAGTAATGGGATGGCTGGGTCAAATGGTATTTCTAGTTCTAGATCCCTGAGGAATCACCACACTGACTTCTTATAGATAAATGGAACAGAACAGAACCCTCAGAAATAACGCTGCATATCTACAACTATCTGATCTTTGACAAACCTGAGAAAAACAAGCAATGGGGAAAGGATTCCCTATTTAGTAAATGGTGCTGGGAAAACTGGCTAGCCGTATGGAGAAAGCTGAAACTGGATCCCTTCCTTACACCTTATACAAAAATCAATTCAAGATGGATTAAAGACTTAAACGTTAGACCTAACACCATAAAAACCCTAGAAGAAAATTTAGGCATTACCATTCAGGACATAGGCATGGGCAAGGACTTCATGTCTAAAACACCAAAAGCAATGGCAACAAAAGCCAAAATTGACCAATGGGATCTAATTAAACTAAAGAGCTTCTGCACAGCAAAAGAAACTACCATCAGAGTGAACAGGTAACCTACAAAATGGGAGAAAATTTTCACAACCTACTCATCTGACAAAGGGCTAATATCCAGAATCTACAATGAACTCAAACAAATTGACAAGAAAAAAACAAACAACCCCATCAAAAAGTGGGCGAAGGACATGAACAGACACTTCTGAAAAGAAGACATTTATGCAGACAAAAAACACATGAAAAAATGCACACCAGCACTGGCCATCAGAGAAATGCAAATCAAAACCACAATGAGATACCATCTCACACCAGTTAGAATGGCAATCATTAAAAAGTCAGGAAACAACAGGTGCTGGAGAGGACGTGGAGAAATAGGAACACTTTTACACTGTTGGTGGGACTGTAAACTAGTTCAACCATTGTTGATGCACAATTTTTAAAAACTTTCATGAAGCCTAATTTGTCTATTTTTTTCTTTCATTACCTGTGTCTTTGAGGTCATTTCCAAGAAATCATGACCAGATCAAATGTAAAGATTTTGCCCTATGTTTTCTCCTAAGAGTCTTATAGTTGTAGGTCTTACATTTAGATCTTTCATCCATTTTGAGTTAATGTTTGTGTATGGTGTTAGGTAAAGGTCCAACTTGATCCTTTTGTGTGTAGATAACCAGTTTTCTCAGCACAATTTGTTGAAAAGACTATTCCCCATTGAATGGTCTCAGCACCCTGATCATCATCTGGCCAGTTTATTTCTGGGCTTTCTGTTTTATTATATTGGCTTATATGTCTGTCATTATGCCAGTACCACACTGTTTTGATTATTATTGTTTTTTTGAAACAGAGTCTCACTTTGTCACCTAGGCTGGAGTGAGGTGGTACAATCATGGCTCACTGCATCCTCTACCTCCCTGGGCTCAGGTGATACTCCTACCTCAGCCTCCTGAGTAGCAGGGACACAGGCACACACCACCATGCCCAGCTAATTCTTGTATTTTTTTCTTTTTTCTTTCTTTTTTTTTTTTTGTAGAGACAGGGTTTTGCCATGTTGCTCAGGCTAATCTGGAACTCTTGAGCTCAAGTGATCTTCACACCTCAGCCTCCCTGCTGGGATTATAGGTATGAGGCACCACACCTGGCCAATTACTATAATTTTTTAGTAAGTTTGGAAGCTAGGAAATATGAATCCTCTAGCTGTATTTTTTTTCTTAGGATTGTTATGGCTGTCCAGAATCCCTTGAAGTTTCATGAAAATTTTGGAATATACTTTTCTATTTCTGAAAAAAAAGTCATTGAGATTTTGATAGGGATTTCATTCAATCTGTAGATTATCTGAAGTAGAGTAACATCTTAAAAATATTGTTGTCCAATCCTTGAACATATGATATATTTCCCTTTATGTCTTCTTCCATTTCTTTCAACCTTGTTTTATAGTTTATAATGTGCAAATCTTTCACCTCCCTGGTTAATTCCCAATTGTTTTTATGCTATTGTAAATAGAATTATTCTTGTAATTTCCTTTTCATATTGTTCATTGTTCACACATAGAAATGCAACGATTTTTGTGTATTGACTTTGTATCCTACTACTTTACTGAATTTGTTTATTAGTTCTAACAGGTTTTTTGTGGAATCTTTAAAGTTTTCTACATATAAGATATCATCTGTCAACAGAGATAATTTTACTTCTTCTTTTCCAGTTTGGATGACTTTTGTTTCTTTTTCTTGCCCATTGCTCTGGATAGAACTTCCAGAACTACATTGAACAGAAGTGGCAAAAGTGGGTATCCTGGCCTTGTTCCTGAACATAGAGGAAAAGCTTTCACTCTTTTACCATTGAGTATCATGTTCACTGTGAATTTTTCATAAATGGCTTTTATTATGTTGAGGTAGTTTTCTTCTAATCTTAGTTTATTTCATGTATTTTATAGCTATTTTATGCTTTTGTTTTTAAAATTCTATACAATAATTTACCTTCTCTGCAAGAATTTAAGGTAGATTTATGCACCAAAATTACAATGATACAGTTTTCTATATTTGTCCATATATTTACCTCTACTAGATAACTTTATATTTTCACATGTCTTCACCTTGCTGTCTAGTGTCCTTTCATTTCACCTTAGAAGACTCATTAGCATTTCTTGTAGGGCAGGTTTAGTGGTAATACACTTCCTCAGCTTTTGTTTATTGGGGGAAACCTTAATTTCTCCTTCATTTTTGAAGGACAGTTTTGCCATATCAATTATTCTTAGTCAACAAGTTATTTCTCCCAGCAGTTTGAATCCCACTGCCTTCTGGTCTGTAAGGTTTCTGCTGAGAAATAACTTGATAATCCTATAGAGGCTCCCTTGTACATTGTAAGCCACTTTTCTCTTGCTACTGCTTTCAAGATTCTCTCTTTGTGATTCACCTGTGGCAATTTGATTAGAATGTGTCTCAGTGTGGGTCTCTCTCAACTTATCCTAGTTGGAATTTGTTGAGCTTCCTGAATTTGTTCTTTTTTTTTTCTTTTTTGAGGTAGGGTCTCACTCTGTTACCTAGGTGGAGTGCAGGGGAGAAATCATAGCTCACTGCAGCTTCAACTCCCTGGGCTCAAGTGATCTTCCCAACTCAGCCTCCTAAGTAGCTGGGACCACAGGCATACACCACTATGCCTGGCTAATTTTTGTGTTTTTTTGTAGAGATGGAGTCTCACAATCCTCCCCAGGCTGGTCTTGAACTCCTGGGCTCAAGCAATCCACCAACCTCAGCCTGCCAAAGTGCTGGGATAACAAGGAATTGCATATCCATTTATTTCCTCAAATTTGGGAAGTTTTCAGCCATCTTTTTTTCAAATAAGTTTCTCCCCTTTTTCTCTCTTCTCCTTCTGGAACTCTCATAATGCCTGTATTGGTCCACTTGGTGGCATCCCTTAACTCCCTTAGGTTCTCTTCACTTTTCTCCATTCTTTTGTGGTTTTTGTGATTTTTTTTTTTTTTTGGTCTTATGACTAGAATATGTCGAATGACCTGTCCTCAAGTTCACTGATTCTTTCTTCTGCTTGACTAAGTCTGCTATTGAGCTCTTCTATTGAACTTTTCAACTCAGTTATTGTATTTTTCCACTTCAGAATTTCTCTTTAGTTCTTCTTCATAGTTTCTACCTCTTTGTTGATATTCCTAGTCTATCATACATCCTTTTCCTGATTTCTTCTCGTTGTCTATGTTCTCTTTTATATGGCTGAACACCTCTAAAACCACTGACAGTTATTTTAAATGCTTTGTCAGATAATTCAGATATCTGAATGTCTTTAGTGTTTGTTTCCAAAGATTTATTTCATTCCTTTGATTGAGTCATGTTTCCCTGTTTCTTTGTAAGTCTTGTGATCTTTTGTTGATATTTGGGGATTTGAATAAACACCTACCTCTCCCAGTCTTTATAGGCTGGCTTTGTGCAGAAAAAGACGTTCGCCAATGAGTCTGGCTAGAGGCTCTGAGATCTCTCAAACATTTTCTGGTCATATGTCTTCTTTGTACTTGTGAGTGTGTTTTTTATTCCAGTATATATGGCTGCTTTTAGCTGTCTTATTTTCCCTTACAAGCTTGCCCCTGCTTCTTCTCAGGAGCTTTTGGTTTCCATTTCTATTATATTCCTGTGACCATAATTTCTTGCTTCCCTAATGCCTGTCAGTGGAACTGCAGACTCCCTGCTGCTAACATGCTGCAGTGTTTGCCTCTATTTTCACTGTGGCCTCCAACCTGTTATCTAATCTATCCTTGGTATCTAAACTGCTGCCATTAGCACTCCAAGTTAGGAGAAACAGAACCAGTCCCTCAAGGGGCCCCCAATAAGCCAGAATGTTGAATTCAAGTTCCACTCTTTTCTTCCTGTCCCAAGGGAGGAGCCAGTAATTGGGAGGTTTCCTCCCAGTGGTGCTACACTGCACCGAGTGGGAAGAGAAGCTAGAGTGAGCAAAATGCCTTCAACTTTCCTTCACTTTTCAGCTTTTTTTTTTTTCTTGGTTGTGCATTTCCCTGGGTCCTGTAGCTTCCCAAATGGTTTCCAGAATACTCAGAAATGTATTTTCATCCAATATTGCTATTATTTCAGGATCTCTGTAAGGGAATAAGGATGTTGAGCTTCTTAGTCCACCATCTTGCTGATCTCACCCCTATCAGTTGATTTTTGACAGAGGTAAAAAGGTAATTCAATGAATAAATCATAGGTCTTTGATTGAATTATAGGCCAAATTGTAAAACCTAAAATTATGAAACTTTTACAAGAAATTCTAGAAGAAAATTTTTGTGACCTTGGTTATACAAAGATTTTTTTACATGTGATACCAAAAGCATGATCCATAAAAATTGTTTCGATACACTGGGCTTTATCAAATTTAAAACTTCTGCTCTTTAAATAATTCTATTAAAAGGAAAAGACATCTAAGATGGTAAATTTTATGTTGTATGTATTTTAACTCTAAAGAAAAATTGGGGAAACAAAAAAAGTCAAGACATGGACTGGGAGAGTATAGATTAGACTGGAGTAATGTATCAATTTTAATTTCCTGAATTTATTGTTGTATTGTGGTTACTGTGGTTACTAAATTATTTGAAGGTAATGGAGCATAATATTAGCAACTTACTCTTAAATGGTTCAAGAGGAAATAAGTCTTTGTATTGTTTTTACAGCTTTGCGTAAGTTTCAGGTTGTTTCAAAAATGAAGGCTACTCTAACAATTTTAATACTTATTCAGGTAAGTCTCAATGAAATTACAAATGTGAAATTATCAGAGCCCTTATCAGAGTAAACACAAGATGATGAGCATGAAATTGGCAAGACTTGGAGACTGTTTGGATGAGGGAGCAGTGACAGCAGGTGGCGTCTAAGATGACACTAAATTTTGAGGCCTGGAAGATTGAGAAGATGTTGGTGTCTTATTAGAAAAAGAAGGGAAATAGAAATGCATAAGTCAGGAAGAAGATTAGGGTTGAGGAAGAAAAAGAATGAGTTTGTTATTGTGGAAACATTGAGTTGATAGAGTAGTTCACAGTATGTTCAGATTCCAGGTCCCCATGAGCATTTGGATAATAAGAGATGCTAGATGCAGTGTGTGTTTGTGTGTATATGTGTGTTTGTGTATGTGTGTACATGTATGCATGTATATGTGTGTCTTTGGTCGGGGGAGCCAAGCAATGTTTGGCTTGGCTTGCTCTGGGTCCACCCCAGTAACTGTCTGAATGTGCCACATCCCTACCATGAATTAGCCCTCTTACCAGTACCGTGGTTGTCCACACCAGTGAGGGGAATGGGCCTAAATATATAATTGATTATTCTTGGAAGATTGCCAAAAACAGAAGCCAGAAACCTCCCAAGCTGTTTCCAGAGCATAATGTATTTTCAGCGCACACAAATCTCCATTGCCAAATGGTCTGTCAATGGCCTGGATTGTTAAAGAGACTGAATGCATTTTGGTTGCACAGATGTGTCCTCTGATTATCTTATTATTTAATGCCCTCTATAAAAGTATCTTATGGCCTAAATACCTTATCTTGGCATTTGAGGTGCTCTCCAAACATAATTTTGTAGACCCCTTTCCTCTTGTCTCCCAACTAAGTCCTCACTCCAGCCAGCTCGGTCTCCTTTTCATTGTCAAAGCTTGTCTTGCTGTCTACCACTTTTGAGACCTTACTCACCCTGTTCTGCCACTTGGAATCCCCACTGTGTGCTGGCAGAGCATCATGCTAGGCACTGTGGAGGCACTGAGCTGATTAAGACACAACTTCCATGCTCAAGGAACTTGCATTCACAATAGAAATAGAAGGTGCTTACATGAGGGAAATGAAAATCTTTATGAAGTTAGACGCGAGAGAGGAATGGGTGTGTGCACCTCTAGATTGGATAGATGCTTGCTTTTCCAATTATGACTTGCAGCGAAGCCAACCTGTCCCCAAATCATCCATTTACAAATGGCTTCTCCCACTTCCTGGAATGTACCCATCATGTTTTGCCATGCTCATTGTCTCTCATTCTTCAGGCCTAAATAAAAAATCTTTTCCTCAGAGTGGCCTTTCCTGATGCATTCCTACCACAGTCTACAATATGGTGAGAAAGTCTAAACTCATACTTCCTTTTTTTGTTCTTATCAGGTAAAACACCAGGTGCACTATAAAGAAATGGGGGCAAAAACCAAAGAGTTTCAGAATCTCAGACCTGGAAATGACCTTAGCCAGCCCAGCCTCTTGTGCAGCAGATGAGGAAACTGAGGTTCAGACAGGGAAAGTAGCTCACCAAACACCACACAGTTCATATGCTTTGGGTTGCAAGAATTAAAATCTCAATCCAAACAGGCTTACACCAAAAGGAATCTGTTAGTTCATATAATTGAACAGTCTAGAGGTATATCTAGCTTTAGATCAGACTTGATCTGGGACCCCAATACTAAGATTTGGATTAAGTCAGTCTCTCTCTCCCGCCAACCTCTTCTCTTCTCCTCACTTCCTCCTCTTTCTTCTTCCTCTCTCTCTCTCTCTGTCTGTCTGTCTCTCTTTCTCCCTCTGTCTCTCTTTCTCTCCCTCTGGATCTCCCACTGTAGAACCAAAATGGGCATTAAGGCATCTTACATGCTTCCTTGCTAGGACTCCATTTTCCTCAGCAACTCAATTGAAGCTCCAGAAGTTAGCTTCATTGGCCTGATTCACCTGCCCTGGGACATAGTACATCTCTGAACCCAACACTGTAGCCATTGGAATGGGATGTGCAGATTGGCTTAAGCAAAACAGGACTCTGCCTTAGAACAGGAGGTAGGATCAGTTCACCAAAATCTAATGGCTGAGAAATGTTGGATGCCATTGTGAAAGGGAGAAGAGAATCAGTGCTAAGGATACAATCCACAGAAGTCCACCCGAGAAAGTTACTGGCAAAGTCAGGGCTGAAGGTCAGGTCTCTAGGCTCTAGGTCAATGGTTTCATCACATTCTTGGAAAAGTTCAGTGACAGCTAAGGCTCTGTCATAGCAAGATGTAGCCAATAGAGCTTTGCATTCAAACAATTCTGTGATGACTCCAAAGTGGTAATGCTAAATTCATCTTTCCTCAGGCAGGGAGAGAGAAATAACTCCAGGATCTGTGTCCAGATAGAGACGGTACAAGAAGAAGAGGGATGATTCCTGGAACAAGCTGTAGATCCAAATCAGGAATTAGAAGTGGAGAACCTGAATAATAATTGTCCTCCATGTGTTGTCAATGGAATAGAATCAGCATAATTGATTTAATCTATACAAAGTGAGACAGGCCTTCTGGAAAACTGCCCATGAACAGATCAGCAAGACCCATAATTGGCATATTAGATGAAAATAAAGTGAAGACTAAAGATGGAATCCTTCCAACCTACAGTACTCAGAGCAAGGCAAACAGAGTCTGGCTGGTTGGAGTACAGCAGGAAGAAGGCTGGCCGCTGTTAGTGATTCTGAGGCAGCCACAGTTTAGAGCTGCCTTTTTCAGGAATTCTTATCTGTGTGTTGTGTATAAAATGAAGCTCACACACAATACACTCTATTCCCAATAATGTATCATTTAAGATGTGCTTGTTTCTTAGTTTAACCACATAAAAATATATCATCTGCTAATCCTCTTAGAGTCCTCCTAGTCCTGTAACGATAACCACCCCTTGGCACATAATACTGTCACCAAATAAGCAGGAATGACTCATGAGTATTTTGATGATTTCACCTCCATCCTTCTTCAGTGTTCTCCTGGAGAGAAGGGCTAGAGAGACACAGGACAGTTCTATCCCACAAGGATCCCATTGTGGCACATATTTAATAAGAAAGAAAATTCACATTTCTTGGCAACTTGCTCCATAATCTAGTCCTGGCCTATCTTCCAAATTCAACCTCTCATGTGCCCTCTACAGTTTCCATCACAACAAACATCTAGCAAAGAGTTTTCCCATATAACCCCCATGCTTGTTTGATGTGTTACCTTACACAAGTAGCATCCTTTGCTTTACCACACATCTATGGGCTAGACTCAGATGGTGGCCTCCAGTTTTGACTGCCAGATTAAAATACCGCCTTCTTGGTTAACCCTTCTTTTATTCTCAACAAGAAAAAAATGACTGCTCTCTCCTTTAGACACCACATCATTTTGCTTATTTCCCCCTTAGACCATTCATTGCATGCCTTGTATTGCCAAGATTTGTGCATTCATCTTATCTTTCACATGGATCTCTGGATTTCCAAGGCAGATGCCACAGGTGATTTATGTCTTCAGTCCTAGCTTAGCTGGATTTATCAAAGAAAATGCATAGGGCAGGAACTGTGTGTATTTTGACAATGGTGGCATCTTGAGCAAGTGTGGTCAGATATCTTATGGAGGTTTTGAGGGCAAGGAAATGGGGAGAGCCCCTGGGTTCATTCTCTGATGAGACTCCCTGAAACCTTCCTTTCATTGCCTCAGTCCTAAGTCTTTCACTGTGGAGCTACTTGTCATCCTCAGCCCAGAGAAACCTTCACTCATTGAGTTACCATGACCCTGGGCAGTTACTAACCCATGAAGCAATTTCAGACCAATATTCTTGATGGTACCAATTATCTGTAAAACCATTTGTGAGGTGACATCCAGCTAGTAACATGCCCTGGGGTGGGATGTTTCCAGGAAAGTTGTCTAGATTACAAAAATAGACTCTTAGGCCACCAGTCACAGAATTAGATTCTGGTACCAACGACCATTTTATTTTTATTTTGGATTTTTTTTCCCACTGTGCTGCCACTACCATCTTATGCTGGGACTCCAGCTACCCAAACTGCCCTACCCCTGTGCAAGGTGACAGTGAATCTTCCACTAAGAATACGGGTTCTGGAGTTAAGATACAAGGTTTGGAACCGGCTCCTTTCATTGAGAGATCTTGAGCAAGTCATTTGACCTCTCTGAGTCTCCATCAATTTATCTGCAAAGCAATGAAAGCAATCGTGTCTATCAATAGGATTGTTTTGAAAATTAAGTTACCATGCAAAGAAAGCTCCTGGCATATAATAGCACTAAAAATGCTAGCTAATATTTTATTGACTTCAATATCATTATTAGCAGAATTTCTAGTGACAAAATTCCCAGGTTAACATCTAAAGGGAGCCATAAAACAGACTCTTGACCACCCTCTTTCCTGGAGCTAAAACTCTCAAGATATCAAGACCCCTCTTCTACCTGCAGAAATAGCTGTTTTCATGCATCTTTGATAGAATGTACCTCATCCTTTTCTCAATCTGCAAGAATAAGAGCTAGAACCACCAGCTGGAAAATATGAGGATACTGGTGTCAACTCAATGTAACAGAACTTTCTCACAGACAGGGCTGTCCAATCATGGAATAGGCTGCCCTGGAGGTAGTGAATACCCAAGCATAGGAGATATCTAGGTAAAAACTGGACAAAGCCTTGTTGGAAATATTGTGAAATAACCCAGATATCATATCCAGGGATTGAACTAGAAGAACTTGAGGACTTGACCAACCATAGAATTCAATACTATAGTTATCTTTTCTTTTTTTATTCCTAGCCTTTCCTTACAGAAAAATAATTTGATAACATCAAAAATTAGCCAAAACAGCTACTACAGCTGGAAGTCTGCTTTGTGGAGCATGGCATTTGCAAAGCAAAGATCCTGAAACTATGTTTTTTGAATAGTGGAAAAGAATTTCTAGTACACATGCTACCAACCCCTACAAAACTCATACTTGAGAAGTCAAAGAAAGCTCTACTTGGTAAGCTATTATTTTAAAAAGGCATTCACTGAATTGCTTAGCTATGTGCACCTTGAATTGAGTTGAGTTCAGGAACAAAATGTATCAAAATATATCTGCCTTCTAGGTTTTAATCTGTTACACTTTCTGGCATTGAATTATGTCCTTTATCTTCTGGGAAGAATAAAATCTCTCATCCTAATCAAAGAGTACTTATTAGATGTCATAAGTATAATACAGAATTTAGTTTTTGTCATGGGAGATTCTAACACCCTTGGAATTTCTTGAGCCATAGGTGTCATTGTTATGCTAATAAGATTACTCATAGTGGGCCCTTAAATAGCTTGAGGATGGGGACTGATCACCAGAAAGACCAACAAGGTGATTAAAGTGTTGGGATTTTGGCCAGATCAACCTCCAGGAAGAGAACAGGGGCTGGAAATTGAGTTCAATCACATGGCCAGTGATTTAATCAAGTGTGCCTGTGTAATGAGACTCCAATAAACACTCTGGATAACAAAGCTCAGTGTAGCTTCTTGGTTGCTAAACACACTGATGTGCCAGGAAAGTCACAAGCCTTACTCCCTGGAAATAGGGCATGGAAGCTCTATGTTCAAGACCTTCCCTTCCCTATATGCATCCTTTAAAATAAAGTTGTATTCATAAGTGTATTGCTTTCCTAAGTTCTGTGAGTCATTCTAGTGAACTATCAAAACTGAGAGGGTCATGGGGACCCCTAAACTTATAGCCAGTTCATCAGAAGTGCAGCCCGAAAACCCCCAGGGTGTGTTTGGTATCTGAAGTCAGCACAGTCTTGTGGAGGACTGAGCCCTTAAATCTCTAGAGTTGAACATTAATTCTGGGTGGCTAGAGTCAGAAGTAAATTGTAGGATACCAAGTTGTGGTTGAAATAGAATGGATGCCATAACAGAAAGTTACTACACTGGATAGGTTATGTCTTGGCTTTCCCTTCTACGAAAGTTTCGACCACAAAATATTGACAAGGATGAGGGGAAACCGGGGTTACAGACTAAGAACGTAAGTCTTAGGAGGTAACATAAGGAACCAGATGGGAAGAAACTGGGCCAGTGGAGGACACTGGGGAGCATGTAAGTTCTTTACTCCACAGGCAGCAAAAGTAGGTCTGGTGTTGGAAATTTAGGAAAGGGTGGGAATACGGGCCAAAAGGAGTGCTTGTTATAAGTTTTCATTTAATTCTCCTACAAATTTATGATAGTCATCATCACTTTCTCTTTACAGATGAGAAAAATGAAACCCAAAGAGGTTGAGTAATAGGAAAAAGCCTGTACATGTCAGAGTCAAGATTCTTAACCCACATCTATTTGATTTTAAGCCCCTTGCAACATTTCATGCTGTCCTTCCCTGTAAGGGGGACTGGCAATGTCTCAGCACCCTGGTCATGATGGGAAGCCTCTGAACAAGAGATGGGAACACAGTCACTCAGCCAAGACTAGGGAGCAGTCTTTCAGTGGTAGGAGAGGGGAGAGGACAGGGGTGGAGAGGGGAAGGTTTTTGTGAGAAACTGAAGCATATGGCAAAGCTATAATGACTGAGATTCACATATGAAAACATAATACCATAAACGGAGTAGAGGGAGGAACCAGTCACAGAATCACAGAATCAAAGTAGAAAAGAGGCAGAGTCACACCAGCAGCATCTCAGTAGCCTGAGTGCTGAGCAAACTGGCTTTCCCCTCTTAGAGGTCAGAATCAATCCCAAAACCCCAGCTGTATGGCTGGAACTCTGTAGAGACAGGGTTTGGTGAAATAATAGAGTCATTGTTCTAAAAGGAGCAGCTAACGTAAGTACAACAGGCAGTAAGTGCTTGCATTGTGATGAAGCCTAAATCCAGCTGGATTTATAAGGAATCGAAACTCTTTTTAAAACTCAGTGTAGGCCCCCCAAAAATACATTCATCGTGTACCAGCATGTCATCCCAGGACAAGTGAAAAGTATAATATTCATTTAGGGAAAACAGGAAAAATGGGTGAGCTGGTTTCTTCCATCAGAAGGTGTTACAAGGCAGATACAGACCAGTTTTTTTTCTTAATTCACATAAGAATGAAATGTACTGACATCAAAATAGGAAGAATTGTTTGAGTGTCAAGGAAATTAAGAGGAATGAAAGCCGAATGAAAGCTGTGTCAAGAAGACCATAGATGGGTCTACCTTTCTTTTGATTATTAACCTTTCAGGGGTTTTATCAAGTTCTAACATCATGTTATCCAGTTTTTCAAGCACTATCATATGAAAGACTATAAATTGACTTTTCATTTATCTAAATTGAAATTAAAGGTAAGTAACCCCTATCCTTTTAAATTATGTTGCGTATTTAGGGTTTCATAAAATTTGAATCCACATATTCATCTGCTTAAAAGCAGTTAATAAAGCAACTGACTTACTAGATGACCCTCCAGCCCTGTGATTCTTAACTTTATTTTCAAACTTGTAAACTTTTTTAGTGTGACATATATCACATATACAGAACAGTACACTATTCAGATTTTCTAATTCTTCTTGTGTCATTTTTAGTAAGTTGCATTTTAAAGAAAATTTCCTATTTTATCTATTAATGTTTTATGTCTGTAGGATTTGAAGTGATGCCTGCTTTGTTCATATCTGACATTGGTTATTTCAGTATTCCCTCTTTTTTTTAATCAGCCTCAAGAGAGATATCAAATATTATTAATCTGCTTAATAATTTAATATTTCATCAATTCTTCTCTTGGAGTTAGTATTTCCTTTCTTCTAATTTCTTCACGTTTGACTTCACATTCTTGTTCCAGCTTCGTAAAATAGATGCTTAGTTCATTGATAACAGCCCTTCTTTTTAAATATGCATTTAAAATTATAATTTTTCCTCTAGGCATAGCTTTAGTTACATTCCACAAGAAAGTTTTGAATGTATAATTTTTTTTTTTTTTTCTGAGACAGTCTCACTCTGTCACCCAGGCTGGAGTGCAGTGGTACAATCTCTGTTCACAGCAGCCTCCATGTCCCAGGTTCAAGCAATTCTTGTGCCTCAGTAGCTGGGGTTACAGGCATGTGCCACTATGCCTGGCTAATTTTCTATTTTTAGTAGAGACAGGGTTTTGCCATGTTCACCAGGCTGGTCTCAAACTCCTGGCCTCAGATGATCTGCCCACCTTGGCCTCCCAGAGTGCTGAAATAACAGGCATGAGCCACCACACTTTTTAAAGGGTCATTAATGCAAGTGAATAACTGAAAATGGTAAATTATTACAAATGATTTCTGTATGATTGAAAAGAATAAATATTTTGCAGTTTTTGTAGTCTTTTAATCTTTATAAAACACAGGTTATTCAAATATTATATATTCTTACTGATTTTTTGCCTGCCTTTTCAAGCAGTTGCAGAAGGAAAGATACTTTTAAATCCCCGTTATGATTACAGATTTTCCTTTATTATTCTATCTTTGTCATAATTTCCTTTATACATTTTGAGGCTATGTTTTTAGGAGCATACAAATTTGGAACTGTAGTATTTTTCTGGTGATTTGAAAATATTATTATTTTGAGATATAACTCTACTGCTTTTACTATGTCTTATTGTATACTTTTTTTTAAGTGTCTGCTCTAGGGATTATAATAAACATACATCTGATCCTCATTATTTATGAATTTTGTATTTGTGAATTCCCCTGCTAACTAAAATTTGTTAACCACAGAGTCAATATTTGTGGCAGGCACTTTTGCAGTCCTTTGCAGACATGCACAGAATGGTGACAAGTTTGAGTCACTCAATGTGCACATTCTCAGCTGAAGTTGAACCAGGTGATAGTCACTTCCTTGATTCAGCTTTCATAATGTAGCCAACTGTCCTTTTCATGGTCTACTTAGTGCCACATTTTTTACACTTTTATGCTTTCTTTTTTGTAAATTCAATGTTTAAAATGGCCTCCAATCCTGAAGTGTTGTCTTGTGTCCTTAAGCACAAGAATATTGTGCTGTGCCTTACAAAGAAAAGATGTGTGTTAGATCAGCTTTGCTCAAGAACAAGTTGAAGTGCTGTTGGCTGTGAGTTCAATGTCAATGAATCAACAAAATATATTAAATAAGGCACCTTTAAACAGAAACATACATAAAGCAAGTTTATGTATTGATCAGTTGCTAAAAATTGTGTGACCAAAGGCTTACAGGAACATAACCCTGGAAGCAATAGTTTAATATTTGCTAATTCAATGCTCATGGAGATTTTATAGAACAAAACTACTATAAGTAACAAGAATCAACTGAACTTAAATTTTCACAGTCTACTTAGAATTAGTGTTTATCACTTCATTTGGAACGTCAAAACTTTATCACCATACAGATCCCTTTACCCTTCCCTCTTTATCCTGCAATTATCATATGTAGTATATAAATGTATATTGAAAATTCTACTGGACAATGTTAATTTTTTTGTTTGTTTGTTTGTTTTTTGAGACAGAGTTTCACTCTTGTTGCCCAGGCTGGAGTGCAATGGGCCGGTCTCAGCTCACTGCAGCCTCCACCTCCTGAGTTCAAGTGATTCTCCTGTCTCAGCCTCCCAAGTGGCTGAGATTACAGGCACCCACCACCACATCTGGCTAATTTTTGTATTTTTAGTAGAGACGAGGTTTCACCATATTGGCCAGGCTGGTCTCAAACTCCTGACCTCAGATGATCTGCCCGCCTTGGCCTCTCAAAGTGCTGGGATTATAGGCATGAGCCACCGTGCCTGGCCTTGCAGTTTTTACTTTCAACCATCATTCATATCTTGACTTAAAAACTTGAAGGGAGAAAACAGTCTATTACATTTGCCAACAAAGCATTTCTGCTGTTCTTCCTTTACCTTGAATTTCTTTCTAGTATTATTTTTCTTCCATGTGACAAACATAAACTTATTTTTACATATCTTTTAGAGCAGGTATGCTGGCAGTGAATTATCTTAATTTTCCTTCACCCAAGGGTGTCCTTTTTAAATCTTTATTCAAGAAAGATGTTTTCACTGGATACAGAATTCTGGATCTTTGAGCACTTAAAAAATATTGTTCCACTGCTTCATGGCCTCCATGGTTTCCAATGAGAAATCTGAAGTTATTCAGCTTACTTATGTCTGTCTTTCTCTGGCTGCTTTCACAATTTTTTCATCTTTGGATTTTAGCAGTCTAATTATGATGTGTTTGTGTGTATATTTCTTTGAGTTTGACCTGTCTGAGGTTTGCTGAGGTTCTTGAATCTGTAACTTTATATCTTTTACCAAATTTGGGAAGTTGTCAACATAAAATATGTTTCTTCAAACATATTTTATTCACATTTCTTCTTCTGTTTTTTAGAAACTTCAGTCATGTAAGTGTTAGACCTTTTGATATTATCTCATGGGTAATTTTATTTTTTAATCTTTTTCTCCTCTGTCTTTCAGCTTGGGTGTTCTCTATTTATCTATCTTCAAGTTCACTTACTCTTTCCTTTGTAATCTCCATTCTGCTACCGAGGATATTAAGTTAATGTTTTATTTCAGTATGTACATTTATATTCTAAATAGTTCTAAAACTTCCATTTGGCTCTTTTTTGTTTTATATCTGTGTATCTTTGCTGAAACTTTTTATTTGTTTCAAGATCATTCAAGCTTACTTCTTGGAGCATGATTTTAATGGCCACTTTACAGACTATGATGTCTAATAATTCTGACATTGGAATCATCTTGGAGAGGGCATCTGTTGTCTTTCTTCTTGCATGGTGTTTTATTTTTTCTGGTATTTTGTATGTTGAATAATTTCAGGTTGTATACCGAACATTTTGAATATTGTGTTGAGACTCCCAGTCCTATTTAAATCCTATGGAGAATACTTATTTGTTTGTTTATTTATGTTTAGTAGGCAATAGACTCAGTTAGGATCAGCCACAAGTTTTGATCAACTGTAGTTTCAATGTCAGTTCTGTTTTTAAATTATTTGCAATACTATTCAGACATATGCTGTGTGTGTCACCCACACCTAGGCCCGCTGGAGACTAGGCTGGTGGTCTACCCCTATAGTTCAGTTCTCAAAATCATTAGCATGCTGTTTACAATCAGCATGTGCTGCTTAGGGATTGAACCCATGGGTTCATCCATAACCTCATGGAATCCTTTTCTCAAGCTTTCCCCTCTCCACAGTCTGATCTCTACACTCTCTCCTTGGGGGCTCCTTTCCTGTCCTCTGGCTAGAAACCCTGGGCTTTAGTCTCCCTAAAGTGCTGTGCACTTCCCATCATTGGGGCCACCTCAGAGGCCAAGTGGTTTGAGTCTACAGAGAGAAAAAAACAATAAGGATCTCCCCACTTCTTCAGACAGCAGTTATAGCCAGAGAGAAGGATTTATGTTCCTTAGAATTTTAGGTGCTGGCCTGGCCACTGCCGCCATCATTGCCACAGGGAACTTTCAGGAATGATGAGAGAAATAAAAAATACAAACAAATTTCCCACACCTTCTCTGCTCTCTCTGTCTGCTAAGAGCTCCTCTGCCTACTTTTCTGACTAGAAAGGGGTTCCCTTGAAGCTAGCTAGCTTGCCTGCTTGCTTTGGGGATAGGATCCTGCTCTGTCCACCCAGGCTGGAGTGCAGTAGCATGAGCTTGGCTCACTGCAACCTCCACCTTCTGGGCTCAAGCAATCCTCCTACCTCAGCCTCTCGAGTAGCTGGGACTACAGGTGTGTACCACCATGCCTGGCTGTTTTTAAAATTTTATTTGGTAGAGACGGGGGTCCCACTATGTTACCCGGGCGGGTCTTGAACTCCTGAACTAAAGTGATCTGCCCACCTCGGCCTTTCAAATTGCTGGGATTACAGACATGAGCTACTGCACCCAGCCTAAGGCTTTTTATTTTTTTTCACATTTAGTGAGCTGTTCCAGGATTCTCTTGCCTTTGAGCTAACACCAGAATATATAGAGGAGGAAATGGCAGGGACTTCACTGCCACATCAGCCATATTTCAAGTTCAGATTTTCTCCCCAGTCTGCCTGATCCCCAATTTACTTTTCAGTCCTCAGATAGTTGCCGCACATATTCTGTTCCAGACTTTTAGTTGCATTCAGTGGGAAAAACAGAATAGAATGTGCTTAGTCCACCTTAATTGGAATTGAAAGTGGTTTGTGTATTTCTAAATTTTATAGAAATTGTATCAGACTGTCTTATTCGCAACATAATATTTCACCTAATTCTGTATTATCACATAGATCTGAATAATACAAACATAGAAACTGCTGTATCTGGTCCCCTATTGATAAATATTTAGTTTGCTTCCAGATTTTTACTGTTGCAAGCAATGTTGTAAAGAACATCCTTGTACGTGTTTCCTTGTCCACGTGTGAGAGTTTCTCCAGGACATATACCTAGAGGTGTGATTGTTGAGTAGAAAGATATATCCTGTGTTTTACCAAATTGCTTTCTAAAGTAGTTGTATCAATTAACACTTCTTCTGGAAATGGTTTAGCATTCCTCACTCCTTTCCTACATCCTTGCAAGCAAATAGTGTTATCAGATTTTTAAAAACAAATGTTTCACTTTGATGGGTGTGAAATGGCATCGTATGATTGTTTTATTTTTCACTTCTCTTTGAAATTATCTTCTGACCTCATAAATACATATACACTCTAAAAGTAACATACGCTATTACAGAAATACAGAAAAATTGGGGAAAATAGAAAAGTATAAAGAAGATTGTTTTAAAAATCCAATAACAAAAAAAACTCCAGGTATTATCTTAGAATAGGAAGACAGGTAGTTAGAACTGGGCATGGCTGTTGAAGGGGATTGAGTGTTAGTGTAATATTTTAATTTTTTTATATAAAAATGTATTCATACATTTTATATAATTAAACATTAACTTTAAAATAAATGAGCCTCTTGTTGGGCTATGTCTTTCCATTGTATACATTGTATATTTATATGTTATATTATTACATAGATATGAGTAGACTATATTTGCAACTTAAAATCTTTATTTTTAAATTAATTATGACATAAAGATTTCTTTATAGAAGAAAAATTTGTAAGCATCTTTAACGATTGCACAAAGTCTCATCTACTATAATTCACTAAATTGTTCGCCCCTTATGGGCATTGGAGTTAGTTTCAGTTTTTCCTCTTTGGTTGGAAAAATAACACTTCAAGGAACATCCGTGCCAACATTCTGGATTGTTTTTTCAGGATAAATTCCTGGAAGAGTAATCAGCGAATTGAAGGATACAAATATTGTTAAGACTCTTGATATGTTCTACCTTATTGTTCTTCAGAAATATTGGGTCATTTCTAGCAATTCCATTATTGAGTATATATTCAAAAGAAAAAAAAATCGTTCGACCAAAAAAGACACATGCGCTCATGTGTTCACCACAACACTATTCACAATAGCAAAGTCACGGAATCGACCTAGGTGCCCATCAGTGGTGGACTGGATAAAGAAAATGTGGTACATATACCCCATGGAATACTACACAGCCATAAAAAGAAAGAAATCATGTCCTTTGCAGCAACACAGATGGAGCTGGAGGCCATTATCCCAAGCGATTTAATGCAGCAACAGAAAATCAAATACCACATGTTCTCACTTATCAGTGGAAGCTAAACATTTGATACTCATGGACATAAAAATGGCAAAAACAGACACTGGAGACTGGTAAAGGGAGGAGAGAGTGGGGGCAAGGGTTGAATAACCATCTATTGGCTACTAGGCTCAATACCTGGGTGATGGGATCAATCGTACTTCTAACCTCAATATTAAGCAATTTACCCATGTAAAAAACCTGCACATGTACCCCCTGAATCTAAAAGTTGAATGTATATTTAAAAAAAAAAAAGAAGAGGTATTAGGTCATTTCAACCAATAATACATAAGAGCACTTTGTCAGTATTTGAAAGTTTCGTATTTTAACAATTCTCTAATTTCTATTTCACATTGCTCAGAGAGGAACTCTAAAAAATGTCATTTAATTTGTCTAAAATATAGCACACTACAGAGAGAGAGAGAGAGAGAGTACGGTAGGGGGGAGGGGAAGAAAAAGAGAACGCATTGTACTCCCAACTAAAATATCACGGTGGGCAATCACTGAGTGAATCAGATTTCAGGAAAGACAAAGAGAACAAAATTAATTTCCTCCTTAACAGAAAACTCTGTTTTCCAACTATTTTTTGTAGCAGCAGTCATGTCACTTCTCTTACTTTTAGGACCACCTTCTAAGCCCAGCCACAAGTAGGTAAGACAAAAAATTCCACTGGTAATTCCACTGGGACTTAGTCCACTTGCTCCATCCTGCAGGTGGAGGAAACTGGGAACCCCAGTCTTGCCCAGCAGAATTCATCCCTGCCCAAAACAACACAGAATGCTCATTTCATTTTACTTTGACGCATTTTAGATCCCATGGGAAATGCTATTAAGTGATTGAATTCAAAACAGCATTTTATACCGTATATACAAAAAACAGCTTTTTGCCCACAGTAAACACACTTACAGGTTCGCTTTGCAACATTCAAATCATACAAAAATCAAACGCACACAAAATGTAGTCACATAAACCAATTCATAATGCTAGAAGCTAGTATTAAACATTGAACATAGACTTACTTTGCAAAGATGAAAATAATTTGAGTTTACTACAGCATTATTTCTAATTTTTCTCTATGCATATTTTGTTATTGAGAAAAGAGCATAGGATTATTTTTATCATTTTTTTTTTACTTAACTTTTTTAAGAGATAGGATCTTGCTCTGTCACCCAGGCTGTAGTGCAGTGGCATGATTATACTTCACTGCAGCCTCAAACTCCTGGGCTCAGCATCCCTCCCACTTCAGCCTCCAGAGTAACTGGAACTACAGGTGCATACTACACTTGGCTAATTTTTTTTTTTTTTTTTTTGAGACAACAGAGCTCTTGTTGCCCAGGCAGGAGTGCAATGGCACAAGCTCGGCTCACCGCAACCTCCGCCTTCCAGGTTCAAGCGATTCTCCTGCATCAGCCTCCCAAGTAGCTGGCATTACAGGCATGCACCACCACGCCCAGCTAATTTTGTATTTTTAGTAGATACGGGGTTTCTCCATGTTGGTCGGGTTGGTCTCGAACTCCTGACTTCATGTGATCTGCCTGCCTCGGCCTCACAAAGTGCTGGGATTACAGGCATGAGCCACCACACCTGGTCCACACTTGGCTAATTTTTATCTTTTTTGTAGAGATGTGGTCTTGGGTTCGAGGCCCAGGCTGGTTTCTAACTCCTGGCCTCAAGCAATCTTTCTGCCTCAGTCTCCCAAAGGACTAGGATGACAGGCGTGAGCCTCTATGCCTGGCCTGATTTTTCACTTAACTCTTTAATGTAAGAAGTTTACCTGCTATTCATCACCCTCCATAATACTATTTTTAATAGCTGTGGAATAAACCAAAATTTACCACTTGTCTTTAGTCGCCTGGAGAGTTATCAAATGTCAGGCCCTGTGCTAACCTCATTTAACCCACGTAATGTTCTTATAAGGCAGGTTCTATTATCATCCCCATTTGACAGACGAAACTGTTGCACGAAGTCTGGTATCTTATCTCGGGGATGAAAAAAGAAATCACGATCTAAACAGTGATCCTTGATTGCTAACTGAGATTTTCATAGAAACTGAGAGTCCAAATAATCTCTGTTTTAAAACTTCAGTTACCTTGTTTTAGCTGAGCTGGTGTCCATTTCTATGGAAACAGATGTAGCAGCAGAGGAGTGAAAATTGGCTTTGGTGAGCGTCAGAAACAATTGCTGCCCGAAAGCAGGACTGTCGCTTCCTAAATCACACCTGCCCAGCCTGAGACATAAGGGACATGGCTGGAGTTTGTAGATTATTGGCTTTGGAAATTAAAAAAGAGAGTTATGCCAAATTTGATGCTTAACTCCTCAGCTAAGTCTCACTAGTCAGTCTAAATAATTCAGGCAAAATTAGGGTACTTTTTTTTAACCCAGAGTTTGCAGAAACTCTGTCTAGTTATCTCCAACATTTTTTAGATAATTGCCAAATATTCTATCTCATTCACAAGGAAAAAGCTTGTTTTTACCAAAAAGTAATTACTGTCATTGAGTGACTATTCACTCTGTGCATAGCAATATAGGGTAATAATTTTATAATTACAATCTCACTCCTTAAGAAATTGTCACATATAACTTCAAGCACAAATAGTTTAAAGTTTATCATGGAAATTTTGAAACATCTACTAAACTAGATAGAATAAGGCAGAGTTGGAAAATTTTGTCCCATGAGCTAAATCTGGCCTGCCACCTGTTTTTGTAAATAAAGTTTTAGTGGAATGCAGCCACATTTATCCATTTACATATTGTCTATGGCTGCTTTCATGCTGCAATGGCAGAGCTGAATAGTTGTGATGGAGACCATATGGCCTGCAAAGCCTAAAATATTTACTATCTGGCCCTTTAAAAAATAGTATACTGACCACTGATCTAATGAACACCTATAGACCCATCAGTCAGCTTCAGCTCATTAGAAGCATGCATTTGCAGGTGAACTTGACTGTTCGAAGTCTTTCTTAGTGCCCCTTATAAGCCATTCAATTATTTATGCAACATAAATATCAACAGTTAAAAATTGTTGCAAGTACATGTACAATAACCAAATCAAGAAAATGTTTAGATAACAACATGGGATTGCTGTGATTTCTTCTTCCCTCTCTTGATGTATGTCACTCTGGAGTTGGGTACTGTAGAAAAAGAGAGTAGCACAAAATCCAAGGCTGAGAAAGTGAAAAGGTGCTTCAGAGAGGTGGGTGGCAGTGTAGGAGTGAAGGAAGAGCCGACAAGGAAATCTACAGAATCCTCTCCCCTTATACCCCAAGCCCCAGGAACCTGCCCAGCATACACCCCCAGCACTGATTCCAAGATTTTCTTAAGCTCGGCCCCTCGCTTGCTCTGCTGTATAGAGCAGCTCATTCACCAGCTCTGGCCAATAAGTCCACAGAAGACTCAAGTTTGCCCTGAAATACAAGGGCATGATCCTTGTCTTACCACAGGATTCTTCAGATCAAATGCATATATGCATACATGTGTTTCTTCAGAACACTGTAGTTCACACTCATAGTAGATTTGTAGTTCACACTGTAGTTCATAGTGTGGTAGATCTGAGAAATCATGTGGTGGGACCATCCAATTAACACTCAAGAATTTGGAGTGATGACATCACTATCATCACAAAAATGCAAGTTAAAACCACAATGAGATGCCATCTCACACCAGTCAGGGTGGCTATTATTAAAAAGTGAAAAATAACAAATGTTGGCAAGGCCATGGAAAAAAAGGAATGTTTATACACTTTTGGTGAGAATGTAAATTAATTCAACCCCATGGAAAACAGTATGGAGGATTTCTCAAAGAACAAAAAATGGAACTATCATTAAACTCAGCAATCAAACTACTTGGTATCTACCTAAAGGAAAGGAAATCACTCTATCAAAAAGACATCCACATTCGTGTTTATCATCACACTGTTGACAATAGAAAAGTCATGGAATCAACCTAAGTACCCAACAACAGTGTATTGGATAAAGAAAATGTGGTCCAGCTACACCATGGAATAGTATGCAGCCATAAAAAAGAACAAAATCATGTCCTCTACAGCAACATGGATGCAGCTGGAGGTCATTATCCTGAGTGAATTAATGTGGAAACAGAAAATCAAGTATCACATGTTCTCACTCATAAGTGGGAGCTCAACAATGGGTACACATGGATGTAAAGATGGAAACAATAGACACTGAGGACTCTGAAATGAGGGACAGAGGGAAGGAGTCAAGGTTTGAAAAACTACCTATTGGGTACTATATTCACAGTCTGAGTGGTGGGTTCAATAGAAGCCCAAACCCCAGCATTATACCATACACCTGTGCAACACATCTGCACACGGACCCTCTGGATCTAAAATTAAAAATACTCCAGGCACAGTGGCTTATGTCTGTAATCCCAGCACTTTGAGAAGCTGAGGTGGGTGGATCATTTGAAGTCAGGAGTTCAAGACCAGCCTGGCCAACATGGCAAAACCCCGTCTATGCTAAAAAAAAACAAAAAACAAAAAACAAAACAAAACAAAAACACACACACAAAAATTAGCCGGGCACAGTGGCCCATGCTTGTAATCCCAGCACTATGGGAGGCTGAGGCGGGCAGATCACTTGAGGTCCGGAGTTCAAGATCAACCTGACCAACATGGTGAAACCCTGTCTCTTCTAAAAATACAAAAAATTAGCCAGGCGTAGTGGCACTTACCTA
The DNA here is from genome assembly GCF_000001405.40 of Homo sapiens. Classification (NCBI taxonomy): domain Eukaryota; kingdom Metazoa; phylum Chordata; class Mammalia; order Primates; family Hominidae; genus Homo; species Homo sapiens. Next base: position 47,814,740 of record NC_000016.10, on the reverse strand, counting down.
TAGCACCAGCTACTCGGGAGGCTGAAGCAGGAGAATTGCTTGAACCAGTGAGGCGGAGGTTGCAGTGAACCGAGATCATGCCATTGCACTCCAGGCTGGGCAAGAGAGGTTCTGTCCAAAAAGAAATAATAATAATAATTAAATAAATGACATTGAAAAAAATGAATTTGGAGAAAAACAAATCAACATCAATAACAACAAAGGGGAGAAGTTCTTCCTTTGTCTTCCCCATGTCTTGTAACATTTTTCAATGTGCTTTCAGATTTACCTATTTATTTTATCCTCAGAACCTGCCTTTGAGGTATGTAGGCAATTTACCTGAATCTGCCTTTTATAGATGAGGAGTTCAAAGCACCGAGAGAGAAACACCATTTCTAAAGGTCATGTAGGGGCAGGATAGTCCTGAAAGCCAGATGGGGAATCCAAGCAATCTGACTTTGACTTCAGATTCTAATGCATGCCACCTCTGTCTCCTTAAGCAAATTTCTTAACCCCATTTTATGTCTTTTTTCTCCTTTGTAAAAAGTGGATAACACCTAACAGGTATTTAACAAATTTTTTCCATAATGTAGTATCCTAGAGAGAAAAAAAGAAGCTCAACATGATTTTTTAAAACTTGTCTGGAGTGCCCTGTGGGGTGGAGCCAAGATGGCCAAATAGGAACAGCTCCAGTCTACAGCTCCCAGCGTGAGCGACACAGAAGATGGGTGATTTCTGCATTTCCAACTGAGGTACCAGGTTCATCTCACTGGGGAGTGCAGGACAGTGGGTGCAGCGCACTGTGCGTGAGCAGTGAGCAGGGAGAGGCATCGCCTCACCTGGGAAGTGCAAGGGGTCAGGGAATTCCCTTTCCTAGTCAAAGAAAGGGGTGACAGACAGCACCTGGAAAATTGGGTCACTCCCACACTAATACTGCGCTTTTCCAATGGGCTTAACAAAAGGCACACCAGGAGATTATATCCCGCACATGGCTCGGAGGACCCTACACCCACAGAGCCTCACTCATTGCTAGCACAGCAGTCTGAAATCAAACTGCAAGGCAGCAGTGAGGCTAGGGGAGGGGCGCCCACCATTGCTGAGGCTTGAGTAGTAAACAAAGTGGCTGGGAAGCTCAAACTGGGTGGAGCCCACCACAGCTCAAGGAGGCCTGCCTGCCTCTGTAGGCTCCACCTCTGGGGGCAGGGCACAGACAAACAAAAGGCAGCAGTAACCTCTGCAGACTTAAATATCCCTGTCTGACAGCTTTGAAGAGAGTAGTGTTTCTCCCAGCATGCAGCTTGAGATCTGAGAACAGGCGGACTGCCTCCTCAAGTGGGTCCCTGAACCCCGAGTAGCCTAACTGGGAGGCACCCCCCAGTAGGGGTGGACTGACACCTCACACAGCCGGGTACTCCTCTGAGACAAAACTTCCAGAGGAACAATCAGGCAGCAGCATTTGCGGTTCACCAATATCTGCTGTTCTGCAGCCACTGCTGCTGATACCCAGGAGTTTGTTGGAGTGGACCTCCAGCAAACTCCAACAGACCTGCAGCTGAGGGTCCTGACTGTTAGAAGGAAAACGAACAAACAGAAAGGACATCCACACCAAAAACCCATCTGTACATCACCATCATCAAAGACCAAAGGTAGATAAAACCACAAAGATGGGGAAAAAACAGAACAGAAAAACCAGAAACTCTAAAAATCAGAGTGCCTCTCCTTCTCCAAAGGAACACAGCTCCTCACCAGCAATGGAACAAAGCTGGATGGAGAATGACTTTGACAAGTTGAGAGAAGAAGGCTTCAGAAGATCAAACTACTCCAAGCTAAAGGAGGAAGTTCGAACCAATGGCAAAGAAGTTAAAAATCTTGAAAAAAAATTAGACTAATGGCTAACTAGAATAACCAATGAAGAGAAGTCCTTAAAGGACCTGATGGAGCTGAAAGCCATGGCATGAGAACTACGTGACGAATGCACAAGCCTCAGTAGCCGATGCAATCAACTGGAAGAAAGGGTATCAGCAATGGAAGATAAAATGAATGAAATGAAGTGAGAAGATAAGTTTAGAGAAAAAAGAATAAAAATAAATGAACAAAGCCTCCAAAAAATATGGGACTGTGTGAAAAGACCAAATCTACGTCTGATTGGTGTACCTGAAAGTGACGGGGAGAATGGAACCAAGTTAGAAAACATTCTGCAGGATATTATCCAGGAGAATTTCCCCAATCTAGCAAGGCAGGCCAACATTCAAATTCAGGAAATAAAGAGAACACCACAGAGATACTTCTGGAGAAGAGCAACTCCAAGACACATAATTGTCAGATTCACCAAAGTGGAAATGAAGGAAAAAATGTTAAGGGCAGCCAGGGAGAAAGGTCGGGTTACCCACAAAGGGAAGCCCATCAGACTAAGAGTGGATCTCTTGGCAGAAACTCTACAAGCCAGAAGAGAGTGGGGGCCAATATTCAACATTCTTAAAGAAAAGAATTTTCAACCGAGAATTTCATATCCAGCCAAACTAAACTTCATAAGTGAAGGAGAAATAAGATACTTTACAGACAAGCAAATGCTGAGAGATTTTGTCACCACGAGGCCTGCCCTAAAAGAGCTCATGAAGGAAGCACTAAACATGGAAAGGAACAACCGGTATCAGCCACTGCAAAAACATGCCAAATTGTAAAGACCATCAAGGCTAGGAAGAAACTGCATCAACTAACGAGCAAAATAACCAGCTAACATCATAATGACAGGATCAAATTCACACGTAACAATATTAACATTAAATGTAAATGGGCTAAATGCTCCAATTAAAAGACACAGACTAGCAAATTGGATAAAGAGTCAAGACCCATCAGTGTGCTGTATTCAGGAAACCCATCTCATGTGCAGAGAGACACACATAGGCTCAAAATAAAGGGATGGAGGAAGATCTACCAAGCAAATGGAAAACAAAAAAAGGCAGGGGTTGCAATCCTAGTCTCTGATAAGACAGACTTTAAACCAAAAAAGATCAAAAGAGACAAAGAAGGCCATTACATAATGGTAAAGGGATCAATTCAACAAGAAGAGCTAACTATCCTAAATATATATGCACCCAATACAGGAGCACCCAGATTCATAAAGCAAGTCCTTAGTGACCTACAAAGAGACTTAGACTCCCACACAATAATAAAGGGAGACTTTAACACCCCACTGTCAACATTAGACAGATCAACGAGACAGAGAGTTAACAAGGATATCCAGGAATTGAACTCAGCTCTGCACCAAGCAGACCTAATAGACATCTACAGAACTCTCCACCCCAAATCAACAGAATATACATACTTTTCAGCACCACACCATACCTATTCCAAAATTGACCACATAGTTGGAAGTAAAGCACTCCTCAGCAAATGTAAAATAAAAGAAATTATAACAAGCTATCTCTCAGACCACAGTGCAATCAAACTAGAACTCAGGATTAAGAAACTCACTCAAAACCACTCAACTACATGGAAACTGAACAACCTGCTCCTGAATGACTGCTGGGTACATAACGAAATGAAGGCAGAAATAAAGATGTTCTTTGAAACCAATGAGAACAAAGACACAACATACCAGAATCTCTGGGACACATTTAAAGCAGTGTGTAGAGGGAAATTTATAGCACTAAATGCCCACAAGAGAAAGCAGGAAAGATCTAAAATTGACACCCTAACATCACAATTAAAAGAACTAGAGAAGCAAGAGCAAACACATTCAAAAGCTAGCAGACGGCAAGAAATAACTAAGATCAGAGCAGAACTGAAGGAAATAGAGACACAAAAAACCCTTCAAAAAAAATCAGTGAATCCAGGAGCTGGTTTTTTGAAAAGATCAACAAAACTGATAGACCGCTAGCAAGACTAATAAAGAAGAAAAGAGAGAAGAATCAAATACATGCAATAAAACATGATAAAGGGGATATCACCACCGATCCCACAGAAATACAAACTACCATCAGAGAATACTATAAACACCTCTACACAAATACACTAGAAAATCTAGAAGAAATGGATAAATTCCTTGACACATACACCCTCCCAAGACTAAACCAGGAAGAAATTGAATCTCTGAATAGACCAATAACAGGATCTGAAATTGAGGCAATAATTAATAGCCTACCAACAACAAAAAAGTCCAGGACCAGATGGATTCACAGCTGAATTCTACCAGAGGTACAAGGAGGAGCTAGTACCATTCCTTCTGAAACTATTCCAATCAATAGAAAAAGAGAGAATCCTCCCTAACTCATTTTATGAGGCCAGCATAATCCTGATACCAAAGCCTGGTAGAGACACAGCAAAAAAAGAGAATTTTAGACCAATATCTTTGATGAACATTGATACACAAATCCTCAATAAAATACTGGCAAACCGAATCCAGCAACACATCAAAAAGCCTATCCACCATGATCAAGTGGGCTTCATCCCTGGGATGCAAGGCTGGTTCACCATACGAAAATCAATACACGTAATCCAGCATATAAACAGAACCAAAGACAAAAACCACATGGTTATCTCCATAGTTGCAGAAAAGGCCTTGGACAAAATCCAACAATCCTTCATGCTAAAAACTCTCAATAAATTAGGTATTGATGGGACATATCTCAAAATAATAAGAGCTATCTATGACAAACCCACAGCCAATATCATACTGAATGGACAAAAACTGGAAGCATTCCCTTTGAAAACGGGCACAAGACAGGGATGCCCTCTCTCACCACTCCTATTCAACATAGTGTTGGAAGTTCTGGCCAGGGCATTTAGGCAGGAGAAGGAAATAAAGGGCATTCAATTAGGAAAAGAGGAAGTCAAATTGTCCCTGTTTGCAGATGACATGATTGTATATCTGGAAAACCCCATTGTCTCAGCCCAAAATCTCCTTAAGCTGATAAGCAACTTCAGCAACGTCTCAGGATACAAAATCAATGTACAAAAATCACAAGCATTCTTATACACCAATAACAGACAAACAGAGAGCCAAATCATGAGTGAACTCCCATTCACAATTGTTTCAAAGAGAATCAAATACCTAGGAATCCAACTTACAAGGGATGTGAAGGACCTCTTCAAGGAGAACTACAAACCACTGCTCAATGAAATAAAAGAGGATACAAACAAATGGAAGAACATTCCATGCTCATGGGTAGGAAGAATCAATATCGTGAAAATGGCCATACTGCCCAAGGTAATTTATAGATTCAGTGCCATCCCCATCAAACTACCAATGACTTTCTTCACAGAATTGGAAAAAAACACTTTAAGGTTCATATGGAACCAAAAAAGAGCCCACATCGCCAAGTCAATCCTAAGCCAAAAGAACAAAGCTGGAGGCATCACACTACCTGACTTCAAACTATACTACAAGGCTACAGTAACCAAAACAGCATGGTACTGGTACCAAAACAGAGATATAGACCAATGGAACGGAACAGAGCCCTCAGAAACAATGCCGCATATCTACAACTATCTGATCTTTGACAAACCTTACAAAAACAAGCAATGGGGAAAGCATTCCATGTTTAATAAATGGTGCTGGGAAAACTGGCTCGCCATATGTAGAAAGCTGAAACTGGATCCCTTCCTTACACCTTATACAAAAATTAATTCAAGATGGATTAAAGACTTACATGTTAGACCTAACACCATAAAAACCCTAGAACAAAACCTAGGCAATACCATTCAGGACATAGGCATGGGCAAGGACTTCATGTCTAGAACACCAAAAGCAATGGCAACAAAAGACAAAATTGACAAATGGGATCTAATTAAACTAAAGAGCTTCTGCACAGCAAAAGAAACCACCATCAGAGTGAATAGGCAACATACAGAATGGGAGAAAAATTTTGCAACCTACTCATCTGACAAAGGGCTAATATCCAGAATCTACAATGAACTCAAACAAATTTACAAGAAAAAAACAACCCCATCAAAAAGTGGGCAAAGGATATAAACAGACACTTCTCAAAAGAAGACATTTATGCAGACAAAAAACACGTGAAAAAATGCTCATCATCACTGGCCATCAGAGAAATGCAAATCAAAACACAATGAGATACCATCTCACACCAGTTAGAATGGCAATCATTAAAAAGTCAGGGAACAACAGGTGCTGGAGAGGATGTGGAGAAATAGGAACACTTTTACACTGTTGGTGGTACTGTAAACTAGTTCAACCATTGTGGAAGACAGTGTGGTGATTCCTCAAGGATCTAGAACTAGAAATACCATTTGACCCAGCCATCCCATTACTGGGTATATACCCAAAGGATTATAAATCATGCTGCTATAAAGACACATGCACACGTATGTTTATTGCAGCATTATTCACAATAGCAAAGACTTGGAACCAACCCAAATGTCCACCAATGATAGACTGGATTAAGAAAATGTGGCACATATACACCACGGAATACTATGCAGCCATAAAAAATGATGAGTTCATGTCCTTTGTAGGGACATGGATGAAATTGGAAATCATCATTCTCAGTAAACTATTGCAAGAACAAAAAACCAAACACCGCATATTCTCACTCATAGGTGGGAATTGAACAATGAGATCACATGGACACAGGAAGGGGAATATCACACTCTGGGGACTGTGGTGGGGTGGGGGGAGGGGGGAGGGATAGCATTGGGAGATATACCTAATGCTAGATGACGAGTTAGTGGGTGCAGTGCACCAGCATGGCACATGTATACATATGTAACTAACCTGCACAATGTGCGCATGTACCCTAAAACTTAAAGTATAATAATAAAAAAAAAAAGTCAGGAAACAACAGGTGCTGGAGAGGATGTGGAGAAATAGGAACACTTTTACACTGTTGGTGGGACTGTAAACTAGTTCAACCATTGTGGAAGACAGTGTGGTGATTCCTCAAGGATCTAGAACTAGAAATACCATTTGACCCAGCCATCCCATTACTGGGTATATACCCAAAGGATTATAAATCATGCTGCTATAAAGACACATGCATACATATGTTTATTGTGGCACTATTCACAATAGCAAAGACTTGGAACCAACCCAAATGTCCAACAATGATAGACTGGATTAAGAAAATGTGGCACATATACACCATGGAATACTATGCAGCCATAAAAAAATGATGAGTTCATGTCCTTTGTAGGGACATGGATGAAGCTGGAAACCATCATTCTCAGCAAACTGTCGCAAGGACAAAAAACCAAACACCACATGTTCTCACTCATACATGGGAATTGAACAATGAGAACACATGGACACAGGAAGGGGAACATCACACTCTGGGGACTGTTGTGGGGTGGGGGAAGAGGGGAGGGATAGCATTAGGAGATATACCTAATGCTAAATGACGAGTTAATGGGTGCAGCACACCAACATGGCACATGTATACATATGTAACAAACCTGCACATTGTGCACATGTACCCTAAAACTTAAAGTAAAATAATAATAAAATTTTTTAAAAAAGAAAATATGTGCAAGGCATAGAAGAAGAAAACTATATAACTACTTAAAGATACTCCAGAAAACCAACATAAATGGGGAAATACACCATGTTCACGAATTGAAAAACTCAAGATGTCAATTTACAAAAAAAGAAAATACAGGTACATTGAAAAACAAACAAACAAAAAACTTGTTTGGGGCTTTTATAAGCGAGGTATGTAGGGTTAAGAGAAGCAGTGTCCTGCCCTGACTCTGGGTAAGTATTAAACGTAGATGATCATTCCAAATGGCAGAGAAGGATAGATGCCCATTGCTGGAGAGAATGCCCGCCATTTACTGGCTCTCACCTCAGACACACTTTCCAAAGCAGCAGCTCTAAATGATCAAACAAAGTAGCCACAGCTTTTAGTCTTGATGTTCAGAAACTTAATCTTCACCAAAAACTTGAGTGAGATGATTTTAGGGCTTAGTGAACAAAGTGACTTCTCCATCCAAAAGTCACCAAGGCATCAGGAATACAAGGGTGTTCATGCTTACAGGCTGCTGACAACTGCACCTCCCCAGCCGTAGGGCTGCCCTTTGGGGAAGGGGAGATTCTGCAGGTCCTGTTGTGAAGACAGGCAGTGCAAGCAGAGGCTGTGGCACAAAACTACAGGGCTGCAGGCTGGCACACAATCGGCTAAACACGTGAACCATCACATTCTCTTCCTTCCGCCTGCTCAGAGTCACACCTCTGCATTCCGTTTGCCAGAGTGAGATTTTCTCCCCGTCAGCCTATTCTCCTAGCATTCATCTGTCCTGTCAACACACCATAAATTGTTCATAATGCATCGCTCCAGAGCAGCACTGAAGTCATGAGAATAAATAGATCCTGATAGACATATTGCTACCCACCGAGATTGAACCGTTGAACAGCTCATGCATATTTAGGAGGTATTGACTTGCTTCTCATCTCATCAGGCATTTGGGAAATTTTGCCGTAAATGTTCACAAGTGGGGGGTCTGATGTTGGAGGAGCCATGAAGAAGCAACGAAATGAAAGAGTTGGGAGTGGGGCACTTTCTAAGCTCTATCACTAACTGCAGTGGTTGGCTGTGAGTTTCTTAGCAAGTTTCTTACACTCTCTGGGTTTTAATTTGCTTATCTGAAAAGTATCTCAAAGGTCTCTCTTAGGTTTGAAATTCTGATTCTGAAGGAAACAGGTGTTTTCCACACGTCCCTTCTGTCCTCTTGCTCTCACCTGTCTCGGGGCCTTGAGTCACTTGTTCAGCCCCAGCCAGCACTGTGATGAGCAGCTCAGCCCAACTCAACCCCAGCCTCACAGGCACATGACCCGACACTGGTTTGCCTTGGGCCTGCAGCACCCACCACTAGCTTCTTATCCTGGGACACCCTCATTTGACACTGAGGCATGAACACCCAGGCTACAAAGTACTAGGCCATTCATGCCCTGTAGGTCAAAGGTTAGGCCAATGAGAGATGGGTATCTGGCAGAAACTCTCTTCCCTTACTCAATCAGATGGACTACGCTAAGGATTATCTTTTTATTTGGTCTTGAAGAAGATGGCCCCATGCAATAGAGCAACCAGTTACCCTTACCAAGTAGTTGCCAACTTATCACAGCTCTCCCTCCTTCTCTGGCTCACTCCCCTTGTCCCTGCGATTTTACTCCCTAATAAAGAGGTAACACATGAGCTTCGCCTCAGGCCTTGCTTTCTGTGGATACTAAGCTAAGACATTGGGAAGACCCATGAATCAGATCAGACAATGTGACAATTAATTTATAGTCCAATAGAAACACCCAGAGTCCTATGTTGCTATGTTGGGTTTGTGATGACTGTTGGGCATTTATTTGGGGCATTATCATTGAGCATTCACTTTTGTCTGTCTGTCTGTCTGTCTGTCTATCTATCTATCTATCTATCTATCTATCTATCTATCTACAGAAAGAGATAAAATTCCTTTTCAAAAATGATCTTAGTGGCCAGGCACAGTGAGTCACACCTGTAATCCCAATCCTTTGGGAGGCCAAGGGGGTAGGATCACTTGAAGCCAGGAGTTCAAGACTAGCCTGGGCAACACAGCAAAACCCCTGTCTCTGCAATTTTTTTAAATAAATTAGATGAGTACATTTGTGTGCACCTGTAATCCTAACTACTCAGGACACTGAGGTGGGAGGATCACTTGAGCCCAGGAGTTCAAGGCTGCAGTGAGCTTTCATCCTGCCACTGCACTCCACTCTGGATGACAGGGCAAGACTCTGTCTCTAAAAACAAAACAAAACAAAACAAAACAAAACAAAACAAACAATCTTCAATCTTTAAGTGAAACAAGAGGAAGATAAGACATGGACCTTCCTATGACTGAGATATCTAAGATAACCAACGTTCTTTCTTCCATGGCTGCCTTGCTTGACTTGAAGCCAAGAAGGCATCAGCACTCACCCCCATCTCCCAAAGGCTTTGACTATCCTCACTATCACCACTCCTTGCCACCATATCTGGGATTTTGATACTGGGTTTCTTCAGAAAATAATTTGACAAGAAATTTTTATGCATTTCTACATAGCCTCACTGGAGAATAAAGAGTCCTGGTCATGAGAGAAAACACAAGTTCCAAGAATGGAAAACAAAATTCTAAGGTTTTATACAGAATAGTCTCGCTTCTCTATACTTTGGGTTATTCTCTCAGGCCCTGGAGATGCTCCTCAAATGTGCATCCTATCATGTATGGTTTCTCCAGAGCTACCGCTGCCACCTACGCAGCATGCTTCCCCTGTCCCACTGTCACCTTCTTCTGGTCACAAACCTTTTTCCCTGCACAGGGCAGAGTATATGACCCAGGCTGGACCAATCAAGTACCTTTCCCTACTCCTCAAGCCAGCAACAGTTCTGGGGTGATAGGGGTACTTGACCCGATCTAGGTCACTCACAGAATTTCACTGTTGTTTTTCTTAACAGAACTAACATGAAAGACACTCCTTTTCCTTTGACAAAAGCTACAGAAATGAGATCCCAGAGTTTCCGGCAGCAGTGATCACAGCCACATAGAGAAGACGTGTCTGCTGTACAAGAGAATGAAGCCAAGACAGGGAGAAAACCAAGGACGAGAGATGAATAGAGACATATAGATCCTTGGTGTCATCAAGTTGCCAGTTCTGGTCTCTGAGCTTCACACAATCCTGCAGCTCATTTTTGTTCTCTGAGATACCCCAGTAACTTACCAATAAATTCCCATCTTTGCTTAAGCTGCTTGGAATTGGGTTTCTGTCACTTGCAATCAAAAGTATCCTGGTTAATATAGATGTGTATAAAATGCAAAGCTCTCACTCGAGTATGCCTTGCTAGTTTTTTCCCTCTGGGCACAAGAATAAATTTGATGTAGAGAGAAAGCAAGACCTTGCAGCTACCTTGTGCACTGGTTAGTTAAGTTGGATTTATGGATCATCCTTGGACACTGATCCATCCATCACTTCTTTTTTCATGCTATAGAGAGGTTTTATTTAGATATCTGCGTAAACCAGAATAAAAAAACCGTAGCTTAAAATGACAAAGAAAAGTCAACAAAGCCAGTTTGCTCTGCTTGCTAATGTTAAATTTCATTCATGTGTATAGCAGATGGAGAAGGAACCAAGATGTTTAAATTTGTTTTTTGCCTGATTCAGACACACTGTCAGGTAGGTAGAAAGCCTGGGTTTATTCTTTGGATGGAGGCTTTTCAGCATGGACTTTTGTGATCATTTATTTTAATATATGTCAGAGGCACAGATAGTTAATTATGCAGTATGGAATACCTAATTGCAATCAATAATTACATGGGAAGCTACAGTGTGGAAAATAAAGAGTTACCAAAATAACACATTGTTTCTGACAAAATAAGAAGAAAGTATGGTTCTGGCTCCAGCAGGAACATCTGCCTACCATGCCCTGCCCACTCACCTGGGCAGATCTAACCCCCATGCCCATGAATGTGAAATATCCCAAGATACCCAGAGGAGTTGACTCTTGTAGCTAGGACATGTCTTTCTCTGAAACAAATTATGTGGGCCCCTTTCTTGCTTGAAAAGAGCTGTGTTTTAAAAATCAATTCTCAGGCACCTGTCATTCTAGCTTTTGAAATGTCTTCTTCAAAGGTGTAGATGCTTCAGGATGGGGCCTCACAGCTCTACACCTGATGTGTCAGTTATCCAGCTCCAGCAGACCTGCTAGCCATGTGCTCTGGATCCCTGTAGGAGCCCATCCACTCCAATAAACAGCAGGAAATAAAATCTCTTTGCATTTGTGTAGCATTATCTGCTTCTCAAAGTCCTTCCATGTTAAACTTGACTTTCACCTATTAGGTTTATGTGGCAGAGATTATCATCACCATTTGATGGAGAAGAAAAAAACTGTAGATCATGAAAAGCTGCAAGATGAGTCAGCAAACTTATACAGATAGTATGACCTCCTGTTACACACACACACACACACACACACACACGAGAGGTGTCAATTAGTAGTGATTATCTGCCACCTGATTATTTACCCTGGAGATGTGAGACCACTCCTAGCCCTTCCTTACCTTGACCATGGTTACTCCATCACTGGATTAAAAAAGTTAACTGCATTAATAATCAAAGTATGGATCAGTGACCCCCTTCCTTCCTGCAATCATCAGCCAATTTTGAGTAACTGTGTGTCAATCCTCACAACTTCACAAGAAGAAAAAACTCATAATGTTATCAGTCTACCTCAAGGCTCAGGATTCTTTTTGTTTTAATTTATTTCTAACTTTTATTTTAAGTTCAGGGGTACATGTGCAGGATGTGCAGGTTTGTTACATAAGTAAATGTGTGCTATGGTGGTTTGCTGCACAGATCATCCCATCACCTAGGTATTAAGCCTAGTGTCCACTAATTATTCTTCCTGATCCTCTCCCTCCTCTTACCTTCCCCCAGCCTCCGACAGGCCCCATTGTGTGTTGTTCCACACCCACCCCCACAATTTGTCCATGTGTTCTCATCATTTAGCCTCCACTTAGAAGTGAGAACATGCAGTATATAGTTTTCTATTCTTGCTTTAGTTTGCTGAGGATAATGACCTCCAGCTCCATCCATGTCCCTGAAAAGGACATGATCTCATTCCTTTCCATGGCTGCATAGCATTCCACAGTGTATATGTACCACATTTTCTTTATCCAGCCTATCATTGATGGGCATTTAGGTTGATTCCATATCTTTGCTATTGTGAATAGTGCTGCAATAAACATACACATGCATATGTCTTTATAATAGAAAGCTTTATATTCCTTTGGGTATATACACAGTGATAGGATTGCTGGGTCTAATGGCATTTCTGCCTCTAGGTCTTTGAGGAATTGCCACACTGTCTTTTACAGTGGTTGAACTAATTTACTTTCCCACCAACAGCGTAAAAGCATTCCTTTTTCTCCACAACCTCGCCAGCATCTGTTGTTTTTTTGACTTTTTAATAACAGCCATTCTGACTTGTGTGAGATGGTATCTCACTGTAGTTTGGATTTGCATTTTTCTAATGATCAGTAATGTTGAACCTTTTTTCATATGTTTCTTGGCCACATGAATGTCTTCTTTTGAGAAGTGTCTGTTCATGTCCTTTGCCCACTTTGTAATGGGGTTGTTTGTTTCTTGTAAATTTGTTTAAGTTTCTTATAGATGCTGGATATTAGACCTTTGTCAGATGCATAGATTGCAGAAATTTTCTCCCATTCTGTAGGTCGTCTGTTTATTCTGTTGATAGTTTCTTTTGCTGTCCAGAAGCTCTTTAGCTTAATTAGATCCTATTTGTCTATTTTTGCTCTTGTTGCAATTGCTTTTGGCATCTTTGTCACAAAATCTTTTCCTGTGCCTATGTCCTGAATGGTATTGCTTAGGTTTTCTTCTAGGGTTTTTATAGTTTTGGGTTTTACATTTAAGTCTTTAAGTCATCTTGAGTCGATTTTTGTACAAGGTGTAAGGAAGGGGTCCAGTTTCAATTTTCTGCATATGGCTAGGCAGTTTTCCCAGCACCATTTATTAAATAGGGAATCCTTTCCCACATTGCTTGTTTTTGTAAGGTTTGTCAAAGATCAGATGGCTGTAGGTGTGAAATCTTATTTCTGCATTCTCTATTTTGTTCCATGGGTCTTTATGCCTGTTCTTGTACCAGTACCATGTTGTTTTGGTTACTGTAGCCCTGTAATATAATTTGAAGTTGGGTAGCATGATGCTTCCAGCTTTGCTTTGGTTGTGTGTGTGTGTGTGTGTGTGTGTGTGTGTGTGTGTGTGTGTGTGTTTTCTCTTAGAATTGCCTTTGTCTGGGCAGGCATGTGGTGGTGCATGCTTGTAGCCCCAGCTACCTGGGGAGGCTGAGGCAGGAGAATCACTTGAACCCAGGAGGCAGACGTTGCAGTGAGCCAAGATCAGGCCTCTCCACTCCAGCTGGGGTGATAGAGGGAGACTCTATCTCAAAAATAAATAAATAAATAAAAATAAAGAATTGCCTTTGGCCATTCGGGTTTTTTTGTTCCATATGAATTTTTAAATAGTTTTTCTAATTCTGTGAAGAACGTCAATGGTAGTTTAATGGGAATAGCATGGAATCTATAAAATGCATTGGGCAGTATGGCCATTTTCATGATATTGATTCTTCCTATCCATGAGCATGGAATGTTTTTCCATTTGTTTGTGTCCTCTCTCATTTCCTTGAGCAGTGGTTTGTAGTTCTCCTTGAAGAGGTCCTTCACTTCCCTTGTTAGCTGTATTCCTAGGTATTTTATTCTTTTTGTGGCAATTGCGAATGGGAGTTCATTTGTGATTTGGCTTTTGGCTTGCCTGTTGTTGATGTATAGGAATGCTAGTGATTTTTGCATATTGATTTTGTATCCAAGCCTCAGGATTCTTAACATGAGTGTGTCAATTGACAAAAAATTAAAGTACCAACAAAGACCTTTAGAAAATCCCTCAAAAAAGTGGTACAGAGATAGAGGGAATATGGGCAGGGCACTAGATGGTCATTGAAATAAGCAATTTTCTTCAATCATTATTAAAAGAACATGAGTAAAATATTACAAAAAAATTCTATAAAAATATCACCAAAAAATTGCAAAGATGCCTCTTTCATAAAACATTTGAAGTCATTGCAGGTGAATCTTACCAAGGAGAAACCTAAGGCAGTGGTGTCAGTGGAAGGCCAGCATCTAAGGTGAGGGAGAAACATGCCCTGATAATGTCTTCATGCATCTTTGTGATTTTGTACTATGTGAAACGTCACCATGCAGAAAGAGCACCAGAGAAGTGGTGATCAGGTCATCCTCACCTGCTATGATGAGGAGGCCTGGTGTCCACTGTGAGTCTATAGTAGATCTGCCACAAAAGGTCACTGGGGAGCTGTGACAAACAGAAGCCTGAATTCATCAGACAGTGAGTCGGTGAGAGGAGCTATCTCTGCTCAGAGTCCTATGACTTTTAAGCCAGCTGCTTATTGTTCCAGGTGCATAGAGATCATTTCTGAGAGCTACTTACTAACTTGCTAACCTCAGAGAAAAGAGAAGAGTGGTTCTGAATAATTTGTGAAGAACATGGATAAACAGTTTTCAGAGCATAGAAGACTGTTTAAAAATGGAGAGATAGAGATAAGGAGAGAGAGAGAAAAAAATGAGAGAGAGAGAGCTGCCTCTATTTTCTTTCAGTTTTTGGCCTCACATTGTGTATATTCAGATCATCAAAGTCGGTGTTTCAAGCAACTCATGTTGAGAAGTGTGAGGACCACGCATAGATGAAGTAGGTGGGCACCCACACTGTGATTTAAGGGGTGGGCGGGCTCCAGATCCTAATATAGCTCCTCCCCGGCTTGATGGAGCACATTAAATAGAGATCGCCTCAGGTTCCTCTATTTAAATGCAAATAACTCTGGAAAAGATAATACATTATGAGAGTCATTAAACAGAAGTGTGATTAGCTTATCAGATAATTTTCCCACTAGACCCCTGAGAGAACCTTTTTCAAGGCTCACCTTGGCTTATGCAATAGTTTGTGATCTTGGCCAAATCCATTAGCCTCAATGTGCCTCCGTTCCCTGTTGTACAGACACCATGGTTTACCCCATCTGCCTCTCAAAACACTTGTAAGAATTGAATGAGGTGATATGTTGGTAACAAAGAAACACAGACATTATGGCGGCATCTGAAGGAGAAGGATCCTGAAAGGTGAGAACCATGTTACACCCTAAGGACCAGTCTTGGACACCTATTTATTTTCATATCAGATGTCCCTTGGGAGTTCAAGGAAACAGCATTGACTTTAGAGTTAGAAGATCTGGATTTTAAAACTCTCAAACAGGAAAATAGGAGATTATGAGAAGGAAGTTACAAAATATTTAAATGACAAAAAAATGCTTGAAAAAATCCAATCTCACTAGTAATATAAGAAAGGCAAATTAAATCAGCAAGATGCCTTTTCACCCACAAAATGAAGAAAAGTATGTTTTTAAATAATAATACTCAGTGTGTATGAGTGTAGAGAAAAATGGGCTGCTGGTGGGAGTGCAAATTGGGCTATTTAGCAACTTGGATTAAAGGCCTTAAATTGTGTGACCCAGCAGTTCTAATTCTAAGAGTTATCTTGAAGAAATAAATAAGAACATGCATAAACATTTAGCTACAAGAGTTTTCATTACAGTATCGCTTATTGCAAAGACAACAGAAATGATCTAAATGTCCAACAAAAAATAATGGCCATAAATCATGGTATAAACCCACAATTATATACTCTTCCTATGTTGAAGTGTTGAAGAACTATGTTTATTAACACAGGGAAAAGTACCTAATAAATTTCTCAGTGAAAAACTTGTTGTAAATAATATAAATGAAGAGTGATGTCAGCAAGATAGCCCTTTGCACTCATCCCCCCTACAAGACATCCAAAGCAATGAATAAACAACTGTATTTTGATGAAAATAACTAAAGAAGAGTACCAAAGTACAGCAAAGGAATAGCAGAAGTCTTGTAGCAGATGCACACCCAGGAAGGCAGTATAGCAAAGTGAAGCAAACACTTACCTCTGCCATCCTATTCCCCAGTCAGGACCAGTTGGAACCTGAGGGGAAAAGGTAAGCAAAAGGAACCCAGCATCCCCCATCACCACCCTGGTCACAGTCTTCACCATTGATGACTCCTGTAGTCCTCACAGGTGCCCAGCTAAAGGAGCTGTCTGGAGTCCACATAGCTGTGCTTCTCCCAGAGAAGTAACTAATGGTGTTCTCCTCCCCTCCTGGCCCACGTGGCTACTGCTCTGCACCATTCTGGAACCAGAACCATTGCTGGAGTGTGCTCTGCTCCAGGGGCAAGTAGCTATTACACCCTTCCATTTCGGAGGGTTTGTCACCACTGAACATCCCTGCCTGGTGGCTCACCATATACAAGTCAAGCCAGACAGCTGTGCCCTTCCCATCCCAGTCACTGCTGCACCCTGCCCTTTTGACACCTGTGCTGAAACAGCACCCACCCCCTAGGGAAACAGTGCCTTTGCCTCCCACAGCAGTCACACCCCTTGGCATCAGAGCTGAAATAGTGCCCTGCTTCATGAGTTTATCAGTGTCTTGGCTGAGGTGAGTAGCTGCACCTCTCAGAGCTGGGCCAATGTGGCACTCTGTGTCCCAGGGAAACAGAGCACCAACTGAGCTGGGACACCTCACCCTCCAGGCCAAGCAACGATAGTACCCTGATTCCCTGGAACTGGACTAGCCCCCAGGGTCTGAGCTGTTGAGGCATCCCACCTCCCTGGGTGGTGGAATCATTGCTGTACTGTTCCCTGCCCCTCAGGACCCAGGCTACAGCTGTGCCACAGCATTCCTGGATTCTTACTGCCACTGCACTTAGCCTTACAGAGCCTGAGATACTGCTGTGTCCCGTCCCACCATCCCAGGGTCCAGAGCCACCACTATGTGGTGCCTCATCCCGCAAGGCCTGAGTTTCCACTGTGCCCTACTGACTCTGATTCCTGAATTGCTGCTGTGCCTTGCTCCCTGGAGCCTGAAACTGTAGAGCACCTCTTCTTCCCCAGAGCTGGGTTAGAGTCACGGCTACAACCTAGCTCCTTAAGTCCAAGTGGCTGGAGTGTGCCTCAGAGTCACAGACTCTAGTTCTGTGATCAGCCTGCATCTACTCATGCCTGAGACAGTGACCTTGCACCTGAAGTACCAGACACCATAGTAGAGTGGTGAGATCCTGAGTCTAGAACCTCCACTCTATAGCTGCTCTGGGAACCTGCACCCTGGACCCCAGAACCACTGTGGCTGCCTATGAGCCATAACTGAACTGACACCATAGGGGATCCCTTCAGCCATAAACTCCTGCAATCTAGGCCACTGAGATACCCACAGTCATCACCAAAATTGATCTCAGATGAAGAACCTGTACAGAAGCTAAGCCACTGCATTCGCTTAGAAACAGATCCACTACATCCTTCCCAACTGTCACCCTAGACCCATTGGCAGGTGAAATTATTTCCTCATGAGAGTTTTCTCTGTAAAGTCTAGAAGATGTAACAGCTCCACCAGATGTGCAGACATTAATGCAGGGACATAGAAAACATGAAAAAGCAAGGACATATGATACCACAAAAGGAACACAATAATTATCCAATAATTGACCCACCCTCCAAAAAACGAAAATTTACAAATTGCTTGAAAAGGAACTCATCATAATGATCTTAAGGAAATACACTGAGATACAAAAGAATACAGTAGGCAATTCAATAAAATCAGAAAAACAATTCATGACCTAAGCAAGAAATTCAACAAAGAGATTGACATCATAAAAAGAACCAAATATAAATCTTGGAGCAGAAGAATTCAATGAATGAAATAAAAATACAATTGGCAGCTTCAACAACAGATAGGTTAAGAACAAGAAACAATCTCTGAACTTGAAGACACGTCTTTTGAAATAACCCAGTCAGAGGAAAAAAAAAAAAGAATGAAAAAGAGTGAAGAAAACTTACAGGATCTATGCAACAGCATAAAGCAAACAAATAGTGATATTATGGAAGAGAGAAGAGATAGAGAAAGGCACAGAAAGCTTATTTAATGAAATAGTTACTGAAAACTACAAAGTCTTGGGAGAGATATGGACATTCATATGCATAAAACTCAAAGGTTGGGAACAGATTCAACCCAAAGAGGTCCTCACTGAGGTACATTATAATCAAAATGTCAAAAGCCAAAGACAAAGAGAATTTTAAAAGCAAGAAGAGTAAAGTGTCAAGTGACACAAGATAATCCCAGTTAGACTATCAATGGCTTTCTTAGCAGAAACCTTGTAGGCCAGGAGAGAATGGGATGGCGTAGTGAAATCCTGAAAATAAAAAAGACTGTCAGCCGAGAATACTCTACCCAGCAAAGCTGTTCTTCAGAAATGAAAGAGAACTAAAGTCTTTACCAGACAAGCAAAAAGAGAGAAAATTTATTACCACTAAACCTGCCCTATAAGAAATTCTTAAGGGAAGGAATTCTTCAACTAGAAATGAAAGGACAATACTATCATGAAAATATATAAAACTATAAAACTCATTGGTAGAGGTAAATTCATTGTCAAATTCAGAATACTTCATTACTTCAATGGTGGTGTGTAAATCTTTCAAATCTGTAGTATAAAAGTTAAAAATCAAAATGGCAAAAGAATAAATACGGCTACAATAAGTTGCTAAGGAATACACGATATAAAAAGATGTAAACTGTAACAATAAAAATATAAATTTTGGGGCAGACGTAAAAGTCTAGAGTATTTTTATGTGACTGAAGTTAAGTTGTTTTCAGCTTAAATAGTCTATTACAACTGTAAAAAGTTTTATGTAAGCCCCATGGTCACCACAAAGCATAAACTACAGCAGATACACAAACAAGAAAGAGAAAGGAATTAAAACTTAGCACTATAAGAAAATCACCAAATCACAAAGGTAGACAACAAGAGAGGAAGAAAGGAACAAAGGAGCTACAAAACAACCATAAGACAACAAAATAGCAGGTATAAGTCCTTACCTATCAATAATAACCTTAAATGTAAATTGTTTAAACTCTTAAGACATAAAGTGGCTGCACAGATTTTTTTAAAGATCCAATCATATGCTGCATACAAGAGACCTATTTTAGCTTCAAGGACAAACATAGGCTAAAAATGAAGGGATGCAGATATTCCATGCAAATAATAACCAAAAGAGAGCAAAGGTAGTTATACTTAATATCAAGTAAAATGGATTGCAAGTCAAAACTACTACTAGAAATAAAGAAGGTCATTATTTAATGATAGCGGAGTCAATTATTCAGGAGCACAGAAAAATTAGAAATATGTATGCATCCAATATGAAAGTACCCAAATAAATAAAGCAAAATTAATGACATGAAGGAATAAATAGAATGCAATAATAGTAGGAAAATTTAATATCCCACTTTCAACAATGAATAGATCAACAAACAGAAAATTAATGAGAAAATACTGGACTTGAACTGCACTTTAGACCAAATGGACCTAACAG
The DNA here is from genome assembly GCF_000001405.40 of Homo sapiens. NCBI lineage: Eukaryota > Metazoa > Chordata > Mammalia > Primates > Hominidae > Homo > Homo sapiens. Next base: position 47,794,780 of record NC_000016.10, on the reverse strand, counting down.
ACATATATATCATTTTCCACCTAATACCAGAAAAATACATATTCTGTAGTGCACATGGAATGTTTTCCAGGATAGACCATATATAGGACACATAACAAGTCTAAACATGTTCACGAAGATTAACATTATATCTACTATTGTTTCTGATCACAATAGTATGAAACTAGAAATTAATAACAGGAGAAATCTTGGAAATTTTGCAAATATGTAAAAATTAAACAATATCTTTCTGAACAACCAATGGGTCAAAGAATAAATCAAAATGAAAAAAAAACTTGAGACAAATGAAAATAGAAACACAATACACCAAAAACCTATAAGACTCAGCAAAATCAATTTTTTTTTTCTTTAGAGGGGGTCTTACTTTGTAACCTGGGCTGGAGTGCGGTGATGTGATCATGATTCACTGATGGATCACTGCAGCCACAACTTCCTGGGTTCAAGTGATCCTCCTGCCTCAGCCCCCTGAGTAACTAGGACTAAAGGCATGTGCCACCACACCCAGCTAATTTTTCAATTTTTTTAGAGAGGGGATCTTGCAATGTTGTCCAGGCTAGTCTCACACTCTTGACCTTAAGTGAGCCTCCTACCTTAGGCTCCCAAAGTGTTGGGTTTACAGGCATGAGCCACTGCGCCTGGCCAGTAAAAGCATTCTAAGTGGGAAGTTTAGAAAAATAAATGCCTCCACTAAAAAGAAAGATTCCAAATGAATAGCCTAACACTGTATCTCAAGGAAATAAAAAAAAAAAGACAAAATAAACTAGCTAGTAGAAGGAAGGAAATAATAAAGATCAGAAGAGAATAAATCAAATAGAGAACAGAAAACCTATAGGAAAGAATAATGAAACCACAAGTTGGTTTTTTGAAAAAATAAACAAAATTCAACCAGGTATGGTGGCTCTTGCCTGTAATCCCAGCATTTTGGGAGGCCGAGGTGGGTGGACCATGGCATCAGGAGATCGAGACCAGACTGGCTAACACAGTGAAACCCCATCTCTACTTTAAATACAAAAAATTAGCCAGGTGTGGTGGCATGCACCTGTAATACTAGCTACTCAGGAGGCTGAGGAAGGAGAATCACTTGAACCTGGGAGGCGGAGGTTGCAGTGAGCCAAGATTGCACCACTGCACTCCAGCCTGGGTGACAGAGTGAGACTCTGTCTCTAAATAAATAAATGGAAAACTTCTAGAAGCTAGACTAACTAAAAGAGAGAGAGATAAGACTCAAGAAATGAAAGTGGAGACATTACAACACTCACTTAATAAATAAAATGGATCATAAATGACTATTATGAACAATTATATGCCAATAAATTGGATAAACTTGAGAAATGGATAAATTCCTGGGAAATTATAACTTACTGAGATTGAGTTAGGAAGAAACAGAAAACCAGAACAGACTAGTAACAATAAAGAAAAGCCCAGGACCAGATGGCTTCTGATATTGTTTGGCTCTGTGTCCCCACCCAAATCTCATGTTGAATTGTAATCCTCAATGTTGGAGGAGAAACCTGGTGGGAGGTGATTTAATCATGGGAGAGAACTTCCCCCTTGGTGTTCTTCTGATAGAGTTCTCCCCAGATCTGCTTGTTTAAAAGTGTGTAGCACCACCCCTGCCCTCCTGTCATCATGTGAAGATGTGTTTGCTTTCCTTTCACCTTCTGCCATGACTTTATGTTTCCTGAGGCTTTCCCAGAAGTGGAAACCTATACAGCCCACAGAACCATGAGCCAATTAAAACTCTTCTTTAAAAAAAAAAAATTACCCAGTTTCAGGTAGTTCTTTATAGCAGTGTGAGAATAAACTCACACAAAAAAGCTGGTACCAAGAGTGGGGTATTGCTATAAAGATACCTAAAAATGTGGAAACAACTTTGGAACTGGGTAATGGGCAGAGGTTGTAACAGTTTGGAGGGCTCAAAAGAAGACAGGAAGATGAGGGAAAGTTTGGAACTTCCTAGAGACTTGCTAAATAGTTGTGTCCAAAATGCTGATAATGATATGGACACATTGTGGTCTCAGATGGAGATGAGAAGCTTTTTGGGAACTGGGGTAAAGGTCACTCTTGCTATGCCTCAGTGAAAAGACAAGCAGCTTTAGGCCCCTGCTCTAGAGATCTGGAACTTTGAACATGAAAGTGATGATTTAGGGTATCTGGCAGAAGAAATCTCTAAGCAGAAAATAATTCAAGATGTGACCTGGCTGCTTCTAAAAGCCTACACGCATCTGCATAAACAAAGAAATGACCTGAAATTGGAATTTATATTTAAAAGGGAAGAAGAGCATAAAAGTTTGAAAAATTTGCAGCATGATCATGTGGTAGAAAAGAAAAACTCATTTTCCAAGGAGGAAATCCAGAAGGTTGCAGAAATTTGCATAACAGGAGCTGAAAGTTAATAGACAAGACAATGGGGAAAGTGCCTTCAGAGACCTTAGCTGTAGCCCCTCCCACCACAGGCCTGAAGACCTGGGAGGCAGAAATGGTTTTGTGGGTAAGGCCCAGGGTCCTGCTGCTCTGTGAAGCCTCAGGACATGACATCCTGAATCCCAGCCACTCCAGCTGCAGCCATGGCTAAGAGGGCCCAGATACACCTCAGGCCACTGCTCCAAAAGGTGCAATCAGCAAGCCTTGGTGACTTCCACGTGGTGTTAAGCCTGTGGGTGCATAGAGGGCAGGAGTTGAGGCTTGGGAGCCTCCACCTACATTTCAGAGGATGTACAGAAATGCTTGGATGTCCAGGCAGAAGTCTGCTGTAGGGGCAGAGCCCTCCTGGAAAACCTCTACTAGGGCAGTGCAGAGGGGAAATGTGGGGTTGGAGCCCCCACTCAGAGATCCCATTGGAGCACTGCCTAGTGGAGCTGTGAGAAGAGGGCCACCGGCCTCCAGACCCCAGAATGGTAGATCCACTGACAGCTTGTACCATCTTCCTGGAAAAGCCACAGGCACTCATCACCAACCTGTAAAATCAGCCATAGGGGCTATACCCTGTAGAGCCATGGAGGCAGAGCTTCCCAAGGCCTTGGGAGCCCACCTCTTGTGTCAGTGTGGCCTGGATGTAAGACATGGAGTCAAAAGAAGAATATTTTATGGCTTTAAGATGTAATGACTGCTGGGTTTTGGACTTGCATGGAGCCTGTAGCCCCTGTGTTTTGGCCAATTTCTCCCTTTTGGAATGGGAGCATTTACCCAATGTCTGTAGCCCCATTGTATCTTGGAAGTAACTAACTTGTTTTTTATTTTACAGGCTTATAGGAGGAAGGAACTTGCCTTGTCTCAGATGAGACTTTGGACCTTCAACTTTTGAGTTAATGTTGGAATAAGTGAAGACTTTGGGAAACTGTTTGGAAGGCATGATTGTGTTTTGACATGTGAGAAGGACATGAGATTTGGGAAAAGCCAGGGGCAGAATGATATGGTTTGCCTCTGTGTCCCCATCCAAATCTCATGTCTAATTGTAATCCTCAATGTTAGAGGAGGGGCTTGGTGGGAGGTGACTGAATCATGGGGAGAGACTTTCCCCTTGCTGCTCTTGTGATAGAATTCTCTTGAAATCTCTTTGTTTAAAAGTGTGTCGCACCTCCCCTTCTCTCTCCTGCTGCCATATGAAGATGTGCTTGCTTCCCCTTCACCTTCCACCATGATTGTATGTTTCCTGAGGCCTCACCAGTAGCAGAAGCCTGTATAGCCCACATAACCATGAGCTGATTAAACCTCCCTTTTTTAAAAAAAAATTACACAGTTTTAGGTAGTTCTTTATAGCAGTGTGAGAATGAACTAATACAGCTTCACAGCTGAATCTACCAAACATCTAAAGAAGAATTATTATCAATACTAATTAAAGTCTTGCAAAAAAGAAATAGAGCTGGAGAATACTTCCAAACACATTTTACAAGGCAAGTGTCATCTTGATACCTAAGCTGGACAAAGGTATTACAAGAAAATAAAACTACAGGTCAATATCTCTGAGATAACTACAGGCCAATATCTCTGATGAATATTGATGCCAAAATCCTCAGTAAAATATTAGCAAACTGAATTCAACAACATGTCAATAAGATTTTACATCACAACCAAGTGGGATAAATCTCTAGCATGCAAGGCTGGTTTAACATATTCAAATCAATCAATGTAATACATCACATTAACAGAATGAAAAATAAAAATTTTGATCATCTCAACTGATGCAGGAAAAGCATTGACAAAGTCCAGCATCCTTTCTTGATAAAAACTCTTAACAGTTTAGGTATAGAAGAAAAGTCCTTCAACGGAATAGAGGTGTTTTATTAAAAACCTACAGCTAACATCATAATCAACAGGGAACAACTGAAAGCGTTCTCACTGAGATTCAGTACAAGGCAGAGATGCCCACTCTCACCATTTCTATTCAACATAGAACTGGAAGTACTAGCAAGAGCAATCAGAAAAGAAAAAAAAAAAAGACACCCAAATCAGAACAAAAGAAGTGAAATTATCTCTATTTGCAGATGACATGGTCTTATATGTAGAAAGCCCCAGATATTTTACAAAACAACTGTTAGAACTAATAAGTTAATTCAGTAAAGTTGCAGGATATAAAAATCAAACTGCATACATCAGTAACATTTCTATACACAAATAATAACCTAGCTAAAAAGAAATCAAGAAAATAATCCCATTTATGATAGCATCAAAAAAGATAAGAATAAATTTAATCAAGGAGGTGAAAGATATGTACACTGAAAACTTTAAAACCTTGATTAAAATGAAGGGTATCCCACGCTCATGGATTGAAAGAATTAATGTTGTTAAAGTGTCCATACTACCCAAAGCAATATACAGATTTAATGCAAACCTTATTAAAATTCCAATGGCATTCTTTATAGAAAGAGACAAAAACATTCTAAAATTCAAAGAGAATAACAGAAAACCATGAATAGCCAAAGCAATTCTGAGAAAGAAAAACAAACTTGGAGACAACACACTTCCTGACTTAAAATTATATTACAAAGCTATAGCAACTTAAACAGTACGGTACCGGCACAAAAACAGAAACATAGACTAATGGAACAGAATAGAGAACCCAGAAATAAATCCGAACATATATGGTCCACTAATTTTTGACAAGGGCACCAAAAGGACACAATGGGGAAAGGATAGTCTCTTCAATAAATGGTGCTGGGAAAACTTGACTTCCACATGCAAAATAACAAAATTGGACCCTTATCATATACCACTAACAAAAATTAACAAAAAGTGAATAAAAGACCTAAATGCAACACCTGAATCTATAAAACTCCTAAAAGAGAGCATAAGGGGAAAGCTCATTGATGTTGTTCTTGGAAATGATTTTTGGGGTATCACACCAAAGCTCAGGCTACAAAAGGAAAAATAAATAAATGAGACTATATCAAACGAAAAAGATTCTCCACCGTGAAGGAAGCAATCAACAAAATGAAAATGCAACCTATGAACTGGAAAAAAAATTTGCCACCCACATATCTGATCAGGGGTTAATATCCAAAATTTAGTAAGAATTCTTACAACTCAATAGCAGTAAAAGAAATAACCAAATTAAAAAATAAGCAAAGGACCTAAACAGACATTTCTCCAAAGAAGACATAAAAATGACCAACAGGTATATGAAAAGGTGCTCAGCATCACTAATCATCAGGTAAATGCAAATTAAAAACACCATGAGATATTACCTCACACCCATTGGGATGGTTATTCTCAAAAAGGCAAGAAACAACAAATATTGGTGACAGTGGAGTAAAAGGGGACCCTAGTACACTGTTGATAGAAATGCAGATTTGCACAGCCATTATGGAAAAAAGTATGGAAGTTCCTAAGGAAATTAAAATTAGAACTACCATATGGCTCAGCAATTTATCTTCTGGCCATATACCCAAATGAGATGAAATCGCCACCTCATTAAGATATCTGCAGTCTCATGTTCATTAAAGTGTTATTCACAGTAGCCACGATATGAAAAAACCTAAATGTTCATCAATGAATGAATGGATAAAGAAAATGTGAGATATAAGTAAAAATAAACACTCACACATATACACACACAGTGCATATAGACAAACAATACAATATTATTCAGCCTCATAAAAAGAGATCCTGCCATTTGCCACAACATGAATGGACCTGGAAGATATCATGCTAAGTAAAATAAACCAGGCACAGAAGAAAAATATTGCATGATCTCACTTATGTGAGGAATCTTTTTAAAAGTCAAATATATAAAGATTGAGATAAAACTGTGGTTTCCGAGAGCTGGTAGCAGGGAGGAAATGGGAAAATGTAAGTTGAAGGATACAAAGTAGCAGACATGTAGGATGAACACGTCTAGAGAGTTAATGTACAACATGAAGACTATGGTTTATAAAATTGTACTGTATTTAGAAAAAATAAAAGGCTGATATAACAACTGTAAAGACAATATATGCAGGATTATATCATATATCTTCTATTAATCTATCTATCTATCTATATCAAGGGATGTTTACCAAAATGTTAGTAGTTCTCTATGGGTGTGGGGCCATATTTTCATTTTATTTTTTGTTTATCTGCATTTCTGAAAAATTCCCACAATTAACTTTGCTTGCATATATTAAAAATATTTGTTTTACAAGACATCCATGGAAATGAGAGAAATTCCGATAAGACTAGAGATTTTTAGATTCAAGCCAAAGATTTTTAATCCATAATGTGAGGGGAAAGGGAACTGCCTTCCCTACATAGTCTAGAGAACTCTCAGGAAAAAGGCATAAGATATGTGTGAAAAGAGTTTGAAACCCATAAATTTCCCTGTAGTGTGAAAGAAGTGGAAAACCACAGAAATGTTATTTCCATTCAGGCACTCGTGGAAAGAAAATTTGTTTCAGCACCACGGACAGCAAGACAGCCCCGTTGCTATGACCAGGGGCTGGGAAAGGTAGTGGGGGTGGGAGGTGGGTTGTCATGGGAGTGAGGAATGGTTAATGGGTACAAAAAATAGAAAGAATGAATAAGACCTATTATTTGATAGTACAACAATGTGACTATAGTCATTAGTAATTACATAGTTTAAAATAACTAAAATAGTATAATTGGATTGTCTATAACACAAAGGATAAATGTTTAAGATAGATACCCCACTTACCCTGACATAATTATTATGCATTGTATGCCTGTATCAGAATAGCTCATGTACCCCATAAATATATACACCTACTATGATCCACAGAAATTTAAAAAAATTTTAAAGGAAGAAAGGCAAACAACGTTTTAAACCAGCTTTTAAGTGTGTCAGTTAGCTCAAGAACTTATTTCGTTAAAATAGCTGCAGAGTGATTAGTCAATCCAATTAATTACTAAAATTCTCCTTTCTTCCCTCCATAAATATCTGCTTCTTTTACCTCTGGAGAAAATAGGGGACAGCCGGTACTTTTCTGCTATTGCCCAGTGCTCTCCACGCACATGGTTCACTGGAAGCTTCATAATCAGAGAGGAGAGGACACATGAAAGGAACTTTAACCTCTCAACAGAAGCAGAACTACCCTTCCTGCATCCTCAAACTCTAAATCCTCACCAAAATGTAGTTCCTTGCTTCACATGTACCTGACATAATAAAGGGCTCTAAAGCACAATGCAGCCACTGGCATTGTACAACCTCCCACCCACTGAACCTCTCCCTCTGCTCCCTGCCAAGCACTTTGCAGGCAACAGCCACCCACATAGATCAGCTCCCAGACTCCAATCACAGCTCCAGGTCAGCAATAAGGTTCAGAACCAGAGGCAAGCCCATCTAGAGATGGGGCGAGGGAACTGGATGCCTCCAGAGATGTTTTCTGACCTCTAAAGCCCCTTTCTCCTCCATTCTACTCCTACAAAGCCTGAATTTCACCTTTGAAGACATTCGTTCATTTTTCAGAAATATAATAAGGAAAATAGTGCCTGGCACTATTCTGGGCATGGAGGATACAGGCAGTGAACAAGGCAGATGAGGTCCCTGCAATCAGGGAATTTACATCCTGATGGAAGAGACAGACAACACACAAACAAATGAGACAGCAATAAGTACCATAAAGAAATTAGAAGAGGACCATAAGGAGAAACAGTGACTGGGTATTGGGTGGAGGCAGGCACCTTTGGATTGGGCAAAAAAGGAAAGCTTATCTAAGGAGACCTGAAAAATTAGAAAGCAGACATGAAAAATATCTGAGGGAGGAGTATTCCAGGCAGAGAGATCAGTGAGTTGTAGAGGGTTTGAGTTGTGAATGAGCTCAGTGTTTTCAGGGAACCAGAAAGTTTAGAATCAAGGTGCAAGTGGGATGATATAGGACCAGGGAGGTGGGCAGAGGCCAGATCATGTGGGGCCTTGCAGGCCATGGTACAGAACTTGGTACATGCTTCTGTGTACAGTAAGAGGCCAACTGGGAGATTTTAAGACAGGAAATGACATGACTTTATGTATATTTCTAAAAGATCCCTCAGGCTGTTGAGTGTACATTTTTTAGTAACTTAAAACTCTACTTTTCCAGGTTCCCATTTAAAATGCAAACACCCTCATGAAGGTAGCATTTTAATAAAAGTCTATTGATCATACCCTCTTTTCCCATTCTCATTACAGTCCAGGAAGGGTGAAATCACTGGATGTCTGACTAGGGGCTCTGAATACAGGCATAAGTGTTTCAAACAGCAAGAACATACGTATACCTAAGACCAAACAAAACTGACAAGAGATCTTGAAAACAGATTCTCCAGCAGGACGAGAAGGAGACATTGCAAACTGTGGAATCAACCAGTACTAAATTCAAAATCTGGTCCCCTAGGTCCCCTGCCTACTAACAATGGGGCCTTAGGTAAGTTCCATTCCTAGAGAGTTGGTTACAAAAGCACATGGAATAAGCATTACTTGGAAATGTACTGAAATTCATCTCAGTTATCCCCGTGAATTCCTGAATTGGCTACCACACTATTGAAGCACATTAGGATTTAATTCAATACCATAACAACCAAATGTTTACAATATGCCCAGAACTATGCTAGGTGCTGGTGTTTCAAAGATGAATCAGTCAGCCATAATACCCAAATGCTTTTATGCACACTATTTTTCTCAGAAAGTGATAAAATTTTGGAAACAGACTTTGGCAAAGAAATCTTCTTAAGCTAAAAATAACAGGCAGGATAGATATTCCACCCACCCCAGTTTTCAAGCATTTTTAAATGTCTGTGTGACTCTCCACCGGTATAAAAGAATGTTGCTTTTTGGAATATCTTCTCATTCTGAATTAATTAGCAAGGTGAGCTGGAATCCATATCTAATTCTTAGGCGATTTGGCAAGATGGCAGTAGCTCTGCAGTGTAAACTGTTTACCAATGAAGCTAAAGCCTGTTCGTTTGATCTGATGTGTGGCATGCTATTCAATTGCTCCAAGGGAGGGGAGGAGAGAGTATTTCTCCTAATAGTCAATCTTACCCATGATTGCAATGTCTGCATTCCAAATGAATTCACAAATACTAAAAAACAATTCTATGAAACAATCTGTTGCAGAACACATAGAAAATCTGCCATGACATGAATAGGATATGGGTGAAGGAGCAGAACTGTAGAGACTGCTGGAGAGAAGGGACCCTGTTGGATTGGGGCTCAAAAATGAGGACAAAGTCCCAGGCAGGATTGAGAAAAATGGACTAAAGTTCATTCTAAAGAGAAAAGGGAGGAAGGAGGGTCTCATTTTCTGACAGCTTTCCAAAGTTTCCTCCCACAAATTCTATCTTCTTTCCAATGCAACACCATAGCCACACACATCCTCAAAGCAAAGCCCGTTGTTGAAACGGGCCATTCAAGGGCACATACCACCATGTTTGGATGTTTGACCATCTCAGCCTTTGCTGTTCCAAATAAACAATTGGCATTCCAACCCACGAATTAAAAATCTCAAACATACTTTATAGCCAGCTCCCTCAAACCACAGCCTATCACTCAGCTCATATAGACAGGCCTTCATCCCTCAAAGTCAACTCACTGGGAATAAAAATATGTCTGGTCAAAGTTATTTTTCCTTTAAAATTGGAGTATTCTAAGAAGTTTTAAAAGGTTTTTTCCCTAACAATTTAGCTAATAGAGAGGGGAACCAAATATCGAAGTTGTCTATACCTTCCTAGTTCAATGCCAATTTGTTTTAATTTCAAACCTCTATATGATGAAATATAATGCAACTCAAGTAAGTAAATAAGTGACACTTTAGCAATCTTTACAAAAACAAAAACAAGAAAACATTTACTCAGGTCTTAAGAAGAGGAGGTGGGATCATTGGTCAGTAACCTTCGGACCAATAACAAAATGATTAAAAAAAAAACTTCAAAAATTTGGGGAGCGAATGTTGGTAGCTGTGTATAAGGAAGCATTTTCCAACGTAGTAAAAAGATTGGAATAGAAACATAAACGCTTGCAACATCACTTGTCTTAGGTCAGTTCTCTGGGAAACAGACTGAGATGGAGATTTTCATGCCAGAAGTTTATTAAAGAGTGACTTAGGAATTAGCACCTGTTTGACAGTGAAGAAAGCAGAAATGGGTAAGGGGAAAAGGTGAACTTTGTTGCAGAAACAAAAAAGCCTCAAATGATCCCATGTGGAGCTCTGGTGCTAGAGTTACCCTTAGTTGCCCAGCCTGGAGGCAAGCAGGCTGGACCTTTGCATCCCTCATTGGCCAGCCCAGTCATTGACCTCAGGAAGGGGCATGAACTTAGATGAGGTGGCTTTCTTGGGCTGAGGGCAAGTCCTACAAAGCTACTCAACCAAGAGTGGTTGGTTGCCACACTCCCTGCAGCTAAGGGAACAGATGCCTCAAATCTAAAGCAGATCTGAGCATCAAGCCACCACATTTTCTGTATCACTGAAGGCCAGGGGTATGCCTGATTGGTCCAGGATGCACGTCTGCCCTCACAGAATGCCCTCAAACTTTCAACATTTCCATCCTGCCTTCTGCCATTGGAATAGGTTCTCTTCCAACAGTACTCTCTGTTCACTGGCTTGGCTCTACCTGCCATCCAAACTGAGTCTACACAAACTTTGGTCTGCACTCTTATTTCCATTGAGGAGGGAAAAACCTGTTCTGGTGCACACGGACTCTCTGCTTCTCCTCTTTCCTCCATTCTAATGGCACTCACAGGGCTCCCAATGTTCTTGGCACTGCACTCAGCCTGGGATTTGCAAGATGAATAGGACACCAGCCCTGTCCTTGCAGAACTCACAATCTGTTATTACAGGAAACAATGAAGACAAATTTCAAAGCAGTGTGGTAAAAGCAATGATAAATGTCATGAACAAAATATTTTTGAGAAGCTAAAGAAAGGAATGACCAAACTCTGCTTTGAGAACATCAGAGAAAGCTTTCTTCTGGAAGAGATGCTTGACCTTGACTTTGAAAAGTGGGTTGAGAGCTGCCAGATGGGGAGCTGGAGAGTGGATGTGCTAGGCAGGGTATGTGCAGAGGTGCGGGGTAGGGGCTAGAGTCATTTAGGTTAGGGTTTGGGGAACTATAAAGTGTAGCATGGCTTGGGTATAGGGTATGAAGAGCCCGTTGTGTCAAGCTAATGAGTTTGGATTTTATTCTGTAAGAAACAGAAAGCTAAGCTAATGGAAATTTTCAAGTCAAGGGTGACATAATCAGATTTACTTATTATTAAAATATTTAAAGGAATTGTGAAAGAAGAAAGAGAATAAAGGGGAATTTCCAAATAGGAGATCAGACAAGAGATGCGAAACATTTTGTTATTAAATACTCCAAATTTAGAGAATGTACTGAATATCTGGTTAATATAATAGATTCAATAAATCCTACCCTTTTGGGATATTTGCTTCAGATATTCTAAAAATAAGAAATAAAAGCATACAGATACTGTTGAAGGCCTTATTGTGTCTCTTCCTTGATACTTCCCCTTCCTTCTCACTCCATACCCCCTGGGACAGGAGACAGGAGATACAGCCTGTGAGAGGAGGCTCTGGAAATAATTGAGGAGTGAGAAAATAAGGGATGGTTTAAAGCAATGGCAATTAGAAAGAAGGTGAGAGAACAGATTCAAGGGGCTTTCTGGGGTATAACTATAAAATTTGAGGGGAATAGATTAAATGAAGGAAAAGAGGAGGAGAGAAATGGATTACAATTCAGCCAGTGATACTGTTAAGGAAACTTAAGAATGGGAGTGGTCTTCGGAATACTACACAGCCACAAAAAAAAAAGAATAAAATCACGTCCTTTGCAGCAACATGGATGGAGCTGGAGGCCATTATCTTAAGTGAATTAATGCAGGAAGAGAAATCCAAATACCACATGCTCTCACTTATAAGTGGAGCTAAACACTGAGTATCCATGGACATAAAGAAGGAGAAACAGACTCCAGGGCCTATTTGGGGGTGGAGGGTGGGAGGAGGGTGAGGATAGAAAAACTACCTATCGGGTATTATGCTGAGTATCGGGGTAATAAAATGATCTGTATACCAAATCCCCACTCCATGCAATTTATCCACATAACAAACCTGCACTTGTACCCCTTGAACCTAAACTAAAAGTTGGAAAGAAAGAAAAAATCAGTGTGGCAAAGCAAGTTTGGATAAAACAATAAAGTTTTACTTGCATAGTTCTGGAGCTCCTTGAGATGTCAGGGCTAGAGTGACCCCCCTGACGTTCACATGTAGATGATGCGCTGAACTTTGGTCTCCTACACCCTCTGCCTTCTTGTTTCTAATTTTTGTCTTTATTGTAAACAGTATGTAGATGGAGCTTCTGAGGGAACTAATTGCCAGATCAGAATTACAGAGCTACGAGGAAGGGAGCATTTGGCATCCGGGATTTGAACATACCAAGGATGCGCGGGAATTCCTCTCTTATAGCTCCCTCTTGCCAGAATCGACTATTATCATTTTGACAAACATTTGCTAATCTGATAGGCAAAGAATTGCTTCCCTTACTGTTGTTTAAATTTGCATGTCTTTGATTATACTAGAAGTTGAACATGTTTCCATATGTTTGTTTACTGCTTTGCATTTCTTATTTTGTGAATCATCTGTTCATGTCCTTTGCCCATTTATCTAGTTAGGTTTAAATGTTTTCATCATCAGTTTTAAGAGTCCTTTATATAACAAAGCTATTAACCCAATGTCATGTGGCTGCAAATATTTTTTCCTCTGTGTTTGCCTTTTCATATGAGGTTGGGTTTCATTTTTCTTTTACATGCATATATTTTTCATACTTACGCTTCTGCTTAAAATCTTTCTGCATTCAATTCCTGAGCATGGTATGCAAGGCCCTTCAAGGAACAGCTCCTTCAACCTCTGTTCTGTCAGTTCATCCCACAAAATGCATGGTCTAGTTGTTCTCCTCCCACATAAATGCAAAAAGTCCTCCCATACTTCTAGGATGTAACACATCTTCCCAGGAGTCCTTCCTGCCCCCATTCACCAAAATAACTTCCAGTCCTTCCGGATGCACGGCAAGTCAGTGTGATGGAGGAGTTCCGTGCACGGGGTCCGGGTGAAAACTGCTGGCCTGGACTCCCAGCAGTTTGGCTTACTAGCTGCATTTGCCAGTTGACCTAAACTATCCAAGCCTCCATTTCCTTACATGTTAAATGAGAAAAAAAAAAAGGAGTGGTTCCTCAAAACATGAACCACAGAGTTACCATACAACCCAGAAATTCCACTCTTCAGCACAGTCTCAGGAGAACTGAAAACCTACTGCCATGGTCTGAACGTCTGTGCCCCCAACTCAAAATTCATATGTTGAAAGTTAACCCCCAAAGTGATTGTATTAGCGGCCTTTGGGAAGTGATCAGGTCATGACTGGGATTAGTGCTCTTTAAAAAGAGACCCTAGAGAGCCTACCTAGCCCCTTCTGTCATGGGAAGACACAGTAAGAAGGGGCCATCTATGAACCAGGAAACAGACCCTCACCAGGCACTGAATCAGCTTGCACCTTGCTCTTGGAATTCGGCCTCCAGAACTGTAACAAATAAATTTTCCTTCGTTGAAGCCCCCAGTTTGTCATGCTTTGTTATAGCCTCTCAGGAGACTCATATAATCACCAAAAGGCTGTTGAATGCCTGCTCGGAATTGAACACTCAGGAGAAAAGCAGCCCTAAGCGATGGATCAAGGAAAAGATGAATGTGGAGAGAGCCCAGCCTATGGGTCTCCCCATCTATTCCTCTCCTCTCACCTCCTGTCCTTCTTTGCCACACCTGCGACCTCTCCAGCTGCAGAAATATTTACCAGGCATTGTTTAAACAAAAAGGAGAGCTAGTTCTAAGAAGAGCAGGGAAGAATAAGATGGAACCAATCCGGAGGCCAGAACCAATGTCCTGGCTTATAATTCAGAGCAGCCTCCTCCCTCTCCCACCCCCAGGGTGACTTTATCCTGTAAATTAATCCCATGAATGGTTTAAGACACAGGCACTGAATTAAATGTGACTCATTTTCTATTGCAAATTCTCCTTACTGACTTAGTTACTTTATATGCCTGAAATTATTTTATTTTTAGTTAACACATTTTTTAAAAAACGGAATGAAATGCAAATCCTTTCAGAGCTTGTCCGACTCCTGTAAAGCTTAACTACATAAATTTCAATGTATTATTTATATCCAGATATGCTGCAGCTGAATTTCACATGTAAATGTTCAGAATTTCAAGTTCCTTAATTGAAAACTTAAAAAAAAAATCTCTCTTCATCACCACTGGCTGTCTCCCCTCTTTTATGAAAGATACTGTTAATATGTTACAACATGGCCCTCTTGCACACCTTGGAAGGAGATCCAAGTCTTGTTCCCTTCTTGGTCCAGCCCTGTGACCTTGTGATGTCACATGATTTCAATAACATGAAAGTGAAAGCAGATGACTGTTTCATGCTCCGTGGAACTCTGGGTTCTAAGAATTTATATGGGGGTTGTAGAACGTTCTGGTAGGAAGGGGCCTGGGAGCTCCGTCCCTCCCCCTGCAGCATCGGGGGTATCCCTGCAGGCCCCAGGAATTCCGGTCTCTGGAGGCAGTTTCCTCCCCAACGCAGGAAGATGAGATAAGTGAGCTGGGCTCACGAGTGGGCTGCCTCTCTGGGGAGCTTGTCACTGTGCTGGCAATGACTCAGGGAACATTTCCTGGAGGAGGTGGGTTGCAGGAGCAAGAAGCCACCAGATAACTTGCCAGAAGAATGTGCACAGGAGGCAGAAGCAGTTGTAGTTCCATCTGCATCCATCAATGTGAATGCACTTACTAGACTCTCTGGATTCAGTGTGCTGGAGACAGCTATGGTTCTAACTGTGGCTTATTTGGTTGAGTGAGAGTGGACTAAATGGTGACTTACACTGAATGTAGTGTAAATGCCAGAAATTCCTTGGTACAATATAGGAGAAGAAATTCACAGGCATAGGAGGATGGGAGTGTTGGAAGGGATTTATTATGCTAAATAAGATTTAGAGGAGGCTATTTATTTGTTTGAACTGAACTTTTGCACCAGGCCCAACAAACCAAATCAAACTGAAGTCACTCTTGCTGAAGTTCCATACCACCAAGCTGAAATTAAGCTGTTAATCTAACTTTCCAAGAAATCAGGAGAGAGAGAGAATAACCAAATCTCCAAACAGGCCAGTTTAAGCCAGCATAATTTTAAAAAGTTCTTTCTGCTTTAGAAGAAAAGTAACTTTGAAACAACCAACCCATTTTTTGTTCTGTTTCTGCTTTCCTCAGCCCTTTACTGTCTATAAAACCAACCTCCTTTGCTTGGCTCAACGGAACACTCATTTTGTTTTATGAGTTGTTGCCTTATTCTAGAATTGCAGATAAAAACCAATTAAGATCTTCAAACTGAATTTGTTGTAATTTTGTCTTTTGACAATCTTGTGTGACCTGCTAACCCAGCCCTTAACAATATGTTTCCAGAGGGCTCCAGAGACACTTCCTTCACTGGGGCATTGAGAGTTACATTGTATTTCCACATGCCCAATTCCTTGAATCAGTCTCAATTCCTCTTTCTCTCCCATCCCAGATGGAACCCATAAGCAAATCACAGTGATTTTCTCTTCAAAATACATCCATAATCCAAGTGAGGTAGGAGGAAGGCTCAGACACTGGACCAAATTGAGGACTAGTTAAGACAGGGTCTTATGGAAAGCAGCTTTCCATAAGACACCCCACCAGTGTTCCATGTCAGTTTACCATTGCCATGGCAACGCCTAAGATTTACCACCCCTTTCCATGGCAACACGAGAAGTTACTGCCCCTTACTAGAAATTTCTGAATACTCCATCCCTTAATTTGCATATAATTAAAAGTGGTTATAAATGTGACTGCAGAACTGCCCCTGAGCCGCTGCTCTGGGCGCACTGCCTTATGGGGTAGCCCTGCTCTGCAAGGAGCAGGACCTCTGCTGCGGCCATACACTGCCACTTCAATAACAGCTGCTACCACCACCACCTCACCCTTGAATTATTTCCTGGGTGAAGCCAAGAACTCTCCCTGGCTAAGCCCCAAATTTGGGGCTTGCCCACACTGCATCACAAGTATGTCTTATCATGACTGCTGCTGTCTCTCCCAGTTACTTACATTAGGTGGCTGGTTTGTCTCCCTGACTCTTCTGCTGTTGGTCCCCTTCCTACTACCCTCCACACAAGAGTCAGAGTCATTCGGTGTTTTGTCTCTTTTCCAATAACCAATTCTCTAGTTCTCTGATACCAACTGAGTTTCCTATAATTCAATTCATTTCTGACACTAACTACCCAGAGTTAGCACAGACCTCCACAAGTTAAGGGTTCTACAAGTCCCACAAGACTGCCTGTACTTCAGGGCCCAGCCACAAATGGGGTCCCCAGGCTACCTGCACTTCTTCCTGGCCAACTACTAATTCAAGAGTTCCCACGACTGCTCTCTCTCCTTCAGTTTGATAATTCACTAGGGTGATTCACAGAACTAAGGAAAGTGCTATTCTTACCATTACAGTTTTGTTACAAAGGCTACAACTCAGGAACAGCCAAAGGGAAGAGATGCACAGGTGAAGGCATTGGAAGATTGAGGGTGGGGTGTGCAGAATTTCTGTGCCTTCTCCAGGCAGTTGAACTTCCCAGCACATCAATATGTTCATCCACCTGGAAGCTCACCTACTCTAGTAGTTTCAGAGTTTTAATGGAGCTTTTATTCCATAGGCAGTTTTGATTAAATCATTGGCCACTGGAGAATGAACTCCATCTGCAGTCCCATTCCTCTCCCTAGAGCTAGGAGGTAAGTCTGGAAGTTCTAACCCTCTAAGCAAGGGTTTGTTATTCTGGTGACCAGCCCCACCCTGAAACTCTCTAGGGCTTTCCCACCCCTTGAATCATCTTGTTTACATACAAAAAACACTCCCATCACTCAGCAAATTCCAAAGGTTTTAGGAATTCTGTGCCAGAAACTGGAGATGAAGACCACATGTATTTTTTATATCACCTTCTGCTAAACCACAAGCCATAGTATGTCACAACTCTGTTCAAAATCCTCATTTCCTTAAGAGTAAAAGCCAAGGTTCCCACAATGGCCCATAAAACAATACATTCTAGTCCCCCTGCCCTTCCCCTAACTAACTCCCTTCCAGCCACAAAGACCTCAAATAATCTAGGCAGGTTCCCACTACAGGCTCTGCACAGTTGCTATTTCCTCCAACCAGGTACTCTGCCCCCAGAAACCAAGATGGCTCCTTCCCTCTCTCCTTTTCTCAGAGATCAACTGAGTTGTAAGGCCTTATCTGACCTCCCTATTTAAATTGTGACTCTCTTCTAAGACTCCATTGTTTTATTTTCCTCCAAATCACATATCACCAACTTGCCTACTATGTGTCCTGTTTTATTATCTGATTCCCTCCACGAAAATGGGTCTTCTTCTTCTTGTATTCTTTTTTTTTAATGTTTTGTTGCTATATTATAGTAGTACATATTTTAGGGGTATGTGTGATATTTTGATACCTTTATACAATGTGTAATAATCAAATTAGTATCATTGGGATATACATCACCTCAAACATTTACCTTTTCTTTGTGTTGGAAATGTTAGAATTCTTCTCAATGAATTATTGTTAACTATAATTTCCCTACTATACTAGTGAATACGAGAACTTATTTCTTTTATCTAACTGTATATTTTTACCCCTTAATCCATTTATCTTCGTACCTCCCTTTCCTTTTCCCTTCCCAGCCTTTGGTGACCACCATTCTATCCTTTCCTTCCATGACATCCACCTTCTAAGCTCTCCCATATGAGTAAAACACATGATGTTTGTCTTTCTGTGCCTGGCTTGTTTCTCTTACCATAATGACCTCCAGTTCCATCTATGTTGCTTTAAATGATAAGGTTTCATTTTTTATGGTCAAATAATATTCCATTCTGTATAGGTACATTTTCTTTATGAATTTATTCATTAAGGGACACTTAGATTGGTTCCTTATCTTGGGTATTGTGAATAATGAGGCAATAAATATGGGAGTGAAGATATTGCTTTCAGATACTGATTGCCTTTCTTTTGGTTATATACTTAGCAGTGGAATTGCTGGATCATATAGTAGTTTTATTTTTAGTTTTTTTAGGAACCTCCATACTTTTCCCATAACTGTGTACTACTTTCCTCCCCAACAGTGTATGCATGTTCCCTTTTCTCCACATCCCCGCCAGCATTTGTTATTTTTTGTCTTTTTGATAACAGTCATTCTAACTGAGTGAGATGGTATCTCATTGTGGTTTTGATTTGCTTTCCCTGATGATTAGTGATGTTGGCCATTTTTCATATATCTACTGGCCATTTGTATTTCTTGTTTTGAGAAATGTCGATTCAGGTATTTAATCCATTTTTAAAACCAGATTGTTTGTTTTTTGGTATCGAGTCATTTGAGTTTCCTTTATATTCTAGATATTAATCCCTTGTTGGATGGAGAGTTTGCAAATATTTTCTCCCATTCTTCAGGTTATCCCTTTACTTCTTTTACCATTTCCTTTGCTGTGCAGAAGCTTTTTGGCTTGATGTAATCCCATTTGTATATTTTTGCCTTTGTTGCCTGTGCTTTTGAGGTCTTACTCAAAATCTCTTTGCCCAGATCAATGTCCTGTAGTGTTTCCCCAGTGTTTTCTTTTAGTGGTTTCATAGTTTCACGTCTTACATTTAAGTCTTTAATCCATTTTGAGTTGATTCTTCTTTGTGGTAAAAGATGGAGATCCAGTTTCATTCTTCTACATACAGATATCCAGTTTTCTCAGCACTATTTATTAGAGATTATCCTTTCTCCCAATGTATGTTCTTGATGTCTTTGTCAAAAATAAGTTGCCCTAAGTGTGTGGATTTATTTCTGGGTTCTCTATTCTGTTCCAATGGTCTATGGGTCTGTTTTTGTACCAGTACATGCTGTTTTGGTTACTATAGATTTATAGTATAATTTTAAGTCAGATAGTGTGATATCTCCAGCTTTATTTTGTATCCTATAGCTTGTAGAATTCCTTAATCAGTTCTAGTAGTTTCTGAGTCGAGTGTTTAGGTTTTTCTAAATATAAGTTTGTTTCATCTGTAAACAAGTACAATTTGACTTCATTCCAGTTTGGATGCCCTTTACTTTTTTTAATCTTGTCTAATTACTCTAGCTAGGACTTTCAGTACAATGTTGAATAAAAGTGATGAAAGTAGGCATTCTTGTCTTGTTCCAGATCTTAGTGGAAAGGCTTTCAATTTTTCCCCATTCAGTATGATATTAACTGTGGATTTGTCATACATGGTCCTTATCAAGTTGAAGTATGTTTCTTCACCAATTTTTTGAGAGTTTTTTTCATTAAGTGATGTTCAATTTTCTTGAATGCTTTTTAAATATCTATTGAAATAGGGGGAAGGGCGTCCTCCATTGCTGAGGCTTGAGTAGCTCACAGTGTAAACAAAGAGGCCTGGAAGCAAGAACTGGGTGGAGCCCATCCCAGCTCAGCAAGGCCTACTGCCACTATAGATTCCACCTCTGGGGGCAGGGCATAGTAGAACAAAAGGCAACAGACAGCTTCTGCAGACTTAAACTTCCCTGTCTGACAGCACTAAAGAGAGCAGTGGTTCTCTCAGCACAGCATTCCAGCTCCAAGAATGGACAGACTGCCTCCTCAAGTGGGCCCCTGACCCCTGTGTAGCCTGACTGGGAAACACCTCCCAGTATGGGCCGACAGACAACTGAAACAGGTGGGTGCCCCTCCAGGATGAAGCTTCCAGAGGAAGGATCAGACAGCAATACTAGCTGTTCTGCAGCCTTCGCTGGTGATACTTAGGCAAACAGGGTCTGGAGTGGACCTCCAGCAAACTCCAACAGACCTGCAGCTGAGGGACCTGACTGTTAGAAGGAAAACTAACAAACAGAAAGGAATAGCATCAACATCAACAAAAAGGACACCCACACCAAAACCCCATCTGTAGGTCAGCAACATCAAAGAACAAAAGTAGATAAAAAACCACAAAGATGGGAAGAAACCAGAGCAGAAAAGCTGAAAATTCCAAAAACCAGAGCGTCACTTCTCCTTCAAAGGATTGCATCTCCTCGCCAACAAGAGAACAAGACGGGATGGAGAATGACTTTGATGAGTTGAGAGAAGTAGGCTTCAGAAGGTCGGTAATAACAAACTTCTCCAAACTAAAGGAGGATGTTTGAACCCATTGCAACGAAGAGAAAAACTTCGAAAAAAGGTTAGACGAATGGCTAACTAGAATAAACACTGTAGAGAAGACTTTAAACGACATGATGGAGCTGAAAACCATGGCATGAGAACTTCTTGATGCAAGCACAAGCTTCAATAGCTGATTCAATCAAGTGGAAGAAAGGATATCAGTGATTGAAGATCATATTAATGAAATAAAGCAAGTAGACAAGATTAGAGAAAAAAGAGTGAAAAGAAACGAACAAAGCCTCCAAGAAATATGGGACTATGTGAAAAGACCAAATCTACGTTTGATTGGTATACTGGACAGTGACAGGGAGAATGGAACACAGTGTAGAAAATGCTATTCAGGACACTATCCAGGAGAATTTCCCCAACCTACCAAGGCAAGCCAACATTCAAATTCAGGAAATACAGAGAACACCACAAAGATATTCCTCGAGTAGAGCAACCCCAAGACACACAATTGTCAGATTCACTAAAGTTGAAATGAAGGAAAAAACGTTAAGGGCAGCCAGAGAGAAAGGTCAGGTTACCCACAAAGGGAAGCCCATCAGACTAACAGCAGATCTCTTGGCAGAAACCATACAAGCCAGAAGAGAGTGGGGGCTAATATTCAACATTCTTAAAGAAAAGAATTTGCAACTCAGAATTTCATATCCAGTCAAACTAAGCTTCATAAATGAAGGAGAAATAAAATCCTTTACAGACAAGCAAATGCTGAGAGATTTTGTCACTACCAGACCGGCCTTACAAGAACTCCTGAAGGAAGTGCTAAACATGGAAAGGAACAACCGGTACCAGCCACTGCAAAAACATGCCAAATGGTAAAGAATATCCAAGCTATGAAGAAACTGCATAAACTAATGGGCAAAATAACCAGCTAACATCATAACGACAGGATCAAATTCACACATAACAATATTAACCTTAAATGTAAATGGGCTAAATGCCCCAATTAAAAGACACAGACTGGCAAATTGGATAAAGAGTCAAGACTCATCAGTATGCTATATTCAGGAGACCCATCTCACATGCAAACACACGCATAGGCTCAAAATAAAGGAATGCAGGAAGATCTACCAAGCAAATAGAAAGCAACAACAACAACAACAACAACAACAACAAACCAGGGGTTGTGATTCTAGTCTCTGATAAAACAGACTTTAAACCAACGAAGATCAAAAGAGACAAGGAAGACCACTACATAATGGTAAAAGGATCAATTCAACAAGAAGAGTTAACTATCCTACATATATATGCACCCAATACAGGAGGACCCAGATTCATAAAGCAAGTCCTTAGAGACCTAAAAAGAGACTTAGACTCCCAGACAGTAATAATGAGAGATTTTAACACCCCACTGTCAATATTAGACAGATCAATGAGACAGAAGATTAACAAGGATATCTAGGACTTGAACTCAGCTCTGGACCAAGAAGGCCTAATAGATATCTACAGAACTCTACACCCCAAATCAACAGAAGATACATTCTCAGCACCACATCACACTTATTCTAAAATTGACCACATAGTTGGAAGTAAAGCACTCCTCAGCAAATGTAAAAGAACAGAAGTCACAACAAACTGTCTCTCAGACCACAGCACAATCAAATTAGAACTCAGGATTAAGAAATTCACTCAAAACCACCCAACTGCATGGAAACTGAAGAACCTGCTCCTGAATGACTACTGGGTAAATAATGAAATGAAGGCAGAAATAAAGATGTTCTTTAAAACCAATGAGAACAAAGACACAGTGTACAAGAATCTCTGGGACACATTTAAGGCAGAGGGTAGAGGGAAATTTATAGCACTAAATGCCCACAAGAGAAAGCAGGAAAGATCTAAAATTGACATCCTAACATCACAATTAAAAGAACTAGAGAAGCAGGGCAAACACATTCAAAAGCTAGCAGAAGGCAAGAAATAACTAAGATCAGAGCAGAACTGAAGGAGACAGAGACACAAAAAACCCTTCAAAAAAATCATTGAATCCAGGAGCCGGTTTTTTGAAAAGATCAACAAAATTGATAGACTGCTAGCAAGACTAATAAAGAAGAAAAGAGAGAAGAATCAAATAGATGCAATAAAAAATGATAAAGGGGATATCACCATCGATCCCACAGAAACACAAACTACCATCAGAGAATACTATAAACACCTCTGCACAAATAAACTAGAAAATCTAGAAGAAATGGATAAATTCCTGGACACATACACCCTCCCAAGACTAAAACAGGAAGAAGTTGAATCTCTGAATAGACCAACAACAGGCTCTGAAATTGAGGCAATAATTAATAGCCTACCAACCAAAAAAAGTCCAGGATCAGATGGATTCACAGCCAAATTCTACCAGAGGTACAAAGAGGAGCTGGTACCATTCCTTCTGAAACTATTTCAATCAGTAGAAAAAGAGGGAATCCTCCCTAACTCTTTTTATGAGGCTAGCATCATCCTGACACCAAAGCCTGGAGGAGACACAACAAAAAAAGGGAATTTTAGACCAATATCCCTGACGAATATCAATGCGAAAATCCTCAATAAAATACTGGCAAACTGAATCCAGCAGCACATCAAAAACCTTATCCACCACGATCAAGTCACTTTCATCCTTGGGATGCAAGACTGGTTCAATATATGCAAATCAATAAAAGTAATCCATCACATAAACAGAACCAATGAAAAAAAACACATGATTATCTCAATAGACGCAGAAAAGGCCTTTGACAAAATTCAACAGCTCTTCATGCTAAAAACTCTCAATAAACTAGGTATTGATGGAACGTATCCCAAAATAATAAGAGCTATTTATGACAAACCCACAGCCAATATCATAATGAATGGACAAAAACTGGAAGCATTCCCTTTGAAAACCAGCACAAGACAAGGATGCCCTCTGTCACCACTCCTATTCAACATAGTGTTGCAAGTTCTGGCCAGGGCAATCAGGCAAGAGAAAGAAATAAAGCATATTCAATTAGGGAAAGAGGAAGTCAAATTGTCCCTGTTTGCAGATGACATGATTGTATATTTAGAAAACCCCATCGTCTCAGCCCAAAATCTCCTTAAGCGGATAAGCAATTCAAGCAAAGTCTCAGGATACAAAATCAATATGCAAAAATCACAAGCATTCCTATACACCAATAATAGACACACAGAGAGCCAAATCATGAGTGGACAAAACTGACAAAAACAAGAAATGGGGAAAGTATTCCCTATTTAATAAATGGTGCTGGGAAAACTGGCTAGCCATATGTAGAAAGCTGAAACTGGATCGCTTCCTTACACCGTATACAAAAATTAACTCAAGATGGATTAAAGACTTAAAAGTAAGTCCTAACACCATAAAAACCCTAGAAAAAAACCTAGGCAATACCATTCATGACATAGGCATGGGCAAAGACTTCATGACTAAAACATCAAAAGCAATGGCAGCAAAAACCAAAATAGACAAATGGAATCTAATTAAACTAAAGAGCTTCTCCACAGCAAATAAACTGTCGTCCAAGTGAACAGGCAACTTACAGAATGGGAGAAAATTTTTGCAATCTACCCATCTGACAGAGGGCTAATATCCAGAATCTACAAATAACTTAAACAAATTTACAATTTAAAAAAACCATCAAAAAGTGGGCAAAGGGTATGAATAGACACTTCTCAAAAGAAGACATTTATGCAGCCAACAGAAATGTGAAAAAATTCTCATAATCACTGGTCATCAGAGAAATGCAAATCGAAACCACAATGAGATACCATCCCACGCCAGTGAGAATGGCGATCATTAAAAAGTCAGGAAACAACAGATGTTGGAGAGGATGTGGAGAAATAGGAACACTTTTACACTGTTGGTGGGAGAGTAAACTAGTTCAACCATTGTGGAAGACAGTGTGGTGATTCCTCAAGGATCTAGAACTAGAAATACCATTTGACCCAGCGATTCCATTACTGGGTGTATACCCAAAGGATTATGTTGATCATTTCAAAAAACCAGCCTCCTGGATTCTTTGATTTTTTTGAAGGGTTTTTTGTGTCTCTATCTCCTTCAGTTCTGCTCTGATCTTAGTTATTTCTTCCCTTCTGCTAGCTTTTGAATGTGTTTGCTCTTGCTTCTCTAGTTCTTTTAATTGTGATGTTAGGGTGTCAATTTTAGATCTTTCCCACTTTTTCTTGTGGGCATTTAGTGCTATAAATTTTCCTCTACACACTGCTTTAAATGTGTCCCAGAGATTCTTGTACATGTGTCTTTGTTCTCATTGGTTTCAAAGAACATCTTTATTTCTGCCTTCATTTCGTTATGCACCCAGTAGTCATTCAGGAGCAGGTTCTTCAGTTTCCATGTTGTTGTGCGGTTTCTATTGAGTTTCTTAATCCTGAGTTCTAATTTGATTGTGCTGTGGTCTGAGAGACAGTTTGTTGTGACTTCTGTTCTTTTACATTTGCTGAGGAGTGCTTTACTTTCAACTATGTGGTCAATTTTGGAATAAGTGTGATGTGGTGCTGAGAAGAATATATATTCTGTTGATTTGGGGTGGAGAGTTCTGTAGATGTCTATTAGGCCTGCTTGGTGCAGAGCTGAGTTCAAGTCCTGGAAATCCTTGTTAACTTTCTGTCTCATTGATCTGTCTAATATTGACAGTGGGTTGTTAAAATCTCCCATGATTATTGTGTGGGAGTCTAAGTCTCTTTTTAGGTCTCTAAGGACTTGCTTTATGAATCTGGGTCCTCCTGTATTGGGTGTATACATATTTAGTATAGTTAGCTCTTCTTGTTGAACTGATCCCTTTACCATTATGTAATGGCTTTCTTTGTCTCTTTTGATCTTTGTTGGTTTGAAGTCTGTTTTTTTGGAGACTAGGATTGCAACCCCTGCTTTTTTTTTTTTTTCTCTCCATTTGCTTGGTAAATCTTCCTCCATCCCTTTATTTTGAGCCTATGTGTGTCTCTGTACATGAGATGGTTCTCCTGAATATAGCACACTGATGGGTCTTGACTCTTTATCCAATTTGCCAGTCTGTGTCTTTTAATTGGGGCATTTAGCCCATTTACATTTAAGGTTAATATTATTATGTGTGAATTTGATCTCATCATTATGATGTTAGCTGGTTATTTTGCCCATTAGTTGATGCAGTTTCTTCATAGCATCGATGTTCTTTACCATTTGGCATGTTTTTGCAGTGGCTGGTACCAGTTGTTCCTTTCCATGTTTAGTGCTTACTTCAGGAGCTCTTGTAAGGCTGGTCTGGTAGTGACAAAATCTCTCAGCATTTGCTTGTCTGTAAAGGATTTTATTCCTCCTTCACTCATGAAGCTTAGTTTAGCTGGATATGAAATTCTGAGTTGCAAATTCTTTTCTTTAAGAATGTTGAATATTAGCCCCCGCTCTCTTCTGGCTTGTATGGTTTCTGCCAAGAGATCTGCTGTTAGTCTGATGGGCTTCCCTTTGTGGGTAACTCAACCTTTCTCTCTGGCTGCCCTTAACATTTTTTCCTTCATTTCAGCCTTGGTGAATCTGACAATTATGTGTCTTGGGGTTGCTCTACTTGAGGAGTATCTTTGTGGTGTTCTCTGTATTTCATGACTTTGAATGTTGGCCTGCCTTTGTAGGTTGGGGAAGTTCTCCTGGATAATATCCTGAAGAGTGTTTTCCAACTTGGTTCCATTCTCCCAGTCACTTTCAGGCACACCAATCATACGTAGATTTGGTCTTTTCACATAGTCCCATATTTCTTGGAGGCTTTGTTGGTTTCTTTTTATTCTTTTATCTCTAACCTAGTCTTCTCCCTTTATTTCATAATTTGATCTTCAATTACTGATACCCTTTGTTCCACTTGATCGAATCAGCTATTGAAGGTTGTGCATGCGTCACGAAGTTCTCATGCCATGGTTTTCAGCTCCATGATGTCATTTAAGGTCTTCTCTACACTGTTTATTCTAGTTAGCCATTCGTCTAACCTTATTTCAAGGTTTTTAGCTTCATTGCGATGGGTTCAGATATCCTCCTTTAACTCGGAGAAGTTTGTTATTACCGACCTTCTGAAGCCTACTTCTGTCAACTCATGAAAATCATTCTCCGTCAAGCTTTGTTCCATTGCTGATGAAGAGCTCTGATCCTTTGGAGGAGAAGAGGCACTCTGGTTTTCAGAATTTTCAGCTTTTCTGCTCTGGTTTCTCCTTATCTTTGTGGTTTTATCCACCTTTGCTCTTTGGTATTGGGGTGACCTATAGATGGGGTTTTGGTATGGATGTCCTTATTGTTGATGTTTATACTATTCCTTTCTGTTTGTTAGTTTTCCTTCTAACAATCAGGTCCCTCAGCTGCAGGTTTGTTGGAGTTTGCTGGAGGTCTACTCCAGACCCTGTTTGCCTGGGTATCACCAGCAGAGGCTCAGTTGGAAATGCAGAAATCACTAATCTTCTGCATCAATCACGCTGGGAGCTGCAGACCGGAGCTGTTCATATTCGGCCATCTTGGAATGTAACCTGGTTGTTTTTCCAGTTTAAATATGATATCCCTACATGTAGACACTTTTGATATAGGCCCTACCTAAGCTTCCTGGACCTGTGGTTTGGCATATCTGTCATTAATTTTTGAAAATTCTCAACCATTATTGCTTCAAATAGTTCTGTTGTTTTCTCCTCATTCTGGAATTCACATTACATATATGTTATGCCTTTTGTTATTGCCCCATGGTTCTTGGATATTCTGCTTCATTTTTTTATTCTTTATTTTCTTTGTATTTCAGTTTGAGGAGTTCTCTAGTGATGTATCTTTTTTCCCTTACTTCTGCTTGTTTTGGATTTTTTTTGCTCTTTTTTAAATTTAGGCTTCTGAAGTGAGAGCTTAGATTATTTGTTTTAGACTTTTCCTCTTTTCTAATGGCATTTTGTACTATAAATTTAACTTTCAGCACTTTTTTAGCTTTGTTAGACAAAGTTTTATATGTTATATTTTCATTTCCATTTAGTTTGGTGTAGTTTTTATTTATCTAAGAACTTCATCTTTGATGTGTGAGTTATTTAGAAATATATTGTTTAGTTGTCAAATGCCTGGCAATTTTTCTGTTATATTTATCTTATTGATTTGATTTATCTATGGCGATCTTCAGTGTATCTCTTACTATAGCTTCTTTAATGGTTATTCTAGGTATTATGTTGTGTGTGTGTGTGTGTGTGTACACATGCACACATATATATATATGTGTGTGTGTATATATATAGAGTCATTGTTTTCTAGCTTGTGTGGCATACAGAAATCTTACCTTCCTTTACTTTCTTTCACCCTCCCCTATTTATAATTGTCTTAAATATTTTCTGTATATATATTTAGAATTCAAGAGGATAGCAAAGTGTATTGTCTTAGCCATATTTTTCCTTATCATGTCCCTTCTTCTTTCTTGATGTTTCTAGATATTGTGGTTAGAAAATATGTTCTTTGGCTATTATATAAAAATAAAAAATAACAGATGCTGGAAAAGTTGTGGAGAAAAGGGAACCCTTATACACTGTTGGTGGGAGTGTAAGTTAGTTCAACCACTGTGGAAAGAAGTACGGCAATTCCTTGAAGACCTAAAAGCAGAACTGCCATTCAACCCAGCAATCCTATTACTGGGTATATATCCAGAGGAATAGAAAGCATTCCACCATAAGACACATGCACAGAAATGTTCACTGCAGCACTGTTCACAATAGCAAAGACATGGAATCAACCTAAATGCCTATCAATGACAGACTGGATAAAGAAAATGTGGTACATATACACCATAATTATGCAGCCATAAAACGATAAGATCATGTTTTTTGCAGGAAAATGGATGGAGCTACAGGCCATCATCCTAAGCAAACAAACAAACCAAGTACCACATATTCTCACTAATATGTGGGAGCTAAATGATAAAAACTTATAAACACAAAGAAGGCAACAATAGACACTGGGGTCTACTTGAGTGGGGATGGAAGGAGGGAGAAAAACAGAAAAGATAACTATTAGGTACTGAGCTTAATACCTGGGTGATGTAATAGTATGTACACCATACCCCTGTAACACGTTTATCTATGTAACAAGCCTTCACAGGTACCCCAAAACCTAAAATAAAAATTAAAAAATACACGTTCTGTATGATTTTAATTTTATGATTTTTGTTGGCATTTGTTCTATGGCTTAGGACGTGGACTATCTTGGAATATGCTCCACAGGCACTTGAAAAGAATGTGTATTCTGCTGTTATGGGTAGAATCTGCTATAAATTAGATCCTGTGGGTTGATGGTTTTGTTCAGTTCTTTTATAACTTGCTGCTTTTCTGTCTAGTTGTCCTATTGTGGATGTGTGTATTTCTCCTTTCAGTTTTATCAGTTTCTGCTACACATCTTTTTCAGCTATGTTGTTTTATGCATATGGCTTTAGAATTGCTATGTTTTGTTGGTGGATTGGCCCTTTTATCATTATATAATGCCTCTCTCTGTCACTGATAATTTTATCTGCTCTGAATTCTACTTTGTATGATATTAATACAGCCACATCAGGCTGGGCGCGGTGGCTCACGACTGTAATCCCAGCACTTTGGGAGGCCGAAGCAGGCGGATCACGAGGTCAGGAGATCAAGACCATCCTGGCTAACACGGTGAAACTCCATCTCTACTAAAAATACAAAAAATTAGCCGGGCGTGGTAGCGGGAGCCTGTAGTCCCAGCTACTTGGGAGGCTGAGGCAGGAGAATGGCCTGAACCTGGGAGGCAGAGCTTGCAGTGAGCCGAGATTGTGCCACTGCACTCCAGCCTGGGTGACAGAGCTAGATGCTGTCTCAAAAAAAAAAAAAAATACAGCCACATTGGCTTTCTTTTGATTAATGCTTACATGGTATATATTTTCCATCATTTTACTTTTAATTTGCCTATGTTGTTACATTTGAAATGAGTTTCTAATAGATTTTGTATACTTAGGTCATGTTTTTTATTCACTCTGCAGATTTATCTTTTACTTGGAGTAGATATACACTATTTACATTCTACATAATTGTTTATATGTTAGGGCTTAAGTCTGTGTATTTACCTTTCATTTGCTTTTTTGTTTGTTCTCTCCATTGTGTTTTCTTTTGCATTCTTTCCTATGGGTTACAGGAATTGTTTTTAGAATTCCATTTTGATTAATCTATGGCGATCTTCAGTGTATCTCTTACTATAGCTTCTTTAATGGTTATTCTAGGTATTATGTTGTGTGTGTGTGTGTGTGTGTGTACACATGCACACATATATATATGTATGTGTGTATATATAGTCATTGTTTTCTAGCTTGTGTGGCATACAGAAATCTTACCTTCCTTTACTTTCTTTCACCCTCCCCTATTTATAATTGTCTTAAATATTTTCTGTATATATATTTAGAATTCAAGAGGATAGCAAAGTGTATTGTCTTAGCCATATTTTTCCTTATCATGTCCCTTCTTTCCTGATGTTTCTAGGTTTCTACTTTTATCATTTCCTTTCTGTTTAGAGAATATCCTTTAGCCATTCTTTGAGGATAGGTCTACAGGCAACAAATTTACTTAGGTTTACCTTGTCTGAGAATATCATGATTTCCCCTTAATTTTTGAAAAATATTTTCCCTGGGTATAGGATTATTGGTTGACAGTTTTCTTTTCTCTCAACACCTGAAAAATATTGTGCCACTTCCTTCTGACATTCATTATTTCTTTCAGAAAAATGCTGTTGTTCTAATTTTTTCCTAATAGTGAAAGTGTCATTTTTCCTTTGGATTTCAAGATTTTTTTTCTTTAGTTCTCGGAAGTTTAATCATGGTGCATCTTGGAATGAATTGTGAAGGTCTATCTTATTTGGGATCTGTAGGTTTATATCTCTTGACAAATTTGGGGACATTTTCAGTCATTATTCTTCAAGTATTTTTTCAGCTATACTCTTTTTTTTCCTCCTTCTGAGACTCCAATGCCACAAATATTAGATCTTTTGTGATAGTCTTATAAGTCCTGAAATCCTGTTCAGTTTTTTAATTCTGTTTTCTCTCTGTTGTTTAGATTAATTTCTATTGTACTCTTTTCACTTATTCTCTCCTCTGTTCTCTTCATCTGATGTTGATCTCATCCACTGGGGGTTTTTCTAGTCATTGTGTTTTTCAGTTCTAAAATTGCATTTGGTTGGTTTTTGTGTTTTCTATTTATTTGCTGAGACTTTTTATTTTTTTCACTTATCACAAGCATATTCATAATTGCCCATGGAAGTATTTTTATTATGGCTGCTTTAAAATCTTTGTCAGATAATTCTAAAATGTCTGTTATCTGGTATTAATATGTATTAATTATCTTTTTTATTCAGTTTGAGCTCTTTCTGGTTCTTTTTATTTTGATTAGTAATTTTCAATTGAAAATTTGACATTTTCATATTGTGTAATGAAACTCAAGATATCATTTTAAATTTCTTTAAGCTGTATTTTTCTGACACTACTCTGGAAGGGGAAGTAGGGGGGCTGCCATCCTGGATTACTA
Organism: Homo sapiens; assembly: GCF_000001405.40. NCBI lineage: Eukaryota > Metazoa > Chordata > Mammalia > Primates > Hominidae > Homo > Homo sapiens. The sequence goes on along the minus strand of NC_000016.10, from coordinate 47,763,627 downwards.
CTGGATGGGAGTAGAAGTTCAGGTTTCTCACTCAGCCTTGACTGACACCTGCGTGTTGAGGGCTCTTTGTTATTGCTCAGCAGGACTGTGATTTTCAGCTCCCCACATGGTCTCCACTGACACTAGTGGGGGTGGCCTCATTATCACTAAGCTATAGTAAAGGTCTTGACTCCTCTGGTTTTGATTTAACACCTAACCAATGGGGAGAGGATGACTAACTCATAACTGCTGAATGTGATGTAAGCTCAGGTACTCCACATAATCTTTGCTGATACACAAAGCATACTGTCCCAGCTCCCTGCTTGTCTTCCTCTGACACCACCTTTTTGGGGTGGTATTGGGTTTCTTTCTACAGCCACACAAGGGTGAAAGTCTAAGATTCCATTTGCCCCATGATGGCATGGCGGGGCAGGGCAGGGGTAGTGCAGGGAAGGACAGAGACCACAGATGTTTTTCATGGTGTTTGGCTGAAGTGAAGAGATCATTGCCTGAATATTTTTTTTCTTTCGAAAGACTTGTTTGTTCTGATAATTTAATAAACCAATTAAATGTTTTAAATTTGTTTTTCTTTTCATATTCAAGGGTGGGTTTGTTACATAGATACTCTGCATAATGCTAAGGTTTGGGCTTCAATCGAACCCATTACGCATATAGTGGCCACAGTACCAAATAGGTAGTTTTTCACCCCTTGCCCTATTTCCTCCCTCTTTTGGAGTCCCCAGTGTCTATTGTTCCCATCTTTGTGTCTGTGTATACCCAATGTTTACCTCCTACTTATAAGTGAAAACACGTGATACCTGGTTTTTTGTTTCTGTGTTTTGTTTTTTGTTTCTTTATCCAATCTTGGATAAAGAAAATGTGGTACACGCAAACCATGGAATACTATGCAGCCATAAAAAGGAATGAAATCATGCCCTTTGCAGCAACATGGATGCAGCTGGAGGCCGTTATCTTAAGTGAATTAACACATAAACAAAAAACCAAATACCACTTGTTTTGGGGCATCTAAGTTGATTCTATGTCTTTACTATTGTGAATAGTGCTGCGATGAACATACAAGTTCAGGTGTCTTTTTGATAGAACAATGTATTTTCTTTAGGATATACACCCAGTAATGAGATTGCTGAGTCTAATAGTAATTCTATTTTTAGTTCTTTGAGAAATCTCCAAATTGCTTTCCACAGGAGCTGAACTAATTTACAGTCCTACCAAAAATGTCTGAGTGTTCCCTTTTCTCCACAACTTTGCCAACATCTGTTCTTTTTTGACTTTTTAATAATAGCCATTCTGACTGGTGTGAGATGGTATCTCAATGTGGTTTTGATTTGCATTTCTCTGATGATTTGTGATATTGAGCAGTTTTTTATACGTTTGTTGGTCACTTGTACATCTTCTTTTGAGAAGTGTCTATTCATGTCCTTTGCCCTCTTTTTAATGGGGTTGTTTGTTTTTTCTTATCAATTTGTTTAAATTCCTTATAGATTCTGGATTTTTCCCTTGTCAGATGCATAGTGTGCAAATATTTTCTCCCATTTTGTAAGTTGTCTGTTTTTTCTTTTCTTTTCTTTTCTTTTTCTTTCTTTTTTTTTTTTTTTTTTGAGACAGAGTCTTGCTCTGTCACCAGGCTGGAGAGCAGTGGCACAATCTCAGCTCACTGCAACCTCCGCCTCCCAGGTTCAAGCGATTCTCCTGCCTCAGCCTCCCAAGTAGCTGGGGACTACAGGCGCATGGCACCATGCTATACAGAAGCTCTTTAGTTTAATTAGGTCCCAACTGTCAATATTTGTTTTTGTTGCATTTGCTTTTGAGGACTGAGTTATAAATTCTTTGCTTGGTTGTCTACATATTTTCTATCTTCATAGGCTACCCCTTTCTTAGACCTTTATTGAGGCTTTTGTTGGTTTGTTTGTTTGTTTGCACTTGTTATTATTTATAGGTTGCCAGCTTCTTCAGCTCCAAGTCTAGGATGTATCTGGCCAAAAGAATGCCCAGAGTGCTCATCATCATAATGTTCATCAGGCCCAGAGTTCCTTAGCAGGCCTCCCTGATTCTCTTCATGTTTCTTTGTCTTCTTGTACTTATTTTATATTAATGTCCAGGGATTTTAATTGTACTTAGAAAGAGGAATAGAGGGCCAGGAGCAGTGGCTCATGCCTGTAATCCCAGCACTTTGGGAGGCTGAGGCAGGTGGATCACCTGAGATCAGGAGTTGGAGACCAGCCTGACCAACACGGAGAAATCCCATCTCTACTAAAAAAAAATTACAAAATTAGCCAGCCATGGTGGCACATGCCTGTAACCCCAGCTACTCAGGAGGCTGAGGCAGGAGAATCGCTTGAACCTGGGAGGCAGAGGTTGCAGTGAGACAAGATCATGCCATTGTACTCCAGCCTGGGCAGAAAGAGTGAAACTCTGTCTCAAAAAAAAAAAAAAAGAAAGAAAGAAAGAAAGAGGAATACAGAAAAGTACACTTACTCCATCTTCCCAGATATGGAAGAACCATTTTTGCATTTGCCTTATTGAGTTGTATGTATAAAAAGCTTTTGACCGAATCTAACATCTAGTTATATTTAACTAGCTGTTTTATGACTTTTATGACTACAAGTCCTTTTTTAATATATTTTTTACAGTTTTTTTCTTTCAGTCTGTGGTCTTTTTTTGAGAATGTATTTTTTTGATAAAAATAACTTTTATTCTTTTTAAATGTTAGTTTGCATCTGAATGAAAGGTGTGATCCAGAGAGTATAACATCACTGGTTAAGCAGCACATCTCTGATGCCAAATTGACAGCACAAAGTCAAGAAAAACTTGTATATATTTTGCCTTTGGAAAGGACAAACAAATTTCCAGGTAACAAAATGTAAAGATGACAGAATGATTTGGGAATGCTGTTATTAACAATAACAGTGGTGATAAGAATGATGGTGAGTTTTTTTTTTCAGTTTTTATTTTTTTCATTATTATACTTTATGTTCTAGGGTACATATGCACAACGTACAGGTTTGTTACATATGTATACATGTATACATGTTGGTGTCCTGCACCCATTAACTCGTCATTTACATTGGGCATATCTCCTAATGCTTTCCCTCCCCCTCCCCCCACCCCTCAACAGATGCCAGTGTGCGATGTTCCCCTTCCTGTGTCCAAGTGTTCTCATTGTTCAATTACCGCCTATGAGTGAGAACATGCAGTGTTTGGTTTTTTGTTCTTGCGATAGTTTGCTGAGAATGATGGTTTCCAGCTTCATCCATGTCCCTACAAAGAAAATGAACTCATCCTTTTTTGTGGCTGCATAGTATTCCATGGTGTATATGTGCCACATTTTCTTAATCCAGTCAATTACTGATGGACTTTTGGGTTGGTTCCAAGTCTTTGCTATTGTGAATAGTGCCGCAGTAAACATACCTGTGCATGTGCCTTTATAGCAGCATGATTTATAATCCTTTGGGTATATACCCAGGAATGGGATGGCTGGGTCAAATGGTATTTCTAGTTCTAGATCCTTGAGGAATCACCACACTGTCTTCCACAATGGTTGAACTAGTTTACAGTCCCACCAACAGTGTAAAAGTGTTCCTATTTCTCCACATCCTCTCCAGCACCTGTTGTTTCCTGACTTTTTAATGATCGCCATTCTAACTGGTGTGAGATGGCATCTCATTGTGGTTTTGATTTGCATTTCTCTGATGGCCAGTGATGATGAGTATTTTTTCATGTGTCTGTTGGCTGCATAAATGTCTTCTTTTGAGAAGTGTCTGTTCATATCCTTTGCCCACTTTTTGATGGGGTTGTTTGTTTTTTTCTTGTAAATTTGTTTGAGTTCATTGTAGATTCTGGATATTAGCCCTTTGTCAGATAAGTAGATTGCAAAAATTTTCTCCCATTCTGTAGGTTGCCTGTTCACTCTGGTGGTAGTTTATTTTGCTGTGCAGAAGCTCTTTAGTTTAATTAGATCCCACTTGTCAATTTTGGCTTTTGTTGCCATTGCTTTTGGTGTTTTAGACATGAAGTCCTTGCCCATGACTATGTCCTGAATGGTATTGCCTAGGTTTTCTTCTAGGGTTTTTATGGTTTTAGGAAGTTCTGGCCAGGGCAATCAGGCAGGAGAAAGAAATAAAGGGTATTCAATTAGTGAAAACAGGAAGTCAAATTGTCCCTTTTTGCAGATGACATGATTGTATATTTAGAAAACCCCATTGTCTCAGCCCAAAGTACCCTTAAGCTGATAAGCAACTTCAGCAAAGTCTCAGGATACAAAATCAATCTGCAAAAATCACAAGCATTCTTATACACCAATAACAGACAAACAGAGAGCCAAATCATGAGTGAACTCCCATTCACAATTGCTTCAAAGAGAATAAAATACCTAGGAATCCAATTTACAAGGGATGTGAAGGACCTCTTCAAGGAGAACTACAAACCACTGCTCAAGGAAATAAAAGAGGATACAAACAAATGGAAGAACATTCCATGCTCATGGATAGGAAGAATCACTATTGTGAAAATGACCATACTGCCCAAGGTAATTTATAGATTCAATGCCATCCCCAGAAAGCTACCAATGACTTTCTTCACAGAATTGGAAAAAACTACTTTAAAGTTCATATGGAACCAAAAAAGAGCCCACATTGCCAAGATAATCCTAAGCCAAAAGAACAAAGCTGGAGGCATCACACTACCTGACTTCAAACTATACTACAAGGCTACAGTAACCAAAACAGCATGGTACTGGTACCAAAACAGAGATATAAACCAATGGAACAGAACAGAGCCCTCAGAAATAATACCACACATCTACAACCATCTGATCTTTCACAAACCTGACCAAAAACAAGAAATGGGGAAAGGATTCCCTATTTAATAAGTGGTGCTGGGAAAACTGGCTAGCCATATGTAGAAAGCTGAAACTGGATCCCTTCCTTATACCTTGTACAAAAATTAATTCAAGATGGATTAAAGACTTAAATGTTAGACCTAAAGAGTGTCATTTGAAAAGTAAATGAATGGGTTCAATTGTGATGAAGTACAATTTATAATTTGGTGTGCTTTTTGTGTCATATTTAAGAAATCTCCCCAAATCCAAGGTAACTAAAATTTGTGTCAAGGTTTTCAAGGTTTTAACATTGTAGGTTTTACATGTAGATCTATCATCTTTCTTGTATTATAAACCATTGCTGTGTATTTGTATATGCCATGAAGTGAGGGTCAAGGGTCTCCCCCACCCATGAAGATATTCCATTCTTCAAGCACAATTTGTCAAATATTAAATGGCCATATGTCTGTGGATCTATTTCTGGACTCTATTCTGTTCCACTATTCTATACATCTGTCTTTAGACAAGTGTCACATTATTTGATTCTTGCAGCTTTATAATAAGTCTGGAAATAGGTAGGAAAGTCTTCTCACTTTGTTCTTTCTCTTCAAAATAATTTTGGTTATTTTAGGTCCTTTGTATTTTAACATAAATTTAAAATCAGTTTGTCAATTTCAACAAAAAATGCCTGTAGATTTTGATTGCATTGACTATATACACCAATTTGGGAAGAAATAATGTCCTAATAATACTGAGTCTTCCAGTGCATGGGTGTGGACCCCATTTCTTTCTGTTGGCAATGTTTTGTAGTTTTCAGAGCACAGGTCTTCATATCCTTTGTCAATTTTGTCCCTAAGTGTTTTCATATATTTTGAGGTTATGGTAAGTGGTATCTTTTTTTTTTTTTTTTTTTTTTTTTTTTTTGAGATGGAGTCTTGCTCTGTCACCCAGGCTGGAGTGCAGTGGCACGATCTTGGTTCACTGCAACCTCCACCTCCCGGGTTCAAGCGATTCTCCTGCCTCAAGGAAATCCCTGTTGACCAGGCTGGCCTCGAACTCCTGAACTTAAGTGATCTGCCCGCCTCAGCCTCCCAAAATGCTAGGATTAGCTGCGTGAACCACCACGCCCAGCCAGTATTTGTTTTTAAATTTAAATTGTGATAGTTTATTGTAAGCATATAAAAACAAAGTTTATTTTTTCCATATTGATCTTGTACTCTGCAACTTTGCTAAACTCATTTATTTGTTCTAATAGGTTTTTGTAGATTTTTAGGATTATCTGCATAGATTATTATATCATATGCCAATAAAGACAGTTTACTTATTCCTTTTCAATCTTTTATTTCTTTTTCTTTCTTCTTGTGCTGGCTTAGACCTCCAACAAAATGTTCAACTGAAGTGGTGAGGATAGACATTCTTGCTTTGTTCTGTATTGCATGGAGAAAGTATTCAGTTTTTCACCATTAAATATGTTATTAGTTGTATGTGGGGTTTTTTTTGTAGTTGTCCTTTGCAAGTTTGCTGAGAGGTTATTATTTTTATTATAACTAGATATCAGATTTTGTCAAATGCTTTTTATACATTTGCTGAAATGATCATGTCATATGTTTTCTTTTTTCTGTTAATAAGATGTTAATAAGGTGAATTACAGTTTGATTTTCAAATATTTAATGAGCTTTTCATTTCTAAGAATTTTTTTCTGTATCTATTGAGATTTTTTTCACTTCTAATTTTTTAATATAGTGAATTGCATTGATTTTCTTTTTTAAATTTGTATATATTCATGGGGTACTAGTGCCATTTTGTTACATTCATATATTGCATTGTGGTGAGGTCAGCGCCTTCAGGGCATCCATCACTGGAGCAATGCACATTGTGCCCACCAAGCAACTCCATCATTGCCTGCCTCCCACTCACTCCCATCCCTCCAAGTCCCCACTGCTCATCATTCCACACTCAACTTCCATGTGTACATGTTACTTAGCCCCCACTTAGGAGTGAGAACACGCGGTATTTGTGTGTCCGAGTTGTTTCACTTAAGATAATAGTCTCCAGGCCAAGGCAGGCAAATCACCTGAGGTTGGGAGTTCGAGACCATCCTGACCAACATGGCAAAACCCCGTCTCTACTAAAAGTACAAAAATTAGCCGGGTGTGGTGGTGGGCACCTGTAATCCCAGCTACTTGGGAGGCTGAGGCAGGAGAATCACTTGAACCTGGGAGGCGGAGGTTGCAGTGAGCCAAGATTGCACCACTACACTCCAGCCTGGGTGACAGAATGAGACTCCATCTCAAAAAAAAGAAAAAGATAATGGCCTCCAGTTCCATCTTTGTTGCTTCAAAAGATGTTATTTCAGAATACATTTATTTTTGAAAAGAGACTTAGAAGTTATCCTTTGTGGGCAGAGGATTAAGATAAAGGCCACTCATAAAATGAGACCTTCCTTTTTCAATTAGAATGATGCCATCCAGGAGTCACAGAAGAGAAGTGGCAGCATTTAAAGACCTGAAGCAAGTTGGGCACAGTTTCTGTAATTGGCAGCAGAGCACAAGTGGTAATTAGAAATATGTGAAATAACATTTGATGGAAGTTATTTAATCATTGGGGTCTCTAAGATCAAAACAATGAGTAACTCTATGGTCCTACCTGCTCTGTGTGATTGATCATGCTGTGGGTCTAGCAAATAGGACTCATTTGAGTCATTATTTTAAAAAAATCACAGTCCCTTACTCAATTCCAAGGCCTGAGCCAACTCATAGACCCAGAGCCCCTGGAACAAAGGGAAAACCAGGTAAACACTGAGTAAGAATAGTAAGATAACACAAATGTATACCGAGAATCTTCTTCCTTGCCATGGCCAAGAGGACTAGAGACCAGAGTAAATGATGATTAAGAAAATGAAAATACCAGAACCATTCAGAAATAATTAGACTCTGGCTGTGAGTAAGCACTAGTTCCTGGGAAATTCTAGAGTGCACTATGATCCATTTGTCAAAGTGTGCACTTAGAAAATTTCCTTCCCATCTCTGTAACTTCGGACTTCGTTAATTTAGAGGTTTTAGAATTCAAGAGGAAAATACTTCTAACAGGGGGTTGCAGCAACACTTCCATTAAGCTGAAAATAGAAAATTCCAGCTGATCATTTTGACCTCTTCATGCTGCTGGAAAACAACCAAAAAGTTATTGCGTTGGTTGAGGTAATTGATTCTAACGTTCAAGAGGAAATAGGGGTGTTGTTACAATAACAAGAACAAGAAGGAATATTTCTGGAACCAGAAGGTCCTTGAGAGAAACTCCTGGCCAATATTGCACTGGGAACAGTCTTAGTGGGAATGTAAATCCAAATGTAAAAAGAGGTTTCATGATCCTTTTCCTACTTCCCCAAAAGCTATTAAGGAGTGAGTACATGGCCTAAGCCTAACTGATTGGAAAATCTCTTCTTTCTTTTTCTTTCTTTCTTTCTTTCTCTCTCTCTTTCTTTCCTTCTCTCTCTTTCTTTCTTTCTCTTTCTTTCTTTCTCTCTCTCTTCTTTTTCTTTCTTCTTTTTGTTTCTCTCTTTCTCTGTCTCTCTCATCTTTTAGTTAAAGGTGATAGGATGAAAGAAATGGTTGGAGCTCAGACATTCTAGCTGGCTACGCTGCAGAGAAAACCACTAGCTGCCCACTAATATCCATGCTCCCATCTCCCATAGTAAGCAAACCTTCATCAACACTGGACAATGCAGCTCAGATAATTAGGAGAAAAAGAAATAGACTTATTTGTTCTTACAGCCACTAACTTGGAGGGTTTCTCTCACAATCCTAATACATACTCTAATGGTCAATTAACTTCTATCTTGATCTTAGACCTGGTGTCCAATCTTTGTGCCAATTCAGTGATTTCTATAACAAATATGGTAATTATCATTGTAATTACCCTTGAGTAAATGAATACCACAATCACTCTTCAGCCATTGCATTAGCTGAAAGGAAATTAGTTGACAGTCCTCTGAAAACAATGCTCTGTCATAGGGGATGCAAGTGTGGCAGAGATTACTGGTTGTTGCCAAATCTGTTTTTTCCTTCTCTTGCAATAATAGATCCCCCACATTTGCGGAATACATGGCTGTTCAGCATTCCTTGAAACAAGGTATACGACTAAGTCCTGGCCAATGGAATATAAGCAGAAGTGATTTGTGCAGCTTTCCAATTGTGCTCTTAAAAGACAGGAGAACACCCTCTCCTTACTCTGTCTGGAAAATAAATACAGTATGTGATGTGCTGTACTAGTGTATCAGGGTGGCACAGCAGATACAGCAAAAAATATGTATATATATATTATATACACATATACACACACAGCCTGACACCATGGACTGCTATGAGCGAGAAAAACTTCTATCTTATTTAAAACACTTTTTGGGGTGGCAGTGGGGTGGTCTCATTAGAACCAATGTCCTAATTGATACACATGTGTTCTCAGCATAAAACGGAGATGTTGAAAGGAACACTCAAATGTGCGGATTAGATGTCAGGAGAAGGGCTCTGGCTTCCCCAGGGCCGCTTACTTGCTAGGTGAGTTGGGCAAGTCCATTCCATTCTCTGGATCTCAACTCCCCCATTGGTAAATGCAGCCCCTGACAGCCTGAACAGCCAAGACTAAGATGAGAACATGCCATGCCAAACATAACAATGAAAAAGAAAGTATAGGCACACTATAGGCACAAGCAAGTCCTGCCAAAGGCGAATAAATCCTCAGAAAACATCTTTTGAAATGCATGTAGTCAGGGCAACTCCATGCCCTTTTATTTATTTATTTATTTATTTATTTATTTATTTTGCTTGGTGTTATTCTCCAAGACATTTGTGTTTTTGAATAAATCTTGCACATTCAGTGCCAAACTTCCATCTGCCTCCTCCTGCTGAGAAGTCATAATGCCATGTTTATGACACCAGCCTCTGTTTCCATGGGGATGATTGTATCAATGTAATTCCAGCATTATGACTTCTGGGTACATTTGAGAAGATGGGTGAAAGCAACGAAAAATTTTCAAGTGTACACATCTATTGTGATCCTGATAACTCACAGGAATGATACTGCTGAAAATAGAGACTAGGAATCAGACAGATGTCCACTAAAGCCTGAGGTCATTTTTTTCTGATGGCTAAAAAGGATGTTTAACCCCTAAGTCCTTCCTTCTTGAAATCTTTGGTCTGCTTTATTTTAAATGTTTTGTTTTAGTTTTTAATATGACATAATTTGCATTAGGCATCTGTAAGGCTTTTATCTGCTCATTGCCTAAATCTTTCATCTGTATGGGGACTGCATTAAGCTCATCCTGAATAATGGCCTCTATTATTTAAATCCATTATTCAAATTCCATTTTTCTAAGAAGCTATCACTCCTATTCCATCTGCAAATATGAAAACTTAAATGTAAAGGTCCCTCTTCAAATTTTCCACAGGAAAAAAACATGTCATCCATTTAAATGCATGCTTCAGGCACTGCACATTCTGTAAGAAGGCGATTTTAAACAACCTATTTCTATTTAATGTCAAAATTGAGATTTTAAAAAATTTTGCTGATTACAAAAGTAATTCATATTTACTGTGAAAAAGAAAATCAAACACTGAAGAATTTGAAGTAGAAAGTAGCTACCCAAAATTCTATCCAAAATTGCTATAACCCACAGAAACATTGTTTTATCTCTATATTTTTCTAAATGTTGAAATATTAAAATCATGACTATTTACACAAATTGAATCATATGATTCTGTGGCAGACAATTTTCCAAAGATGGTCACAACAATATCCCTCATCCTGCATGCTTTTCTGCAAGTTCCTTGCCACTCTCCCATCAAGAAATGTTATTTCGCCACCTCCCTGAATCTCAGCAGGACTTTGGATTGCTTCAATCAATAGAATAGAGCTGATACAACGTTATACTAATTCTGTGTATAGCCTTTAACTGGCCTGGCAACTTCCACTTCCTGCTTTTCGGAAGGTAGACATGTTAAGAAGTAGGACTACCCTGAGACCACCATGCTAAGAACTGGAAGATGAGATACCTTGTTGAGAAGTAAAGAAATCAAAGCGCACCAAGGCACTAGACATGCTTTTCAAACGCAGATTTGTTTGTTGTTTGGTTGGTTTGTTGCTTGACTCTACTCTTACCTACATACATATCAACACACACAACATGTAAGACTTGTAAGTGAAGAAGCCATCTTGGAAGTAGATCCTTCTCTCCCAGCCGACCTGGCTGACTATAACACAAACCACCCAACCAAGCCCTTCTTGAGTGCTGATCTATTAAACCAGAAGCAGAAAAAAAGAGTTACTTTAAGCCCTTAAGTTCTGGCATTGTTTGTACCATTAACATTTAAATAACCAAAACACATGGTTGGAGCATTTTTTATTTTAAAACAAATTAAATCCATCTCACCTATTTTAGTAGCTCTCATAGTATTCTATCATAGGCATTTACCCTATGTTAACTCAGCTTCAATAGATGTACTTTTAGACTATTTTCCATTTTTATTATGCTGTAGCAAATATTTGTTTACATTTATCTGTATCTATCTGATTGTTTTCAAAAATAAATTCTTCTAAGTCATATTACTGGGCCATATGGGAATTCAAATATTACATTTTGATATCTTCAGCCTGATTATATTTCAGAAATGTACAAATTTATTCTCACACCAGGAGCATGTAAGAGTTTCTCTCTCCCACACTTTCATCATCACTGGATTTTATCAATCTTTATAATTTTAGCCAATCTGCTGACATATACATAGTTTCATTTTTATTGTTCACTTCTTATATTTGGTAAGTTGCTTACTTGTCAAGTATAAACCATTTTAAAATCATTTTAAAGCTTAGTTTCTTATATAAATAAATAATTTTATAAATGTATGTGCAGCATATAGATAGTATATAGTATATATTGTATATATTATTGCTACCCACCAGTATTTCCATTCCTTCTTCCCCTCTAGAGGAGCACAAGAGGAACAGATTTCCCTGACTCCTTGAGCTTATCTATGACCACATGCTTTGATTTGGGGGTTGGGGGGTGGGGAGAACAAGTTAATATGCATCAATTCCAGATGAAAATCTTTAATTGCTGGCACATAATTCTTTATGTTCTCTCTTCCCTGGCTGCAGTCATCCTAAAACCATGTGTGGACAGAAAGAGTCCATAAGACCTAAATGTCCTGGAAGGTGAAGTCAAACCATTGAGAAAATTACCTGGAGAGTCTTCCAGAGGCTGAGACTTCACGTAAGCAAGAAATAAATGCTTGTTACATTAATGCATTGTGATATTGGATTGTTTAAGAATAAGAATAATCTAACCTACCCTGACTGATATATACACATATGATCCTAGATACACCTTTCAAATGCAGACTTGGTTGGTTGGTTGGTTTATAAGTTGCTTGACCCTACCCTTATCTACACATGTATCAACACACATGACATAGGTCATCTTAGTAGAAGGGTTTCAAAATCTGATATGTATCTTTCTATATTTTTCCTTTATACTCATAATACTATACAAATATTCATAGGAATGTGTGCATGTAAAATGAGATCCTAGTCTTCGTTTTATGAAAAGACAGTAGACTATTTTACACCTGTCTCTGTATCTCTCTGTATTTCTTACTCAGTAAGTGGTAGCCGTCTTACAGCTCTAATTCACTCATTTTACTGATTGCCAAGCAGAATGCAGTATGCATGATGCAGTAGACTTTATTCAACCAGTATTCCCCCACTATGGACATCCACTTTGATCTAGCTTTGTGGCATTAAAAACAATGCTGCAATAAACATTTTAGTGCATTAATACATCTACTTTTACGTCACTGTGTTTTTGGTTTTGTTTTGTTTTGTTTTGTATTTTTGGCAGAGTCTGGCACTGTCAGCCAAGCTGGAGTGCAGTGGCATGATCATGGCCCTCTGCAACCTCCACCTCCCATCTCAGCCTCCCAAGTAGCTGGGACTCTGGGCACATGCCACCATGCCTGGCTAGTTTTTGTATTTTTTGTAGAGATGGAGTCTCCCTCTGTTGCCCAGGCTGGTCTTGAACGCCTAGGCTCAAGTGATCTGCCCTCCTCAACCTCCCAAAGTGGTGGGATTATAGGCATGAGCCACCATGCCCGGCCATCTGCTTTTATTTCTATTGGCACTCTCAGGAGAGGCCTGGTAAGGTTAAAGGATACATGTGTTTTTGTTTTTCATACATGCCACAAAATTACTTTAGCCAAAGGCTATGACACTGCACATTTCCACTAGGAATATGAGAGTATTATAATCTTATATCCCTAAGAGCATTAAGTTTTGTAGCTCTTTCCAATGAATTTAAACTGAAATCTCACTGCTCTTTAAATTTCCATTCTCTTGGCTACCAGTGAATTTAAGCATCTTTTTCTACATCCGTGGCCATTTAAACTTGCTCTTCTGTGACTTTTTGTTAGCCTGTTTTTTTAACAATATTCTGCTTTTCTTGTCAGTTTGGAGAAGCAGTTTGAATAATATAGACAACTTACTCCTATCTGACATTTGCATTACACTATTTTTTCTTGATCTATGTGTCTATTGATTTTAATTGTTTCCTTAGCCACACAAAGGTCATTATCTACTTTTTTTCTTTTTCTTTTTTCTTTTTTTTTTTTTTTAAGAGATAGGAACCTCGCTCTGTTGCCCAGGCTGGAGTGCGGTGGCACAATCATAGCTCACTGCAGCCTCAAACTTTTGGGCTCAAACAGTCCTCCCAAGTAACTGGGATCACAGGCACATGCCATCACACCAGCCATTATCATTTCTCTTATAGCATCTAAGTTTCTTCCCCTTTTTAAGAAACTCACAATGCCTATGTTACAAGATTTACAAGATTTTCTTAAAAGAGTTTTTGTTTGTTTGGTCAGTTTTGTTTTTTACACTTGAGCATTTCAATCCTAAGAAACCTATTTTAAAATTAAGATATTATTTATATAAAATAAAATGCACCTATTTTAAGTGTACAGTTTGATGACTGTGGTAACTGTATGAGATCGAGTAATCACAGTCAAGAGTTAAAACAGTTCCCCCACCATGTTTTCCTCTGCCCCCTGCACCTCCACCCCCTTCCAGGAAATCACTGGCCTGCTTTCCATTATGACAGCTTTGTCTTTTTCTAGAATTTTGTATAAATGGAATCACTCAGTATAGACTTATGTTTGATTTTTTTCACTTAGCATAATGATGTTTTTGAAATTCATCCATGATTTTGAGTACATTAATCTTTTGTTACTTCTTATTACATACCAACTAAACATAGTATAGAGAAATCACAATTTGTTTATTCACCAGTTTTTGTCTACTATAAATTATCAGCTATAAATATTTATGTACATGTCTCTGTGAACATGTATTTATTTCTCTTGGGCAACTACCTAGGAATGGAACTTCTGGGTCATACGGTAAGGGTGTGTCATGAAGTTCAAGATACTACCATATCTTGTTTTCCAAAGTGACTGCACTATTTTGCATTTTAACCAGCAATGAGTGAGACTTACAATTGTTCTACATCCTCATCAACACTTGGTATTGTCAGTATTTTTCAGTTGAGCCATTCTAGTAGGCAAGTCATGGTAGTTTTTAATAAGCTCTGATGACTAGTGATGTTGAATCTTTTCATATGCTTATCGGCCATGCACATATCTTCATTTGTAAAATGTCTGTTCACAAATTTGGTCCTTGTTTTACAAAGCCTTCTTCTCCCTCCTTTTTCTTGGGGGGTGGGGACAAAGTCTTACTCTATCACCCAGGCTGGAGTGCAGTGGCATAATCTCAGCTCACTGCAACTTCTGTCTTCTGGGTTCAAGCGATTCTTGTGCCTCAGCCTCCTGAGTAGCTGGGATTACAGGCGTGCACCACCACACCTGGCTAATTTTTGTATTTTTAGTAGAGACAGGGTTTCACCATGTTGGCCAGGCCAGTCTCAAACTCCTGACCTCAGGTGATCCACCCGCTTCGGCCTCCCAAAGTGCTGGGATTACAGGCATGAGCCACGGTGCCTGGCCTATGAATATCTTTATGCCAATCTTGATTGCTATAGATTTATAGTAAGTCATAAAATCAGATAGTTTAGGTCTTCTAAATTAATTCTTCTTTTTCAGATTATATTAGCTATCTAAGTTCTTTTTATGTAAATTTTTAAATCTACTTGTCAATTTCTTCCAAAAGCCTATTGGTTTTTACGCTTCTCAGAGCCAGGAGCATCCCAGATGCAGAGTCCAGAACTGGGAGGATGTGGTACTGAGGGAGCCCAGAGCGGATGGAATAACAAGGAAGGGATTTGCCTTCCTGCTTGAAGCATCTAACGAATCTGACAAAGTATATTAAAGAAAGTGTCTCAAGACACTGGACATCAGGTAAAGATGAATAGGGATCCCTGAGAGATGGGATACAAATTAGACGAGCCCTACCTTTGAGGTGCTCTCCTAGCTATGGCCTGGAGAGCATTTCCAGACACAGCACACGGACAGGCAACCCAGGAGGAGCACAAGAGTCTCCCTAAGCTGAACTAGGATGGGGCATGGGGGACCCTGGGGCTGAGGCTGCTAGAATTCACAAGGCAAGATACTGAAGAGAAGAGATCTGCAAAGAAATAGAACTCCAGAGATCTACAAAAGTTTCAATACTCTTCAGCGTGTGCATGTGAGAAAACTATCAAAAGGATTAGAGGGAAAAATCCCTACACGGGGTGGGAATAGTGCCTGTTCATACCATCTGGAGTGGAAAATCTTCATAATTACAGGGATTGGTAGACTATTCAAGAGTCTTGCCTCACAGTGGAGAAAATTTTACCCTAGACTAAATGTTGCTCTGCTCTCTCCTTACAAAGCTTAAAGGAAGACCCAATAGGATAAAATTGTTTTCAAGTCACTTAACTGCATCCTAGAATGAACTCAAGTATATTTATAGGAATACAATAATGTACAGCCCTCAACAAGAGAAATTTCACGAAGCTTGGCACACATTCAAGAATAACGAGGCATGCAAAGAAGTAGGACAAATGCAACCATAATACAGAGAAAAGCCAATCAAACAGACCCAGTAATGACACTGATGATGGAGTTAGTAGACAAGGCCATTAAAACAGTCATTATAACTGCGTTCCATATGTTTGAGAAACTTGAACGTGATAAGTAGAGACATGGAAGGTAAGAAAACACTCAAATTGAACTATTTTTTCCCATCTTCTTTTGTTCATCTTTGTTGTCATTTTATTTCTCATTCTGTCTTCAAATCCATTTATCCTTCCTCTGTCATAGCCATTTGGATTTTCATTTCATTCAGTGAATTTATTTTTATTTCAGAGATTGTATTTTTCTAGAATTTTAAAATTCTAGAATTTTTATTTCTGTTTATCTGCTGAGAGTTCTTTTTCTATGCTGAGATTTTCATTGACAATATGTTTTGTTTTACTTCACTGAGAATACTTAGAAGAGTCACAGTCTCTTGAGAATATGTTCTATTTTCTTAGTTCTATGTATGTTAATATTGGATTATATCCTAGATATTATGAATGTTAAGTGAAAATTTTTGATTCTATTATTTGTTCTCTTATAAGTGTTTTTTCCTTTGTTTTGGCAGATAATTTTGTTGCCTGGGCTTACCCTTCAGACTCTGCTTCTTGAACAGTGTCAGTGGCTGTAATCTCAGTTCAGATCTTTCATCTTTAACTGAGCTGCTTTGAGTCTTCTGCATAGGTGTGGTTTGAGAGTCGGTCAGACTGGGTACACAGAATGGCCCCCACCACCGCAATTCTCTTCAGTGTTCATAGTAGTCCAGCTTCAATTTTCTGGTTCCCCAGGCCAGAAAGAAGGGATGCTTGTTTGTCCACATGCACCCCAACAGCTGCTGTGTGCACTATATGGAGCCACAGAGATGGGACCTTTCCTGGGCAACTTCTCATCTCCCCTGTCCAAGTAGGTGGACACTTCACATTGGTGTCTGTCTGTCTGCTTCTCTTCCTCTCCCACACTTTAAGGCAATTACTTTTGTATTATGTCCAGGTTTAATATCTGCTTCCTCATAAGAGGGAGGTTGGGTGGGTTACTCAGTATGGCCTTGGTCCATCATAACTGGAACCTGGACCAGGGAGAAATGTATTTTTGGAAAGAGTATTAGATGAGAGTCAGTAAGCTGGATGGCAAAATGTTCTAACACATTTATTACATAACTTCTTTTTTCCCCATGGAGTTAACCAGTTTTGTCATATGTTAAATTCTCAAGTACTGGTTCTTATTTTGAATTCTTCTATTTTCCTGATCTGTTTATTCCAACACAGCTATAACATTGATTTTAAAACAGTGACTTCCTGGTATAATCTTAAAAGGTGAATTTTCCATCATGGTTATTCTTCATAGCTTTCTGGCTTATTCCTAGGTACTTTTTAAATACATATTCTAGGATTATTCATCCAGATTTTTAAAATATTTCTAGTAGTAATTGGAATTACATAAGGTTTACATATTTACTTAGAAAAAACTAATACTTAAAATAAATCATCCCCTTCAAGAACAAGTTTCTTGGGGAGACCTTCCTATTGTCAATATGATTTTCTAATTATCTTCAAATGGTCCTGTGCCTTTAAAATAATGTAAATTTTATTCTAAACACTATAGAACCTGTCTTTTATAAATAATGCTTTCACATTTTTATGTACTGATTTTTAAGGCAATGTATTTCATTTTTTATATTATTCATATCCAGCTATCTTTCTAAAATTTCATAGCTTTTTTAAAAACAATTAAAAAATCCTCATAACCCAACCTTTGAATTTTCTGAGTTTATAGATAACCATTAGCAAAACATAGCTATAACTCTTTGTTTTTCCAATATTTATACCACTTATTTCATGCTTTGCATTGTTGCATTTTTACAGACTTAGTACTAAATACTGACCACACTATGCATCCCTTATCAATTGTCAGATTAATCAAAATGAGTTTATTTGCTGTTCATTTTTGCTGTTGGAATTTTTAGATTATGATTTATTTTCATAATTCAAGTAGTTTCTTTTTATTGCATAGCTACTGAATTTTATTAAATATTTCTGTATCTGTTAATATAATATGACTTTCTCCCTTACTGCATTATTATAATGGATTACACTGATAGATTACAATATTGACCTTGCATTCCTTGAATAAATCATATTTAGTTATTATTTTTATACATAAATTCTGAAAGTATTGGCAAATAGAGTTTAGCAATGCTTCTATATTCATAAGGAACATTGGTTTAAATAAATTTTATACAAGAATTATCAGGAATTGGTGTTCAAATTATGCTGGTTTCATAAGGTGAATGCATGAGGTTTGCATTTTCCATGGCCTGAAATACCTAAATAACATGGGAATGATCTATTCTTTAAAGAATAAATTCATCTTGAGAATGGTACCAATCATAGAACTTGAATCAACTTTGAGGCTTTCCTATGGCCATTAGTTTATTCAAGTTTTCTAATTTCTGAGTAAAATTTAGTGATTTTTATTTTGCTAGGAGCTATTTCCTTTGGGTGTTAAATCTGGATAACATAGAGTTGCACACAGTATTATTTTGTAATTTTTAAAATGGTTATAGTCCCTTGTGCCTTCCAAATCTTGCCTATTTTTGTCCTCTTTTTCTTGCCTTAATTAAGCTTGCAAATGTTTCTGCTTTATTGGTTTTTTTCAAAGAAACTATTTTTTGGATTTATCTTTTCCTTCTTCTGTTTCATTATTTCAACTTTTATCTCTATTAATTCCCTCTTCTTACTTAGTTTATTCCATTCCTTCTTCTAACTTTATGTAATGAATATTTTGCTCCTTTCATATTTTTGTCTTTCTTTTTTTAAAAATGAAGGCATTTAAAGCTCTAGATTTTGGAGTTCAGCTTTTGATGGGTTCTATTATTTTGTCTGTGATTTTTTAAAAAATTCTTCTCTAATTCAAGGGTTTTCTAAAAATATGCTTTTACTTTCCAGATAAAATTTTTCCTTATTATTGTTTTATTATTTACTGCTAATTTTATTGCATTATTGGAACTGCCAAGTAAAAAGGGGTCCCTGGAGAATCTCCCACCCGCCTGAGCACTAAGAGGTTGGGGTGGAGCCTCGGGAAGTTTGTGCTTTGCAGGAGGGAGGATCCTGGCTTCTCCTGTTCCTGGGTGGTGACCTGAGATTCATTTGCTGAGGTGGAGAGCCTGTTAGGAGGACTCCATCTCAGTTTGCTAAGTTGTTTTTCCTTGTTCTTTTTCACCCAATAAATTCCACTCCTCACCCTTCTGTGTGTCCATGAGCCTAATCTTTCCTGGTTGTGTGACAAGAACCCAGTTTTTTCTACAACATTATAATCAGAGAATGGTCAGAAAATTTTAAGGTTTTCTTCATGGTCAAGACCATTTTTTAAACATGTATTCAGACATAGAAAAAAACTTCTTTTGTATTCAAATGATGCAAAGTTCTATATACAATTATCATATCAAGTTTGAGTGTGGCCAAATTCCTTTTCAAATGATTTTTTTCTTAATTTTGCTCAAAGGTACACTGGAACCAACTGGAAGAGCACTAAATTGTCAAAGCTGGAACATTTTGAGCAACAAAATAAATAAAGTAGTATAGAGTGATAGCCTAATGTGTAAACTAAATAACCATGAATTCATTCTGATATAAATAAATGATTGAATAAATAAATGATTGGGGGAAAATAGATAAATCTCCCTGGAGAATTCCAAATAATCTACATAGCAACTCTAGCCTTGAGTATATATGGAAACTAACTACCCACCTCTTCAGTGTGGGCTGTGCCTAGTGACTTCCTTCCACAAAGTATAGAACAGACAGGGGAAGGATGGAGAGCAACCTTACAGTGGAGAAACATGACAGGCGCTACTTCATCCATGTGATCAGGGTTAGCATCTGCATGATAGCTCATGCCAATAGTATGTCCCCTTGATATAATGTACTGGGAGTGGCACTTTACCTCTGCAGTACTCTCCCAAAAACTCCAGTCTAATCGTGAGAAAAATATCAGACAAATATCACTGGAGGGGCCCTGCAAACTATCTGACTAGTACTCAAATCTCTCAAGGTTGACACATCAGCAAAAATGTCAGAATAAGGACCTGCCAAAGCTCTCTCTCCATAAATGCAATGTTTAAAACTGGCAAAAATCATCATCAGTCAACTCTTTCAAAACCCTGGAAATTAATATCAGGCTTGCAGCAACTTTGAAAGCATTTAGCCAAAAATGCTTTCAAACAAACAAAAACTCTGAATCTCAGTAAGAACAGCAAGCCTTGTGGCATTTTAGCTTCTTATTTCCATTCCACATTCTACAGCACTGGGGAAGCCTTGAAAAATAACAGCCTGCACTCCTGGTATAAGAAGGGGCAGAATGCACTTATAAGTGGGAGCTGAGTGATAAGGACACATGGATACATTAGGGGCACAACACACACTAGGGCCTGTCTGAGGGGAGGGGATGGGGGTAGGGAGAGCATCAGGAAGAATAGCTAATGGATGCTGTGCTTAATACCTGAGTGATGGGATGATCTGTGCAGCAAACCACAATGGCACATATTTACCTATGTAACAACCTGCATATCCTACACATGTAACCCTGAACTTAAAATAAAAGTTGAAGAGAAAAAGAAAGAAGGAGAAGAATGGGGCTGGAACTCTTTCTCAAAGCCTCAGTACCAAAAAGAAGTCATTATTTGACCATTCTAGTTGTTTCTTGGAAGACCTCACTCAAAGGTTTGTCTTTATTTGACTTCACTAGAATTATCCCAGTGCTAGAAGTTTCTCTCTGGAAGACATTTGTCAAATGTTTTAAAATCTTGGCTACTTCAGGCAATGGATAACAGTTGGGGCAAACAATAGACTAATCCACAGCTTAAAAGGAAAGGCTGAGGAATGAGATTTCCATAGATGCCAAAAGACCACGGACTAGACATGGAGCTGTGCACATGCTCAGGAAAGACCTGAGACTTGAGGCTCTAAGCTCTCAAAGCAGAATGATTTTGAGGCTTTGTGAAAGCAGAAAGTGAAAGCTGAGGCAGAGTTGTAAATTGCTTTGCTGAGTTTTGAAGCTGTGCTTCAACGTGCACTCAGAACCCACTGGCAAATACACAGAGACTTATTGGCTCCAGGCATTTAAGGTAATGTCTGTCTAATCAGCTGACCACTAAGCTAATCAAGTAGAGACTTCAGTGTTCACGTATGAAAAAGATAGACTTTAGAGGATTCGTTCAGAAGTCACTAAATAGATAATATAAACTACAACAAGCAGCACCAGCAAACCCTGGGTAATGGAGAGAATCTGATTTCCAGAGTTACCATATTTATTATTTGAAATGTCCAATTTTCAACAAAAAATTATGATATGCACAAAAGAAGCTATGATCCATACATAGGAATCAAATGAAAATTGTCTCTGAGGAAATCCAGACTTTGGACTTACTACACCAGCTATTTTAAATATGTTCAAAAAGTAAAACAAACAAACAAAACACCATGTCTAAAGACCAAAAGGAATCAGAAGAGCAATGTGTCCCCAAAGAGAAAATATCAATAAAGGGATAGTAATTATAAAAAGGAACCAAGTAAAAAAGCTGGAGTTAAAAGCGTAACTGAAATGAAAAAGTCATTAGATGGGCTCAATATAGGATGTAATGCAGATGTAAGCAGGCAGAAGAAAGAATCAGTAAATGTGAAAAATAGCTCAATTAATATTATTCTTTCTGAGGAATAGAAAGAAAAAAGAATGTAGAAAAATGAACAGAGCCTCAAAGACCTATGGAACCCTGTCAAGCACACCAACACAAGCATAATGAGAGTCTCAGACAGAGAGAGGGGGAGAGGAAGAAAGAGAAGAGAGGACGGGCAAGGGCAGAAAAATATTTGAATAAATAATGAGTGAAAACTTCCCAAATTTAATGAAAGACATTGAATCTACACATCTAAGAAGCTCAATGAACTCTACATAGTATAAACTCAGAGATACACATCTAGACACACCTTAAATGGTCAAAAGACAAAGAGGGAATATTGAAAGCAGCAAGAGGAAAGTGACTCTTAACAAATGAGGAATCCTCAATAAGATTAACAGCTGATTTCTCATCAGAAACCTTGGATATTAGCAGGCAATGCTATGACATATTGAAAATGCTAAAGACAAAAACTGTTAATCAAAAATTCTATATCCAGAAAAACTCTTTAGAAAAATGAAGGGGAATTCTAGACATTTCCAGTTAAACAAAAACTGAGAGAGTTCATTACTAGTAGATCCACTCTACAAGAAATACTGAAGAAAGTCCTTCAGGCTGGAATGAAAGGATATAGGACAGTAACTCAAATCCACATGAAGAAATAAAGCATATCAGTAAAGTTAACCACACAGTTAAATATAAATGACATTTTAAATGTATTTTTTGTTTGTAACTCCATTTTTTTCCTGTCTGATTTAAAAGACAACTGCATAAGGCAATAATTATAAACCTGAGTTGATGGGCACACAGTGTATAAAGATGTAATTTTGGACAAAAACATAAAGAAAAGGGGAAAAGAGATATATAGGAGCAAGGTCTGTATACGTTATTGAAAATAAGTTGGTATTAAGCTGAATTCTCTTGTTATAAATTAAGATTTTAATGGTAATTTTCAGGGCAACCACCAAGACAAAACTCAAAAATCTATAGTAAAAGAAGTGATCATGGAATTTAAATGATTCACTGAAAATGTCTAGCACAAAAGAAGGAGGTAATGAAGGAAATGAGAACCAAAAAATACATGGAATATAGAATACAAGTAGTAAAATGGCAGACATAAATCCTACCTTATCAGTAACTACATTAACTGTACATGGATTAAATGATCCAATTAAAGATACGGATTGGCTGAATGGATTTTTAAACTATGATTCAACTATATGCTACCTACAAGAGACTCATTTTACATTCAAAGACGAATAGGTTGAAAGTAAAATATAAAGAAAGCTAGACCATGAAAACAGTAACGAAAAGAGAGCTGGAGTTGCTATACTAATATGAGACAAAATATTCTTTAAGACAATATTATTACTATAGACAAATTGTAACAACTTATTTAGGAGTGTATTGTTTACTTTCCAAATATGTGTGAATTTTTCAAATTTCCTTCTGTTATTGATCTCTAATTTCACTCCATTGTGGTCAGAAAACATACTTTGTATGATCTCAATTCTTTTAAGTCCGCTGAGACTTATTTTATGGCCTAACGTGTATTCTATCCTGATAAATGCTCTATACGCACTTGCAAAGTATATGTATTCTGCTGTCATTGAGTGGAGGGCTGTATAAATATGTATGTATGTATGTATGTTAGGTCTGGTTGGTCTATAATGGTGTTCAAGTTTTATATTTCCTTTTTTATCTTTTACTTAGTTGTTCTATCCATTATTGAAAATGGAGTATTGAAATCTCCAACAATTCTGCCACTGATGGGAGAAATAGCAGAAGGAAGGAAATAATAAACATTAAAGTGAAACTAAATTAAGAGTGGAAAAAATAAAAATCAATGAAACCAAAAGCTAGTTATATGGAAAAATCAATGAAACCAGAAGCTAGTTATATGGAAAAATCAACAAAATTGAAAACTTTGATCTAGACTGACAAAGAAAAACAGAGTAAAATTACTAAATCAGGAATGAAAGAGAGGACATTACTATCAACCTTACGAAACCAAAATAATTATAAGGGGATACTATCAACAAATGTATATCAACAAACTATATAACTTAGGGGAAGCTTGTCTCTTTGTAGAAACCAGGTGGCTTCCTTGATGAATTCTACAAAACATTTAAATACATGAATTCACACCAATTCTTCACAAAGTCTTTCAAAAAAATAGAAGAGGAAGGCCAGGCACAGTGGCTCACACCTGTAATCCAGTGCTTTGGGAAGCCAAGGAAGGAGAACTGCTTGAGGTCAGGAGTTCAAGACCAGCCTGGACAACATCATGAGACCCTGTCTCTATAAAAAATTTAAAAATTAGCCAGATGTGGTAGCAAGCACCTGTAGTCCCAGCTACTCAGTTGGCTGAGGCAGGAAGACCACTGGAGCCCAAGAGTTTGAGCCTGCAGTGAGCTATGATTGTGCCACTGCACTACAGTCTGCATGACAGGGCAAGACCCTGTCTCTCTAAAAAAAAAAAAAAGAAAAAGAAAGAAAAAAAGAAAAAAAAAAAGGAAGATTCATTATCCTAATACCAAAACAAGACAAAGACATCACAAGAAAAGGAAATTACATGGAAATGGGTGCAGAGGTCCTCAAAAAAGTACTAGGAAACCAAATCCAGCAGCATATAAAAAGGATTATAAATCCTGACCAACTAGAATTTATCCCAGGAATCCAAGGTCGGCTCAATATCTGAAAATTAATCAACGTAATACATTTCATCAATAGAATAATAAACAAAAACCAAATGATTACCTCAATAAATGCTGAAAACCATTTGACAAAATCCAGCACCCTTTCACAACAAACTAGTTTTAGGGCTCAGAAAATGATACCCCAAAGTGAAGGCCTCAGAGCAAGCCTCAGAAGTAAGGTTTCTCTCTGACCTTCTGCCCTCCTGTCTCTCACCCCTCTTTCTCTCCAGCAAGCCATAGAAATTAGAATTCCTCTTTCCCAAGGTGGATCATAGAATGCTTTTTCCCAGAAGCTAGTTATAAAACATGAAAACATTACTCTAATCTTCCCCCCACCTTTCTGTGTAAAAGCTGGCCATAAAGAAATTATATAACCTACCTTGTTTGATAGTAAATCATAAGACCCCCATTCCAGAAAGGGATGCCTCATACCTGAGAAGAATTAATGCTGTATAGAGAGAGTCCAAGAAGAATGTGAATAGTCAGGCTGGGTTTCCCCACCTCAATCTACTAGCATTAAATCAGAGCCTTGATGTTCAATCATATTTCTATACTGCTGTTCTTTCTTTACCAAATCTAAGCATAAAAATGGATAGTTTTCCCTGTATCTTTGGGTCTTTATTCTAAACCCTCCAGTGTTATATAAAACTATAATTAAATAAGTCTGTTATGCTTTTCTCTTTTTAACTTGTCTTTTGTTATAGGAGTGTTGGCTGTGACCTTTATGATGTCAGGGGAAAGGGATAATCTTTTTGCCCCTAGACAAGGAATACAAGGGCTCTTATTTAACCTGATGAAGGGCATCTGGAAACCCACGGCTTACATAATACTTAAAGGCAAAAGACTGAGTCCTTTCCCCAAATCAGAAATAAGACATGGATGCCCACTCTCACCACTTCTATTCAATATCATAGTGGAGGTTCAAACCAGGTGATTGGTCAAGACAAAGAAACGAAGGACATCAAGACTGGAAAGGAAGAAGTAAAATGATTTCTATTCATGGATGATATGATCTTAGAGAAAACTCTAAAGCATCCACAAAAAACTATTAGCACTAATAAACGAGTTCAGCAGGGGTGCAGGATACAAGATCAAAATGCAAAAATAATTGTGTTTCTCTACTCTTTCTTTCTTTCTTTTTCTTTAATTTTCTTTTCTTTTCTTTCTTTCTTTTTTTTTTTTTTTTTTTTTTGACAGAGAGTCTCACTCTATTGCCCAGGCCAGAGTGCAGTGGTGCAATCTTAGCTCACTGCAACCACCACCTTCTGGCTTCAAGCGATTGCCCTGCCTCAGCCTCCCAAGCAGCTGAGATTACAGGTGTGCACTACCACACCCGGCTAATTTTTTTTTTTTTTATAGTAGAGATGGGGTTTCGCCATGTTGGCCAGGCTGGTCTCGAACTCCTGACCTCAGGTGATCCACACACATCAGCCTCCCAAACTGTTGGGATTACAGGCGTGAAATACCATGCCTGGCCTATACTCTTCCAATGAGAAATTCAAAAGTGAAATTAAGAAAAGCAATTCCATTTACAATAGCATGAAAAAGAATAAAATACTTAGAAATAAATCAAACAAAAGAAATGCAAGATTTGCACACTGAAAACTATAAAACATGATGAAAGAAATTAGCCTAATTATTCCTAATAATCAAAAAGTGAAAATCACTCAAATGTCTATCAACTGATGAATGGATAAACAAAATATAGTATATATACATATACACATTAGAATGTTATTCAGCCATAAAAAGGATTGAAGTATGATACCTGCTATACTATGAATGCGTCTTGAAACCATTATGCTAAGTGAAAAAATGCAGTTACAAAAGGCCACGTATCATATTATTCTTATGTATTTAAAATATCCAGATTAGGCAACTCTATAGAGATGGAAAGTAAATTAGTTGTCGCCTAAGGCTGAGGGGATGAGGTGACTGGAGGGTGATAAAGGGTACAGGGTTTCTTTCTAGGGTGATTTAAATGTTTTTAAATTGATTGTGATGATTATTTCACAACTCTGTGAATACTAAAAAACATTGAACTGTACACTTCAAATGGATGAATTGTATGGCATGTGAATTATATCTCAATAAAGATGTTACCAAAAAATAAACAACTGTCACGGTCATCAAAAACAAGGAAAGTCTGAGAAACTGTCACAGCTAAGAGGAGACTGAGGACACTTGATGACTTACTATAATGTGGGATCCTGATGGGATCATGAAATAGAAAAATTAAGGAAATGCGAATAAAGTACATATTTACTTAATAATAATCTATCAACATTGGCTCATTAATCACAATAAATGTACCATCCTATTGTTAAGATGTTAACAATAGCAGAAACTGCCTATGGGGTCTATGTACTATCTTTGCAATTTTTCTTTCATCTAAAACTATGCTAAAATTAGAGTTTGTTTATTTCTTTAGAGACAGAGTCTCACTCTGTCTGTCGCCCAGGCTGTATAGTAGTGGCACAATCTCGGCTCATTGCAACCTCTGCCTCCCAGGTTCAAGTGATTCTCCTGCCTCAGCTTCCCGAATTGCTGGGACTCCAGGTGTGCGCCACCACACTCAGCTAATTTTTGTACTTTTAGTAGAGACAGGGCCAGGCTGGTCTTGAACTCCTGACATCAAGTGATCCACCTGCCTTGGCCTCCCAAAGTGCTGGGATTACAGGTGTGAGCCACCACACCCGGCCAAGTTTACTTTTAAAAAGACATCTTTGCAATTTTGAAAGAGGTGCTTGAGAAGTCCATTTAATTACATTTGTATCAATTCTCCCTTGCTTTACATATTTAGTTGCTATTGTTTTTGTTGCACACAGATTTGACTTATTCACACATCATAGCTTTTATCAGTAGCTTTTTATGTTGTTCAGTGCTCTTTCCCCTAAATCCCATGTTAATTTTAATAAGGCTATTTTAGCAGCCCCATGGCACACATGGTTTCTGCGTGGCCACAGTGAAGTGGCATCTTTGGTACTCTTACTCACCTTCTGTCCTCATCATAGACTACTTCGGAGTCTCCACCACTTTAAGACTTCGGGAACTTTTTTGCTTCACCTATGTCCCCACCTCCCAGTTCATAAATTTGCTGAATACTTATTAGAATCCCCCACATCCCTTCTATTTCAAGGATTTTTGCCTTTGCTCACTCGTGTTTCATGACAGCAACCTCTCCACATCCATCCATAGTGCTTTGTTATTTGCCTCATTTTTCTGGTTTCCTGCAACTTGAGTTGCGGGGGGCAGTTAGTGATTTCTTAACTATTTTCTTCAGATGGAGCATGTGGGTGATATACACCAACGTTTGCATAAAGAGAATATTTTTAGATCCTTTTTTAACATTTTATATCCATTTTTAAACCCTTCACTACTTCAGAAATCAAAGGAATCCTGAAGTTTATGAACAACTGAAGAAGGCGTTAATGAAGAGAGATCGCAATTCAAACTGTCTCTCTATCCCTTGATTTCTGCAGAAGGGTGGGAAGATCTGTTTCCAGTCTGGGAAAGGTGGAGGTTTTTCTCTTCCTTGAGAGACTCAGAAATCTCCAGGAGTGGTCTGAGTGCAGTGGCTCACACCTGTAATTCCAGCACTTTGGGAGGCTGAGGTGGGCGGATCACCTGAGGTCAGGAGTTTGAGACCAGCCTGGCTAACATGACAAAACCCTGTCTCTACTAAAAATACAAAAATTAGCTGGGTGTGATGGCACACACCTGTCATCCCAGCTACTTGGGAGGCTGAGGTAGGAGAATTGCTTGAACCTGGGAGGCAGAGGTTGCAGTGACCAGAGATTGCACCACTGCACTCCAGCCTGGGCAACAGAGTGAGACTCAGTCTCAAAAATAAAAGAGAAAGAAATCTCCAGGAGTGAAGACAGAAACTGAAGGAGCAGCCAGAAAGTATTTAATGCAAATGTCAATACAGTCAGCCTAAGTAGAGGCCAGCTCAGCCCATTGGAAAGGGAGTTGAAGGTAAATAGAGCAGAGGCTCTGGGAAAGGAGCCAGCCAAGCCAGCCCAGGTGATAAGAGGTAGACGGTCCTTTTTTGCTCTCACCTCAGAGCCCTCACCACGCAAGGCCTGGTTTTTCAAATAGCCTTCCTTACAGATAAAAGCCATGCCTCAGTACAAATGAATTCTTGCTCTGATACCACTCAGATGTATTTTAAAGCATTGTTCCAACAGACTGATTCCACAGTAAAAGAGAGGAAGGGCGGGGTGAGAGAAAGGAGCCCAGAAGTTTCCTTGTCTGTCTCTATGTGAATCCGCCAGGCCTTTGTAACAATCACACTTAACTTGAGAGTATCTGGAAGAATGGGCCATTTTTCATTTTCCAGAGAGAATGGCCAGCACCTATAGCTTTAATAGATCCAGAGAAAGAGTAAACATAACATTTAGGATCTCTGACAAGGTTAACTGAAGATTCCACCCCAGGACAAGTGGGGTGAGTTACTTTGCTATTTCCTCCCATATGTGATATAATTTTTAGTATAATCACATTTTCTCAGACCTCAAGGAAGAGCCCTAGGGGATATTTTTAATTATAAGGTAGACTTAGCATTTGGCCCTATGTATTATGAAACATCTTTGCCAATGTCAGATAGTTGAGTCCTAGGACCAGATGGGAGCATTCATACAGGCTTATACGAGGCACTTCAGTTCCTCTTATCCTCAAATCTGCTCTCACCTCATTGTCTGAATGTACAACATCTGAGGCTTTGTTCTCCCTCGCACTCTCTGATGGGAAGCTGTATAATTCGATCCATTGTACATTAAAGGTGTTTCGTTAGGATGATCATTTAAAATACACACACACAAAGGCACACTCCAGGGTGCCACATATTAAGCATTTTATCTTTTCTTTTAAAACAATCAGAGCTAAATGTTTTTACAGATAATCCCAGACCTCATTATAGGGGAGTAAGTGCACACTCTTATAAACCATTCTTTCTCAATAACCTGGCTTATGAATATCTTCCTCTGCTCTCTTCCCATTTTCACATTTAACCCAGTTTCCTACCTTTTGAAATTCAGCAGAATCTTCTCTGTCTTGTGTAGCCTTGGCTGTGTTCTCCTGACCTCAGATCCAGAGACGATTCCTGTGGGTTATCTACCTAATGCCACCCACAACATGAAAGCCAGCCTGTAGCCGGCTGTCAGGAGCTGCTGCCTTCAGGTGATTATCATGCTCTGCATGCCTTTTGGAAAGGAAAAAAAATCAGTGAAGCACTGCTGGTCTTGCTGCATCTTCAGGATTATTATTATTATTATCATTATTGAGAAATAGTTGACTCTGCAACTGGACAGATTCTCCTTCAAAAGGCAAAGATGCCATAGGAGCAAAGGAGTCGAGACACCTCGTTGTCTATCCCCTGCCTCTGGGATGGGCTGGGGCCATTCTAGAATTTCAGCGCATTCATTCTCTCCACATAGGATGGCTCAATGTTTATGCTTAATTGCAATAAGTTTCCTTAGCATAACAGAAGCTTCGCTGGACATCCTCCAGTTCTCCCAGTTAACAGCGATGTCCCTCCTCCTCTACCAGGCTGAGCCATTATAATTTCTTCCTCAGGAATATGGATTGGGAATGTATAGCAAGGCCCCTGGTATGTAAACGCAGGTACTGCTGGTGGCTGTGTTTTCTACTGTGTGGACTGGAGAACGAGAAAGCAAAGACACAGGAGGAGGAGAATGTCCAGAGAGGAGTGAGATGAAAGCAAGGAAAGGGTCCCCCTTGCTGACAGCCAGGCCCCTCCCTGGTTCTATTCTTCCCTGAAAGCCTTGCTGCATCACGGGTCCATGAGCACCGTTCTATGCTTACAATTCTCCCTCACTTATTTTGTTTTTGTTTTTTGAGGCAGGGTCTCACTCTGTCATCCAGGCTGGAGTGCAATGGTGCGATCTCAGCTCACGGCAATCTCCACCTGCCAGATTCAAGCGATTCTCCTGCCTCAGCATCCAGAGTAGCTGGGACTACAGGCGTGCGCCACCACACCCAGCTAATTTTTTGTAGTTTTAGTAGAGACAGGGCTTCACCCTGTTGGTCAGGCTGGTCTCAAACTCCTGACCTCAAGTGATCTGCCTGCCTTGGCCTCCCAAAGTGCTGGGATTAAGGTGTGAGCCACTGCACCCAGCCTCTCCCTCATTTATTTTTTCCCTTAAAACAGCTCAAGTAAGTTTCTGATATAACCAAAACCTTCCTTACTGATAAACACATGTAACTTTTAAAGAATTGTTATTCTTTCCCTTTTCCTTTTGCCTTTTCCACTTTATCATCTGGTGTTTTGACTTCGTGGTTTTGCTGTGGACGCACATGTACGCTTGTGCGTTCTAAGACGACTTGCCAGTCTATATGGAAAAAATGAAAGACAGATTCATCCTATTCATAAACAAATGCAGGGAAAGGCATTTCAGAGCCTGCCCTGGTGAGTCACCTGCACCCCCTCCTGTGGGGCAGTCACTCTTTAGCACAAGTCTGTGTGGAAAGGCAGAGCTGGGGATTGTAGGCACTTTCATTTTTTTTTTTTAAGAGAAACCAGAAATAACCATTTTTATGAGAAATCTCTTAATTTTGAATTGTCGGCACAAATTATGTTCATACAGGAGACCAGTCCCCTGCCCCCTGCAAAAAAAGTTTTCAGGCTGCTTGAGCTCTCTACTTTACATCCTGTTAGTCATACTGTGGTCTGAGGACCCACAGCATCAGCAGCACTCAGGAACTTACCAAAAATGCAGAATCTCAGGCCTACCCCAGACAGGATGAGTCAGAATCTGTATTTTAACAAGGTCCCCAGGTCATTTGTCTGCACATTAAAGATTGAGAAATCCTGGCTTAGTTCACTAGTTCCTAAATTTGGCTGCATATTAAAACTGCCCAAGGAACTTAAAAAAAAATAGTAATACCTGAATTCCACTCCCAAGGATTTTGTTTTAATTAGTCTGGAATGCAGCTTGGGCATAAAAAAATAAAAAAATAAAAAACTCCCTGGGTGATGTTAACAGGTAGCAAATGTAAATGTAAAGAACTGCTGGTCTACCACAGGACCCAACACCACTTCCTACGGCCTCCTAGGTACTGTCCAACAGCTCACTCAGACCTCATCCGCCTTGGCTCCTGAATTGGCAGCT
Organism: Homo sapiens; assembly: GCF_000001405.40. Classification (NCBI taxonomy): domain Eukaryota; kingdom Metazoa; phylum Chordata; class Mammalia; order Primates; family Hominidae; genus Homo; species Homo sapiens. The sequence goes on along the minus strand of NC_000016.10, from coordinate 47,732,254 downwards.
CCAGGTCTGGAGTCTCAAGACTTTCACAGGAGGTGCAAATTGTAGCTCCACAAATATTGCCAGAAGATAATTTTGGGAGAGGAGTGGGGAAGAGCGTTTCAATTTTTTTTAATTTGATGATCCTAAATTAGAAGACAGGACTTTCTCAAATGCCACAAAGAAATAGTGAGTATGAACATCTTAGAAAAATAACTATTATAGTCAAAAGTACTCAACTGCACAGTACAAAGACTCCAAACACACAGGATTTAAACCTGTATCTTAAATGATCTTAGGCTTCTGAAAATCCCAGTTCTTTGAAAATGTGGCCAAATAAGAAGGGAGAGAATAACAACAGCAAAATAACCAAGGTTGAACCCTGGGAGAAAGGATGCTTAAAATTAGAGTGCAGGAAAAACATCTTCTTTTACATTCTGACCCCTCGTCTCACCACTCTGATCATTGCTTCTATAATACATTCCAGCAGCTAAAACAAGCTTTTTGTTTGTATCTGAGTGTCTGTATAAAATTCTTCCAGTGTGATAAACTGCAAACAAAAACCAAACCCCCAGTTTTTTATCCCCCCTGTATCAATGCCTTGTGCAATGTGATCTGTGGCTCCTCCCCTCATGAGGTAGAGTCTTTCACCCCATCCTTTGAATCTGGGCTTCCTGTAGCCAATAGAATGTGTGGAAACTGTGCTCCCAGTCCTGAGCCTAAGCTTTAAGAGGGCTTGCATGCTGCTGCTCTCTCTCCTGGAGCACCAGTACTGCAAAGTGAGCAAGCTGGATTCGCTGGATTTGGAGAAGACCCAAGGCCCTCCTAGACCTCTCAACAGCCAGCCAAACCCCAGCAGCTGAGAAAGCCCTGCCAATATCAGCAGTCACCTGCCTAACCCACAGCTGACCAAAAATGCATGAGCAAGCCCAGTCAAGGCCAGAGGAATCACCCAGCTGGCCTACAGCATAGTGAGTTAAGTAAATACTTCATTGGTTACACAGCAATAGCTAACGGACATACCCAGCTTAGAGAATTTCAATTTAAACATTAATGTTCTAAAGAAATGGAGTTCAAAGAAATAACTGGAAAATAGTTAAGCAAAACTTGGGAACACTAAGGAAAGAATAAGCTTCTTTTGTCAATTTTGTTCCTCCATTGAGTCATTTAGGGACTGCTGTGTTACTTTGCTAAGTCAAGGAGCTGAGCAAAATTGAGGCCAGCTGGTTGGAGGTGGTGCATATTGAGAGGATGTCCCTGGGCACCAGCATCTGACAATGACTTCCTATCCACTTCCTAATTCCACCTCCACTACTGCTCCTTTTATATTTTCATCTACATTATTGAGCATTGTAATTTGAAGACCAAATTTAAATATGAACAATGTTCATGTTCTGAATAACGTCACGTTTATGGATTCCTTAGATAATTCTTATGACTGAGTACGATTTCCAAAAAGATAAAAACATCACATGTCCTAGGGCTTTCTGCAAGCTTCCTAAGAAAACGGAACTGTTTCATAAGAAACTGCTTTCAATATTCTTGTTAGAAAATCAGTTTAAAATTTAGCTCAAATGGCAAAAGAAAAAAAAGTCAGCATTTATAAGATACCACATGCATCACAGACTCAGTCTTCTCTCTCCTCTAACAAATTAGAAGTAGTGTTCAATCCTTGGGCAGTAGGCAGCTTTGTAGACAAGAGAATTATTCTGCTTGTAGCTCCCTATGACACAGGATTAAGGCTGGATTTCTGCAAACTTCTCCTTGCCTTCATAGCTGACTTGATTTGCCAAGAAGTGAACAGAATCAACCACATAATCCTATTCTAAGGCCATTCATAGTTTCTGAAGAAGGCTGGTGGCTGCCCCAGATCATGGGATAGCCCAAAGATGAACAATATTTGTATTGAAAAGCCAGATCTACTTTCAGGAGGTAAATAGAAGACTCACTTCCAGGTAAATACAAGACTAATGAAGGAAATTGCATTTTTCTCTTAATAGTGAGGTTGGCAAGCCAAGCACATGGCGTATTTATGGATCTCTGTCCCGGGCATTATGAAGAATAAAGAAGCCATCTCCCACGCAGTGACTGCTCTCAAGGAGCTCACAATCTGGTTAAGGAGACATGATGCTCGTATCCAAGAATGAGGCATGTAGATCAATACTTCCAAGAGGTATAATTCAGATGGTAAATGGTACCTGAGTGACCAGAGTTAGAGGACACAAGACTATGCTGTGAGCTGGATAAGTCATGGAAGGCCATGGGAAAAAAATCAAGAAATCAATGGCAAGATTGAGCATGCTGTTTATTAACTACTCCTCTAGAAGTATGTCCTGGCTGGCTGACTCGTTCATACACACACACACACGCGCGCGCGCGCGCGCGGTGATAATGCTGTATTTGTCCCATCTACTGAGAGTCTCAGGAGAGACAGCTGTGTAGTAGGTCGCTATTGTCATTTCTTCACATTATCTTGAGCTAGACACCACCTAGGACAGGTAAGCTCCTAGAGAAGGAAATGGTCCCAGGTGTTACCAGTGAGACGAGAGCAACCCAGGCATGTGAATCAGGAGCACACAACACAGCATCTTTTGATACGTCCTTGTGAATAGCAATTCTTAGAAAGCTTTTCCATCGGGCACCATCTGGATGCATAACTACCATTATGACAAAATAGCACTTGCTTCCACTCCAGCCATGCTTATATCTTATATCGTTGGCTCATAAAACTTGGGAGTTTTATGAGCCTTTATTTATTTCATTTATTTTTTTTTTAGACGGAGTCTCACTCTGTTGCCAGGCTGGAGTGCAGTGGCGCGATCTCAGCTCACTGCAATCTCCACCTCCCATGTTCAAGCAATTCCCCTGCCTCAGCCTCCTGAGTGGCTGGGACTACAGGTGCCCGCCACCACACCCGGCTAATTTTTTTGTATTTTAGTAGAGACAGGGTTTCACCATGTTGGCTAGGATAGTCTCAATCTTCTGACCTCATGATCTGCCCGCCTCAGCCTCCCAAAGTGCTGGGATTACAGACGTGAGCCACCATACCCAGCCGAGCCTTTATTTTTAAAAATTAAGAAAAACTTTATCTTTACACAGTTGGTTTTCAATACAATCGTAGCACATTTTCCAAAATGCCAAGTGATCTCAAAGTAATTTACATCTGAGCTAGGAATATGTCAGGTTTTCAGGATATTTCTCTTCCTACTTCCTAAATTGTGCTCTGATGAGTCTAGTAGTAAAATTAGTTAAGTATTCAACTAGGCACAAACTGCATGATTAGAGAGGATAGCTGTGAGAGCTGGAAGGAAACCAGCCTGATTTAAAATTTATCAAGAGATGATTTAATTCCACACAATGAGCATTTCCTGCACTGTGAGGGAACTGGTCATCATTATTCATTAAGACACAACCCACATGCAGTTAGATTAAGGGATGATCATTTGGGGACCTCACTAGTTTTTCCATACAAATTTGACCCCATAGTCCTAGCAGCGCAGACCAACCTATAGATGGCAATTTTACCTTGTGGGTCATTAAAACGAGCCTCTCCTTCTAGCTTTATCCAGCAGACACTGCCTAGCCGTGCTACAATCAACCTGAAATGTGCTGCACACGTTGCATCTTGCTGCCTTAATTAAAGTACACCAATCATCCAATTACACTGTGTGATTTCTCAAGCCTCTTTAAAACAAGCCCCATGAAAGCCAGGAGGAAAAATCCAAATGAAGAAGGAAGCCCCAGGATTTGAATAGGTTCTAACCACAAAGTCTTCAATTTGTTCCTAGGTGTATAATAAGCAGAAATGAAACAAGAGTCTTAATCTCCTGCATGGCCTTCAACAGGAAGGAAACACAGCTCAGCTGAAGGAGGTAAACAAAGCTGCTCACCCAGCTTCGTGCTACGCTACGTCTGGCCTCTCCAGTTATTTCTCTCCCTCTAGGCTGACCAAGCTGGATGGCCTCACCTTGACTGCTAACACATAAATCTTTGCAAGGAAACAGTTCACTTAACTGACTATATCATCTACTAGCAAGGTCATTCTTTACATTTGATAAAGTGACCTACAAAAGGGATCTTTTGCAGAATGAGTGCAACAAAATGTCTCTTTACAAATAAAAGCCAAGCGTCCATGCATAGACTTCTCTTGATAAACGTAACCAAGACTTTCTGACACAACACAAATTACTCAGTACCCATGATCTCATTTAATCTCAATCGTCCTACATGGGGACCTTGACATTCAGAGTGAGTAAATAATGTGCTTACAGACAGACAGGAGGTAAGTGGCAGAATAAGACAATGTTGTTGGACAATTTGAGAAAACAAGGCCAGATTCCATCCACTTCTTCTCAGAGGACTGTGAGACATGGTTGGGAGTATGGACTCCAGAAGCAGATCAACTTGGGTTTGAATTCTGTGTTTATTGCTTTCTAGCTCCATGGCCTTGACAAAGCTATTAAACCTCCCCTGAGCCTCAGCTTCTTCATCTCTAAGATGGAAAAACTCCCCTCTATCTTAAAAGATTGCAATGAGGATGAGATGCAGTAAGAATGCATGTGCAGTATCTGACGTGATGAGCATATTCAGTTGATGCTGGCTATTATTATTTATGGAAAAATTGTCCTTGGTTTCATCTCCTTTCAGTCTCTTACTGAAGTAGCTTGAGAGCTTTAGGTAAAACAACTTCCAACAGATGGATCTAAGAAGCAACTGGAGATCATTTGCCATGATGGTGATGAAGCATTAATTAAGTTGGAATTACCACCCAAACTCAACCAGGCAGGAGAGATCCTGGAGGAAATCCAGTCTATTGGTTTCTCAGCAGAAGAAGAGCTCTGCTTATGGTAAGACTAGAGCTGGTGGCAGAGGGATGTGGAGTCGAGTGGAGGTGGGGAGCCCTTATCACCTATGGCTTTCACTTTGGTTAAGACTGCGTTCTTTTTTTTTTGAGATGGAGTTTCACTCTTGTTGTCCAGGCTAGAGTGCAGTGGCGCAATCTAGGCTCACTGCAACCAACACCTGCCAGATTCAAGCGATTCTCTTGCCTCAGCCTCTCCTGAGACTACCTGTGGGCATGTGCCCCATTGCCCGGCTAATTTTTTTGGTATTTTTAGTAGAGACGGGGTTTTGCTGTGTTGGCCAGGCTGGTCTCAAACTCCTGACCTCAAGTGATCCACCCGCCTCAGCCTCCCAAAGTGGTAGGATTACAGGCGTGAGCCACCGCGTCTGGCCTAAGACTACATTCTTTGCACTACACCCTTGACCAAGATGAATCTTGAACACAGAGTGCTGCAAGAGACTCCATTTCAATCCACTGGCTCCCAGGGCCAGCCATCTGCCTTATCCAATTGGGAAGCAGAGATGAAATTAAATTGCTGCAGCATCTCTCCCCCACTCCTGAGAAACCAGTGAAGGATGGCAGACTGGCTGGCTATGGCCATTTAGAAAGCAGACCATTCTGTGTTAATGAGGCAGAAACCAGCCAGACTGCAAAGCCAGGAAAGATGCATCTTTTCTGCATTCTTGTAGAGGGACCTCGGGGAAAGACAATATCCTACAGCAAAGTGCATGAAAGGAATCAGTATCTTGTTAGTACAGTGACATCTCTATCTGTTCAAAGTTTCCCAAACCAGAAGGGGCATGAAAAACTTTTCAAAGAGTTAGAAGAGTAACCAAACATAAGATAAAAGAATTATGTATGAGCCCACTGCCCAAACTTCAAAGCAGCACAGTTCACCCACAGCATGGAGATGAAAGGGATTGGATTGGATCTGAGAGCCGTCATGAAAGACCTAGGTGGACCAGAAGCAAAGGAAGCCTCCAGTCCCATCCAGAGGCACCACGGGGAGGGGAGGGAGAAGAGGCTGAGGATGCTCTTTCTCCCAAGGTGATGCTTCCCCAGTGTTTCTTGTCATTGTTCCGCATTCTATGTTCTATGTTGACATAGGTGAAAGACATCAAAGAGCCTGAGTGTGAAAGCAAGATGACAAGATACAGCATTCTTTTCACAAGAAATGCAGAGAAACAGCCCGGAGGTGACCTGTGCTTGCTGCAGCCCATTCCCCAAACAGTGGGCCAGGGACCTCTGTCGTAATTATGCTTGCAACTCAGCGATGTATTTCATCACCCGGTAGTGGGGCTGCTGCCAATTCCACCTCTACAAAATGTTGCAGAGTAGAGACATTTTACAGGAAGAATGTTGTCAGAGTGCTGTTCATCTCCACCGAGGCACAGACAGAAGAATAAATAAACCCAGGCTTGCAAAGTGGGGGTTGGTTATGGTCTCACCCTCTTTCTCCATCCCTTTATGAGTGAGACCACCATGGCTTGGGAGAGTTAACCAATTTCTGTAAGGTTTCGCAGCGAAGGTCAGAAATAGAACTAGGACTAGAATCTACAGAGATTGAGAAGAACAAAACTCTTCATCGTTAGGAAGTTAAACCCAGGAGTGTGACTGAATGGATGGGAAATGAAAAACAGGATTGATTTTCTTACCATTGTGACAGCTCACAAGAATCTTTCAAAATCCTTCCCAGGCCTAAGAGGCTATAAACCACGAAAACAACAACAACGAAGAGGAAAAGCCAGGAGTTGGGTGGCACGTGGGCAGGAGATACTGGAGGACGCAAGGCAGGCAGATCATCGAGGAAGACCACTGGGCTGAAATTTTACCACAGTTTGGCCTCAAGCAGAGAAATGAGAGCTTCCAATATATAAGGCGCCCTTCTGGTTGCTGCTGAGCACACAGAGATGAAGAAGCACCCGCCAGAGGGCAGGGAGAGGAATAATGCCGCAGTGTCAGACACAGATCTGACAGAGTCACTGTCATGTACATTTCCTCACAGTGAGCCCCTGAGCTAAGTATTGTTTTCTCTATTTTACAGAAAGAAACATCAAACCGTGACAGAAAAAGAGTCAGTGTGATGTATTTGCGCATTATCTTCCTGTCTCTCTATGTAAGAATTTAGGCAGAAATAGGTAAATACGTAGAGAAACTAGGATGTGTTCATGAAAACTGATGTTTCAACAAATCTAAAGACAGTAACATGGGAAAATGAAAGAAGCTCTCTGGTGTCTGTAGCCTCACCATCTCCTCACGCACAAGGATGCGTCTCCTCGAAAGCGCCCTTGCTCTGCAGCTGAACCAGAGGCTGCCTGACCCTCTCCACCTCAGGGAGCGAGGCAGAGCACCACTGTGAGGCTTCCCTGAGGCACAGGTTAAGACAGGTGGACATTCTTCTGTAAACAGTGGAGAAGTCACAAAAGGTTTCTGAACAGAAGAAGAATCTGATTGGATATGATGCTTATAGGGGAGCTGGACTGGGAAGACAAAACTCAGGTTTGAAAAGCTGGTGGGAAGATGTGGAGCAGTCAAGACGAGAGGTAGCAAAGAGAGGTGCTGAAAGTGGAAAGAGAAACAGGGCCCTACCTTTAAACAGCCTGCAGGGTGAATCCACGTAGATGTGATCATGTGGTACGGTACCATTAGGCCAATGCATGCATTTAGCAAGACTCTTCTAGAGATGACGGCTTCAATCCAAAGGGCTATTATGGTGGGAAGTGTATCCCAGTAGGTAGTTGGGGAAGGGCGTCTTTCTGGGAGGGAAGACACTGGAGCCTCTCAAATCCTGGCAAAGCGACTCCTGCTTTCCTTAGCTTCCCATCACCAGAGAGCACCTTTCTCAACCACATCAACCAGATAAGAAATGAAAAGACAGGGATTTTTTTTTGTTCTGTTCCATCATTGGTGTCCTTGTCTCTTCCCCTTGTGCCCATGTTCTAACCCAGAAGTGTTGTTCCACCAAAGCCACCTTGCTGGTTCCCTGAAAAGCAGGCAAAATCCTGTCTTGCTCCTGAGAGACTATTAGAAAAGCACTTTGATGATTACCTTTTGTTAATGTGCAGAACAGATTTTTAAATCGTCAGTTCTATTACCCAGCCCTATCCCTGGGCTTCCTGCAGAGCTGACCCCGTGCCCTGCTTTCTTCATCTATCACAAACATAAAAACTCTTTAAAGATCCATTACCTCCTCCTGCACCCCCCATTATTATAACCTTCATTCTAGCTGTCAAGAGACCTTGCTACAGAAAAGAATGCTATAATTCAGCATTAGCTTACCAGAAAACACTGGTGGGAGTTGAAATCACAAGCAGGCAGAGAATAAAGTAGAATCAAAATTCATCATGAAGCCATTTTCACCTCCCACTCTCCACTCTAACCAAGACAATAACCCTTGTTTGTGAGGAGCATAAAGATTTGCTCCTGTGTATCTTAGGAAGAACATTGTGATGGTTAGCCCCTGTTATTTTTCTTAAGTGTCAGGATTCTCACTCCTGCCCTGGAAAAGAGCCATATATTTTAGAAATGCTCTGATCTCTTATCCACAATCAGCAGGGGAAAAAAATGTATAATTTAGCTAACTTTCAGCAGACGATGTTTGGACTGGATTCCAAGAGCAGATGACGTGGGTAATTGGCAATTCTCTGCCACTGAGGACCATGACAAATATTGCAGAAGGGCTTGGCCAACGCTTCAGCAAGAAGTCCTTTGGAAGCCCTCAGGTGCCTGCCTGCGCCCTGATTGGGAGATGGGGAAAACAGCTTTTGGAGTAGGCTGCTGGCTTCAGGCACCTAGCGATTGGATGACAGCAATTTTAAAGGTAGAGAGCTAACTCTACTAATGTGGCCAAGTCATCTTAATTAAAGCCAGAATCACTTTATTAAAAAGAAATGGCGTTTGAGTTCGGAAATCCAATCTAAGTTGCCACCACGAATTGAAAAGGATGGAGGGCACTGGCTGATGATGCAGCAAAAGGCACGTGGGATTTTCAGTTGCTTTTTTTTTTTTTTCCATTTTTGAGATAGAGTCTCATTCTGTTGCCTAGGCTGGAGTGCAGTGGTGCGATCTCAGCTGACTGTACTCCTGGGCTCAAGCGATTCTCCTGCTTCAGACTCCCAAGCAGCTAGGATTACAGGCTACACCCCCACACCTGGCTATTTTTTGTATTTTTAGTAGAGACTAGGTTTTGCCATGTTGGCCAAGCTGGTCTTGAACTCCTGACCTCAAGTGATCCGCCTGCCTCAGCCTCACAAAGTGCTGGGATTACAGGCATGAGCCACCACATCCAGCCTAGTTGCCTTTTCTTAAAGCTAGTCTTAGATCAAAGGCCAAGTGGCTAACTGGGGCCAGGGGTGGTGGTCTGCTGAGAACTAGTGACTCTGGGACTTGGCTTAGATACTGCACAAACCCCCATGAGCTTTTTACCAGGAGCTGTCCCTCTTTGTTCCCAACCCTTCAGAGTCCCTTAAACTCTTATTCCCCATACCAAGGCATTCATGTCAACCCTTCCACCCCTTGCACACTTAAAAACCTCCAGTGTTTTCCCACTGCACTTAGATCAAAACCCAAACTTCTAGCCAAGTTCTGCAGGGTTCCTAGCTAGCTCCTGCCCCACCCTCGAAACTCACATATACCCAGTCGCTTCTGTTCACTCCAGTTCAGCAACTCTGGACTTCTTTCTGTGAACACAATGGACTTGCTCCTGCCTGGGACCCATGCAATTATAGCTTTCTCTTCCTGGATGGCTCTTCGCTCACAGCATGGCTGATTCCTTGCTGTAATTCAGCTCAGATGTTACCTGTTCATGAAGCTTTTCTGACCCACCCTGTATCAATATCCCTCGCTCCTTCTGTAACTTTCTAACCACTACTCTGCTATTTTTCTTTGTCATCCATCTCCAACATTACTATGTATCTTTACTGTTTATTATTCTGTTTCTCCACACTAGAATATAAGCTCCTTGAGAACAGAGACCTTGCATGTCTTGGCCACTACTAAATCCCTAACAAGTGCTCAATCAATATTTTTGAATGAATGAATGAATGAATCACTCAATCTGTTAGGAGAATCACTGCCACAAATAATTGAAAATTCAGAAGCAAGTCTTTAAAAATCTTGCAGCAATCAAGCAAGTCCATGTGATGCCAGTCTGGTTATACTGTAGAGAGAATTCCGCATGCGTTTGGATGGGAGCCACCACTGAAGCTCCAGCCAGCCCTGTGCTCCTGGCTGGCACTTGACAGAAGTAATTTGTAGGAACTCGCTTTATAGCCAAAATCAGGAGTTCTAGTTTTTGCTCCCCAGAGCCATTGACATGCACTTATGGGTATTTTTACCCAGAGATGCATCCCGCAGCTGGCCCATTAATATCTTACATAAATAAGCAGCAAGGAGCATCAGTTGAAAGTCTTTAAAATAATGTCTCAAGCAGTCTGTGCACAGGCGGTAATCTTAAAGCCAGAGTGATGCCTCTACTTGGGAAGAGGGGCCTGCCATAAAAAAGAGGCTGGAATTGAACCCTCCTTCTGAAGTCCACTTACCTACCCTTTCTTCTTACACATCTAGTTAAATGTTGTCCAAAGCTTCTTACACATCTATTTAAATGTTGTCCACACGCACACCCAGGGAACACAAAAATAAGGCAATTTTTCCAGTTACCATGCTCACTAGAGCATATTTTGCTTCATCTTGAGTCATCAATCTGGAAAGGAAAGTAGAATGAGATGAAACTAAATGGGGCCAAACACATTGATCGAGTTTGGTTCCCTTTAGAGCCATTCTAAAATAAATAAAGGTGAGTGCTTTGTAGAAAGAAGATACGGACAGGCTGAACTCTCCCCTATAGCATTTACTTTCCCTAGAAATTGTAGGTAATAACTCTGTGGAGTGAGTTGTGCACAGAGCTTTGAATGTTCCCTCAGTATGAGTACTGTGACACGTGGAAGCATTTGGCTGTATCTGCAGGTTTGGAGCTGGCCATGTGCTGGAAGAGGAAGGCTTTGGGAGGGGAAACCAGGCAACAGCTCCAGGGCTCTGATAGGCTTGGGGCCTCTAGATTCAGGTCACTGCTTTCAGCATGACAGAGGTCTCAGGGCATTTCCATAAAAAGCATTAAAATAGGGTGTAACATATTTAAAGCCAATCTTTCTCAAATCTAAGAAACACAAAACATTGACAAAGCCACACCCACTCAGAAGGGCAGCCTTGTCATTTACTCACCTTCACCGCCACTCAACCAATATTTAAGCACATACTTCATATGAGTCACCACGTTGTATGCTAGGTAATCAATGCTAAGCAAAATAGACAAGTTCCCTGCCTCTTCTAGAGCTTTCGTTCAAATGTAGGCCTGTCTTTTTTTTCTTTTTAAGACAGTTTTATGGAGATATAATTCACATATCACACAACTCACCCACTGAAAGTATACAATTCAAGGCTTTCAGTATTTTCACAGAGTTGTTCAACCATCACCATAATCAGTTCTAGAATATTTTCATTATCTTAAAAGGTAACACAAGGTTTTAAGAAACTAATCACTTAATTATTGAGTTGTAATCATGATTATTCCTTCTACTTCCCTGAAAGAATAAAGCATGTATCATGAGGAGGCCTCTGGTCTTGGGGTTTCGATAAGGCTCTCAGCAAAGTGACATTTGCACTGAGAGCCGATGGCGGAGTAGGAGAAAGCCAGGCAAAAGGAGTGAAGTGAACAGGAGGAGGTAGCAAAAACACAGGTATAAATTAGGCTTTGTGGTGGATCTATGGAACTGAGAAAAGGACATTGAATTTTATTTTAGAGCAATGGGTTTTCTATTGTTTAAAGAGTTTTAAGTTTTCCTGGCTACTCTCATCCTCCATGTCCAGATTTTCATTTCGAAAAAGTATCTCCTGCTGATGGTGAGAGAACGGATTGGAGGGAGGCAAGCATGAAGGCAGGAAGATCAGTCAGGAGCCCATCACAGAAGTCCAGCAAGGAGATGAGAGTGGCCTGGATCAGGACAGTGGAAATGGGGGCAGTGAGTTCATTCAAGATTTATTAGGAACAGAACTGAAAGACCTTGGCAATTGATTCACTGGGAGGAGTGATGACTTCCAAATTTGATGCCTCCACTGCTGGGTATATGGGTTACAGAAGGAAAACTGGAAGAAAAGTAAGATTTTTGAAGTTGGTAGAAAGATCACTAGGGTTTGTGACCAAGCAATTAATGGGTTCACTGTCCAATGCACAGAGGCCAATACCATGGCACTGGCTTTTGAGAAAAGAAAAGTTTTATTGTGAGTCAACCAGCAAGGAGACAGGAGGAAATGCTCAAATCTGTCTCCCCGGCCTGGGGTTTTGGTTGGGTTTTATAAGTGTAGGTTAATGAGGTGTGATCTGATTAGATCTCACAATGAGGTGATGTTGGGAAGAATGATCTGACTGGATTCTGCCATGGGGTGACTCTAGAGCTCGATCTGATTGGATCCTAGATCCTGCCATGTGGTGTCCACTTAATTCCGTCCCCACTCCTTCACCCAAGCACTTAGGTTCCCCCTTTGGCTGCACATTTGGTTCATCTGGGCATGCTCAGGTTATATGACCTCAACCCGGAGATCCATGGCAAATGAAAAACAACTCACAGCTTTGTCACAAAAAGCCAAGCCAGATTGGTCTGGTGTGGTTACAGGCTCAACATTGGATATGTTGACTGAGCTGTCAGGTAGGTAGTTGAATATGACTCTGATATCAGAGGTGAGATCTGGGCTGAAGAAATAAATGTAAGAGTCATTGTTGCACATTGGCCATTGATGTCCTGCAAGTAAATGAGGCCACCCAGGGAGAGATGACAAAGCAGAGAAGGGGCCTCAGGCCAGGTCAAGGGAAGCTCCAACATGTCAATGGTAAATGGAAGAGGATGTGCTGGTAAAGAGGCTGAGGGAGAGCTGCCGAGAAGGAGGAGGTCAACCAGGAGCATGTGATGACCTGGAGCCAAGGGAAGATGGTATTTTAAACGGTGAGAGGATATTTGTTTAAAAGCTGCTGAGAGATGAAGGCTAAGAGAATGTCCTTTGAACTTGACGACATGAAAATTATTGGTGCCCTTAGCAAGAGTCATTTCAGTGACAGAGCAGTTGGTGGAAGAATGGAGGGAATATGTGCAGACAACTCTTCTGAGAACTGTGGCTGCACATGGGAGGAGGAAAATGGCCTGGATGGAGGGCCATGTGGAGTGAGGGAGGAAGGGTTATTTTAAGATGGGGGTGATATAAGCAAACTGTAATGCTAATAGAAAGGATCCAGTGAAAAAGCGGGTAAGAGAGATGACTGCTGGATAAGGTGCTTGAGATGGGGGAGTGGGGCTGAGACCCCAGCACATCCACAGGAACTGGCGTTAGTTGGAAGGGAAACTTGCTTTTGCCTGGTGGGTCCTAGAGCAACAAACCTTGGTTTCACTACAGCCAGCACTGAACCCGGGCCACACTGGAGACAGAGATGTTCTCCAGAAGCCTCACTGGACATCATCTGCTACTCACCTACTCGCCATGCCACTGGGGGTGGGATGAAAGGTCTTCTCTTTGCCCCTCACCAAACACAACTCCCTCTTTCTCTCTTGCATTAAACACATGTTTTGACAACAGGACATCAGAGGTATCCAGGAACCTCATGGATGGAGAACCTATATCTACCTCCTGCCTTCTTGCACAGCTGAGACTTCAATTTATGCCTCACATATCAAAATACCCTTTCTCGATGCCCCCTGCTCCTCAGAGTTCAGATCTTCTATCCTTCACCTCCTCGGGATAGAAATAAATGGCGACACCACATGGTGTGTCAGAAGTATCATATCCCTCCAGAGAGGCAATGTCACCCCAAAACATCATTTCCCCAAACACAGCAAGACTGGCCTTGAAAGGGATTGTGGCAACAGAAGAAAGTGGCTGCTGCCTGACTCCGTACCCCACTTCTGGTTCATGGGGTTCATGAAGCCTCAAGCCTGAGCTGTGCGGGGGGCCACTCCCCATCATTTCCACCTGCACCCACCACTGGGCACACTTTGGCCCGGCCCTGGCCACAGAGGTCAAGTGCATTGGCCTTCCATGCAGCTGCACCATGGTCAGGCAGGGGCAAGAACTGAGCTGGACATTGGGCCACAGGTTTAGGAGGAAGGGAACCACCTGGGCCCCAGAGCAGGAACCCAGTAGTTGTGAGGACATAGGGAATGATGCCCGGGAAGGGTCCTTGAACGGGGAACTAATGTGGTGAATTATTGTAATTGTTATTTTGGAATTTTTTCTGCATTCTCCTTTTTTAAAAAAGTTATTGTGGGTACAGAGTAGGCATATATATATTTATGGGGTACATGAGATAGTGGTGTGTGCCTGTAGACCAAGCTACTTGGGTGGCTGAGGCAGGAGAATGGCTTGAGCCCAGGAAGTCAAGGCTGCAGTGAGCCGAAGTCAAGGCTGCAGTAAGCCCAGGAAGTCAAGGCTGCATGATAATGCCACTGCACTCCAGCCTGGGTGACAGAGTGAGACCTTGTCTCAAAATAATAATAATAACAATAATAATAGGCTGGGTGCCATGACTCACACCTGTAATCCCAGCACTTTGGGAGGCCAAGGCAGGCGGATCACCTGAACTCAGGAATTCAAAACCAGCCTGGCCAACATGGTGAAACCCCATCTCTACTAAAAATACAAAAATTAGCCAGGCGTGGTGGTGGGCACCTGTAATCCCAGCTACTTGGGAGGCTGAGGCAGGAGAATTTCTTGAACCCAGGAGGCAGAGGTTGCAGTGACCCGAGATTGCATCCTTGTACTCCAGCCTGGGTGACAAGAGCGAAACTCAGTCTCAAAATAATAATAATAATAATATTAATAATAACAACAACAACAACAATAGGTCTTATTCATTCTCTCTAACTATATTTTTGTACCCATCAAGTGAAGTATTAACATTGGGAGGATTTGGCAGAGATTCCTGTGTGGGAGGGCTGAGGTCAGCCCAAGGCCCATGCGATCACTCTCCTTCATGCCAACATGGACATATTAAAGTCAGGCTCCCACATGTACAACAATGCAATGTCTGTTAAAAGATTCAAAAATGATCAAGCTTCATTCTTCTGCAGCGTGTGATAGGATAACCACCCTGCAGACCTGCTGTCTTATGGCAAGTAAACTTCGATAATTATATACCATATATTAAAGTGTTATAATACTTTTCAGGGTCCTTTCTCATTTATGATCCTAATTTTAGACTCTGATTAGGGTCACTCCTGGTTCCTCTGCTTCTGATGAGGAGAGGGAGCTGAGAGATCTAAGGAAGAGCACCTGTCCTCCAGTTAATGGGAAAGCGCGGAGAGGGAAGCTGGCCGTTTGCTTCACCTCACACTCCGCACTCCTGCTCTGGGCCTCTTCTCAGTTAACAGAAAAACCAAACTCTATACGATGTTTTAAAGAGGTTGATTCTGACCAATAGGAGTGACCACGGCTCAAGGAAATACAGTCTCAAGGAGTCCTGAGGAAGTGAACCCCATGCGATTGGATTACAGTTCGGTTTTATAATGAGGGAGGCAGGAGTTACAGGCAGAGACATACTTCAGCACTGGGAACCAATACATTGGTTTGGCCCAAAAAGGTGGAATATCTTGAAGCAGGGGCTTAGCGGTTATAAGTGGATTCAGAGATTACTTGATTAAAAGCGTAAGGCTCTTTCTAAAACTTGGAGTCAGCAGAAAGGAATGTTTTAAATTAAGATAAGGATGCTATGTAGCAATATTGAGGGCCTGCAGGTATGACTTAACCCTTGCCTTGCATGGCCTTAGATCTTGTCTATAATTTGGTATCTTATTGTCACAAAGAGTCCATTTTGCTAGTCTTATGATCTCTATTTTAACACTAATGCTGGTCAGCTGGGTATTAAAAGGGAGAGGGGATAATGAGGTATGTCCAGCCTCCCTCCCCATCATTGCCGGGAACTTCTTTTTCTTTTTCTTTTTTTTTTTGCAACGGAGTCTTGCTCTGTCGCCCAGGCTGGAGTGCAGTGGTGCAATCTCGGCTCACTGCAACCTTGGCCTCCCTGGTTCAAGTGATTCTCCTGCCTCAGCCTCCCGAGTAGCTGGGATTACAGATGTGCGCCACCACGCCCAGCTAATTTTTGTATTTTTAGTAGAGATGGGGGTTTCACCATGTTGGCCCGGCTGGTCTCGAACTCCTGACCTCAGGTGATCTGCCTGCCTTGGCCTCCCAAAGCACTGGGATTACAGGCATGAACCACCACGGCCGGCCCAGGAACTCCATTTTTAAGTTTTTTTCTGGGGTTCTCTTGGCCTAGGGAGGGTTTGTTCCATCATTAAGGGGCTTAGGATTTTAGTTTTAGTTGACAAATCCCAGGAAGCTTTCACAGTACAATGTATTTAATCAAAGAGCTGTGACTAAGCTCTATCAAGGATATAAGGGGCCAAGCCAAAGGAAGAAGGAATTGTGTTGGGATCATCCTCCACCTCCACAGCAGAGAAAATTAATGGCACAGTCCCTGATGCATTTGAGAGAACCACTTAGCTAACTGCTGATTCTGCTAGTTCAGGTTATTTACTTACCCACTCAACAGAAGTTGAAAAATCACCTGTATTATTAATTTGCCTAAAACCTTCCAGCTTCAGAATGTGACTCAAGCTATTTTTACAAAGCAAAGTTGGAATTCTAAGCTTTTTGCTTACAAATTACTAAAGTCATTCATCAGCTGTTCACATAAACGCCAGGCTTAGAATTTTTTTTAACCTTCCATTTTTCAGATAAGATCAACATGCACAGGTTTACTGAATTGCTCTAATTCTGATTGCACACTCATATAAAACTACCAAAACAGCCTTTAGTCCCTTTCCTATTTTCAGTCAATCAGATAATTCTATCTCCCTTTAGGCAAATCCCATTCATAATAGATATTTATTGTCCAGTCTCTCTCTCTTTTTTTTTAAATCAATTAGCAAGCATTTATTTAGCCTCTACGACATGTTCAGCTCTGTAGTGGGCACCGGGTGAAGACACCCAACTTATTTAGCCTTTATTGGATACTGAGCTGAATCCAATAAAGTAGAAGCTGAAGCTTCTACTTCAGCTAAAGAAAGTGCTGACCTTCTGAATCATTAATTCGCCAGGGAATCATCTGTGGTCTATAATTGTATGGAGTTACATGGAATCCCTGAATTCAAACATAAAACCCAGTAGAAACTCTAGAGTTCTGGAAGACAAGAGGAAACAAGAAAGGAAGGACTGAATAAGACAGAAGGAGAAGTGCATTTCAGACAAGGGGACCCCCCAAAGTGTGTTTGTTTTGAAGGCTGTGAATAGCTGGGACTGACTCATAGAGGCAGAAAATAGGGAGCCAGTGAAGGTTTATGAGTGAGGTGATTATAGATATTCAATTCTGCTGCAGTGGATAGAAGGTTTTCCTGACAGAACCCTGACTCAGTTGTCAATGAGAGCTGTTCTAGTAGGCAGCTCCCTCATGTAGGGAACAGATAGTGAGACTCGAGTCCTACAAATGGATGGGCAGAGGTCGTAGTACTTACTGGTGGGATAGATCCCCTTAGCAACAGGAAGTCACCTGCTCATCCTGTCAGTGGAAGAACCCAGGAACAAAGGAACCCGCAAGGATATTTGGGGTATGGGAGAAAAAGGGAAGGGGCACATTCATTCCCGACAGTATCGATGTGAGCAGTCCCACCGTTTGATCACGCGTTCCTTAAAGGATTCTAAACTCGCCAGGATAGCATCATTCTTTTCTAATGCAGCAAGAAAAATATCAGGACAACCCAGTCTAGGTCACTGTTCTTTTTAGTGGGGCCCGGGGAGGATGGGGACTGGGAGGTGGACTCTAAGGTGAAAGTAAAAGGTGCCATCCCCTATAGAAGATGTGCTCCTCCAGGTGCAGGTCTGAGTTGTTAGGGACTAAACCTCTGGATTCAAAAGAACCATCCCGCATGAGTACAACCCTGGAAATGCCAGGGCCTGCATGCAGTCTCTGCCGCACACCTCCCCGACCCCTCTGTGGTGCCCCTCAGGGGTTTCACTCCATGTGGGTCCTCACCAGGATCAGGGCAGGGCACAGCTTGGGAAGAAGCCCCTGTCTCTCCTCCTAATCATGGCATACAAAATGCATGGTTTCAACCAAATCCAGGTTTTTCTTTAGAAACCATGGATCTTAAAAGGTGTTGAGTCCTGGACAGGAAGAGATGTTTACAAGCCCTTCTGTGTTTGTCAATCAAAGGTGCCATGCCCATGGGAAGCAATGACCCGAGAGACGACTCCCCCAACCAAATCTCTGGAATTCTAAGGACAGCCATCCTGAACTGGGCTCAGGAGCTCCATTAAGGATGCGGAGGGAAGATGCAATGGAGCAGAGGCAGAGGCAACAGAAATAGAAGAAAGTTTCCATTCTTAGAACAGGGGGGCTGTCAGGCAGGGCACGGTGGCTCACGCCTGTAATCCCAGCACTTTGGGAGGCTGAGGTGGGCGGATCACCTGAGCTCAGGTGTTTGGGACCAGCCTGACCAACATGGTGACCCCGTCTCTACTAAAAATACAAAAATTACCCTGGCATGGTGGCGCACGCCTGTAGTCCCAGCTACTTGGGAGGCTGAGGCACGAGAATCACTTGAACCCAGGAGGCAGAGGTGGCAGTGAGCTGAGATCACACCACTGCACTCCAGCCTGGGAGACAGAGCAAGACTCTGTCTCGAAAAAAAGAAAAAAAAAAATGAAGAACGGGCAGACTGACTCTCCCTCCACTGAGGACACCACTTTAGACTTGCTTTTTCTTAGCCATTGTTGTTGTCGACTAAAGACAAAAATTAAGCTTTTAAAGAATTAAAGTTAGTTTTATTCAGAAGTCTTAATGAGGACAATAGGCTGAGACCTAGGGCCCAGAGCAGATGGGTCAGATTGCTCCAAACCAGTTTCAGCCACAGCTTATATGCAAGTGGCGGCGGTTGAGTATGTGCAAAATCACGTCAAAGTTTGGATGTGAGAGTACATCTGGTTCTAGATGACTACCCTTTCAGACGTTATCTTATGTGCAGGCAAAGGCAAAGGTTCAGGTTATTTATCTTTTCAAGGATGTAGTGACTCAGGGAGGATGTGGGTGGCCGCGGGCTCTGTCCTGCCTTGTCCTCAAGGCATTGTTCCAGAGGACTGCATTTCATCACAGTGAGGGGTTCAAGCAGAAATGAGCAAACATGGCTTTTTATGTTTGCTATCTTGTCTCACAATTGTCATTTAAAAAAAGAATACAGAAGTTAAAAAATAAACCAAAAGGAGCTGGTCTAAAAGGTAAGGCAGATTAGTGCAGGGAGTTCAGAGCCCAGATCTGGAATCCTGCAGACCTTGGCTCTAACCCCCGCCCTGCCACTGGCCTGGCACGGGCCTGTTTAACTTCTTAGCTACTCAGCTTTGTCATTTCTCAAACAGAAGCAGCAACAGTCTCTTCCTCACAGAAACGGTGTCAGGGCTAAATGAAATCAATCACAAAAAGCGTTTAGCAAAGATGGAGCCAAAACTCCTGACGGACACTGGGCCAGGTGTCCCAGGGAGTGGGTGGCCGGGCCCCGGGCAGGGTCTGACAGACACTGGGGTTAGTGTCCTGAGCAGTGGGTGGCCAGGCTCCGGGCAGGGTCTCATGTACTCTGGGGCTGGTGTCCCAGGCAGTGGGTGGCCAGGCTATGGGCAGGGTCTGACGGACACTGGGGTGGGTGTCCAGGCAGTTGGCGGCTGGGCTCAGGGCAGGGTCTGACGGACACTGGGGTGGGTGTCCCGGGCAATCGGTGGCCGAGCTCTGGGCAGGGTCCCATGGGATGCATCTGGCTCCCTGGCTTTTCAATTTCTTCCTGGGGCTGCAGCCATCCATTCCTCTGAACTGAAAGCTGAGTCCTAAACCACATTATCTCTTTGTCTCATTTGTGGGTTTCGATGACAGACAGTGAGACAGGCAAGTGAGCAGTCCCCACTCCCTGTTGGGGAACTTTCTCCTGGTTTGAGCCAGATATCAAGTGGGTGGTTACTGAGAAACGAAGCCACTGGGTCCTGGGAGTGGGAGCAGAAAGGAGATGTCAGATTCCGAAGACAGAAGACAACAATAGGACTTGGCAATTGATAAAGAAGGATATTAAGTATTAGTGCAGGTTCTGGGATAATGGGGAGGCCATAGAGAAGAGACCTTAAGTCCAGAATGGAGAATATCTGTATTGGGAGGAAATAGCAAGTTCTACAAAATTTGGATAAGGGGTTTGATGAAAGATAGTAGGACAGATAAGTGCAAGTTTCTGGTGGTTAAATAGCAATACAGGATCCATATCTATTCTTATCTATGTACATGTGTCTATACATCAAGATGTGTGTGTGTAGGAGTTAGCATAGAAGTGAAATTTAAGACAAGGGAATGAGAAGCTCTTCGAAAGACAGACACAAGGGAGTGAAACACTTAAAGGAAAGGGGATGCAGTTACAGAAATGGAAGATGAACTGATAAAAAGGTAGAGGTGGAGGGGAGCATTGCAAAAATCCAGCCCAATTCACTCACTTAAAGGATAAGGAGACTGCGGTTCAAAGAGCATCAGTGATTTGCCGAACAGTCGACCATGTCCAGAAAAAGGGAGATATGGGGCCTGAACCCATATTCTCAGACTCTCAGAGAATTCTCAGACTCTGTCCTTTCCCACTGGAGACCTGGACATGGCTACTTGCAAGTGAAAGTTAATTAATGTTGATCACCAGGATGAAATTGGTGATCATGAAGGTCTAAATTGGCATAAAATAAACTTATGGGTCAAGAAATTGTGAATAGTAAAAATGTGAATACACCTTTTCCTTTCACATAGGTCAATAAACAAACACACACACATAAAAGCAACACAAGAAAGAATTTTTTTTTTTTTTTAGACTCGGTCTGTCGCCCAGGCTGGAGTTCAGTGGCGCAATCTCGGCTCACTGCAAGCTCCGCCTCCCAGGTTCATGCCATTCTCCTGCCTCAGCCTCCCGAGTAGCTGGGACTACAGGCGCCCACCACCATGCCTGTCTAATTTTTGTATTTTTAGTAGAGACGGGGTTTCACCATGTTAGCCAGGATGGTCTCAATCTCCTGACCTCGTGATCCACCAGCCTTGGCCTCCCAAAGTGCTGGGATTACAGGCGTGAGCCACGGCGCCCGGCCAGAAATCTTAAAACTAAACAGAATCTTGTTAATTGAGGGCAGATTAATGATTTCAATGGCTGGAGAATCATTCCGCTATTTTTATTTATTTATTTATTTATTTATTTATTTTGGAAAAGGAAGTTGCAGGAAAAAATCAGATTCAAAGCATCTCCTTTCTGCCTGGATTCATCCTGCTGTTTTCAACCCAGAGTCTTGTAGGAAGTTGTCCAGAAGGGAAACGATCGTGCTGCAAAACTTCTAGGTCATGAGCTGTGCTTTCATAATTTGCAATGTCTCTATCAAAAAACAATTGAATCTGAAGAACCAGAAACACATGTTGCATGAAAGGTTCCAGATTACAGCTCCCACTTTCAGCCTCAGAAAACAAACACTTCTCTAAATGATCCCAACCCTTCTGAACCCATCATCTTTACTGGTGGCTGAGCTGGCATTTGAGCCAAAATTGCCACTTAAACCTGCCCCATTTAGTTCACTGTACTGATTGCATAAGATGGGACCGTTAATTATCTACCTCACATTCTGTTTCTCCTCCACCATGGTAGGGTGGGCACTTGACAGTGGGCGACTGATGTTACCGAGTTTCTTCACTTTCATTTTATGGTGGGATCTCAAAGGGAATGAAATACACTCATGCTGGGAATGTCCGGGCTTATTTAGTAGCTCTTAGTGCTTTCCACAAGATGGAACTGGGGTCTGCTTTTTCTGTCAGATATGCCTCAGGTAATCTTTTAGCAAGAAAGGATTAAGCCAGGTTTCAGAATAAATACACTTCTCTCAGAGCCGCAAGGTTGCCAGCTTCCTCATTTAGGGAAGCTGCTCCCCGTTGCCCCCATTCTGTTTTCCACAAGATACCGTACCTGTCACAGAGGAGCCAAGGCTACTGTAAACGGGGTCACAGGCCGGGTGACAGCGGGTCGCTCCAGCCCTACCCCGGGATTCTCAGCTCTTGGAAAACAGATGAGCCTGTTTCTTCATGAAGCACCTTTGAGGCAGTCATGTCACAAGTTTGAGAATTTTCTAATGTTACTATGTATCATTTAAATTTAAAATTTAAAATGTCTTCTACATCTGTGATGACTTCCTCTTTTGAGCTCTAATTTGGTGACTTGGAATCTGACTGTTGAGTCATTTACTACTTGTGAGACCTTGGGCAAAATGCTTAAACCCCGTGCCTCAGTTTCCTCATATGCAAAATGAGAATAATAGTTCTTACCTTATAAAGTAGAGCTGATATACATAGGGCACTAAGCCCAGCACGTAGTATACTAGGTGTTCAAAGCTATTATTAGTCTCCATCATTACTCAATTAGGCTGACTGGGGGTATAGCTATCTAACAGTTTCTTCAAAAAACAGGTTTTGGGGACTAAATAGTTAATGTCTACTTGAAAATTGCTAAAGGAATAGACCTTAAATGTTCTCACCATTAAAAAATGTGAGGTGATAGATATGTTAATTAGCTCGATTCATTTCACATTGTACATCATAAATGGATATAACTTTTGTTAATTACACCTTAATAAAACTGGGGGGAACCCAGATCTTGGATTTATTCTGTTTTCCTGTTATTAAATTTGTTTCACTTTATCATTTTCATTCTTGTGCTTATGTTTACTTTGTCATAATTTTAAGTTTTTTTTTTTGAAATTAACATTTAGTCAATTTATTTCCATTCTGTCTTATTTAGTACGACATTTAAAGCTGTGGATTTCTTCTCTGAATATGGTTTTAGCCATCTTATATATAGAAATTCGATCATAGTCCAGATATTCTGAAATTTTAGTTTTGGTTTCAATTTAGAAAGGAATTTCAAAATTTCCAAAAGGTTGGGTTTTGTTTTTTTCTATTTTGGATATTAAACTGTAGATTTTTTTTCTTTTGTTTGACATAAGAGAATGCAATCTGTACTATTTCTAATTTTGCAATGCATGGAGGCTTTCTTTGGCACCCAAAATATGATCAGTTTCAAGAAATGTCTCAGGGGCAATAGAAGATACAATCTGTTTGAATATGGAATTAAATGGAATCTTTGTTTGGATATGGAATTAAATATTTATATATTAATATGTAACAATAATTACATATTATTCCCTTCCTCTATATCACTATTTATATTCATGGATTTTATTTGTCATAGGTGTTATATTCCCTCTGATTATGTTTTTGTTTCTCTTTGGATTTGCAGGTACTTGTATGTGTGTGTGTGTATATATTTAATTAATGTATTTATTTATTTGAGAGACAGGGTCTCTCTCTGCCACTCAAGCTAGAGTGCAGCAGTGCGATCATGGCTCACTGCAGCCTCAAACTCCTAGGCTCAGGTGATCCTCTTGCCTTAACTTCCCTAGTTGCTGAGACTACAAGCTCAAGCCACTGCACCTGCCCACTTTATATATTTTGATACTTATACTGTGTAAACTGCTAGAACAAGTAGACCCTTGCCTCCCTGACCCAAATAAATATAATAGTTTACGCTTTCCGTTTCCTATTTTAGATCGAATTAAACAAATCTTTGAATTCTTTCCATCCAGATAAGTGGGATACAGTTTCTGCCTTCTGCTAGAACCCTGGCTCAATTGTCAATGAGAGCTGATCTTGTAGGGAGAGTGGGTGTGGAGAAAAGAGAGACAGCCTCACAGGAGGCTGGGCTGAAGCCGTGTGGCCATCTTCAATGCCATCACCTTGGTCATTGTCATTCCAACCTACGGGGAAAGGGACAAGCACAGAGGGCAGGCAGGAAGGTTTATGGGCCAGGCCTGGGGTGGCACTCACCTCTGCTCACATTCCATTGAAATCCCAAGCAAATGCAGGGTGTATCTGAACGGCTATATACTTACCTATAATTTTGGGTCATGCAAGGGGAGAATAGGTTTTGGTGGACAGCTAGCAGTTTCTGCCAGAATGCTGTTTTGTGTTGTATAGAGATGTAGGCCATTTACATTCTTGTTACAGATGCACACTTTTTTTTTTACCTTTAATTCAATGCCGTCTGATATTAAAGTGGAGAATCCCAGTTATATTGGATCTGGAGACTGTCATTTCTCTATTTTTTTATCTTGAGCTATATGGTCAATTTTGTGATGCATTCTCACCCCTTCTGGTAATTTAAAATTACTTAAAAATTTAATTTTTTTTTTTTTTTAGAGGCAGAGTCTTGCTATGTTGCCCAGGCTGGCCTTGAACTCCTCCTGGGCTCAAGTGATCCTCCCACCTCTGCCTCCCAAGTAGTTAGGACTACAGGCACATACCACTCCACCTGGCCACTTTTGTATTTTAAAGGATAAACTTTAAAAACTTTTAATATTTTGATTAACTTTAAAAAACAAAGTGAATATTGACTTCTTGCTGTGAAAGACAAGGAAATTAGCTCACTTACACTGGCCGCTCAGCCCCTACTGAGTTGTCAACAAGCTCTAGGATTTTTGTCCCAGCCCATTAGTTATATTATTTTAAATTGTGAAGCTTGTTTTTCATTTTTACATTCTTTGCTGTAACTGTAAATCTCATTATTAATTTTAAATTTTAATGGAGTCATAGTTCATAGTTTTGTTTTGTTTTTGAGACAGGGTCTCACTCTGTGGCCCAGGCTGGAGTGTAGTGGTGCTGTCACAGCCCCCTGCAGCCTTGAACTCCTGGGCTCAGGCAATCCTCCTGCCTCAGCCTCCCTGGTAGCTGGGAGTACAGGCACCTACCACAACACCTAGCTAATTTTTAAATGTTTATTTTGTAGAGACAGAGTTTCGCCATGTTGCCCAGGCTGGTCTTGAACTCGTGGACTCAAGTGGTCTGTCTGCCTCGCACTCCCAAAGCGCTGAGATTACAGGTATGAGCCACTGCGCCCAGCCCATAATTACTTCTTATGTTTTGTGTCTTCTTGGTTACTATACTCTTCACATCAATTCTCTTGGTTGACTGGATTTCGTCAAATATTATTTTCAAGAGAGGCTTGCAGGTGTTATGATTCTTGAGTCCTTGCATATTTTAAGAATTCTTCATTTGCCTTTATAAGTATTTGGGGAAAAAAAATCTCAGGTCACATTGTACAACATTGAACTGATGTGGAGAAATTGAGTGATAGATGACTTTTTTTGGCATAAACTTCTCCAAGTAAATTCTCCCAATGTATGTTTCAATGTTGCTCATTCTGTATTAAATTTTTCTGAAACATGATGTGTTCTCCTGATCTGCAGATTTATTTATTTAGGGAAAACATCATTTACTTGAATTTTTTCTGTGCCAGTCTCGTATCCTTCTCTACCTACCAGTTTTCTTTATGTTGGATCAACCTTGTTTACCCCCATCTCTATTTTTTGTCCATCTGATCAAATATTCCCTGATCAGAGGCCTTCCCACAACCCCAGGAAATCTAATAACCTTTGTCACTCTTTCCTCCTCATCCTGCCTTATTTTCTTCCATAGCATTTATCATCAGTACATACCACCTATGTCCTCACCCCAATTAGAACATAGCTCCACAAGGACGGGGGATTGTCTTTTTGTTTGTTTGTTTTTAACCCTGTGCCAGAACAGCGTCAGGTGCATATAGATGATGCTCAATAAGCACTTGACTGAATTATCTCAAGGGTTCTGTGTGTTGGCAACTCAATTTTTAGCTGTGCGTATTTTGTTCTTTGCTGTTTCTAATTTATGAAACTCATGTCCTTAGCTCTAAGTTTCCTTTCTATTTTATTGTAGTGTCTCATTTTGTCTTTGACTTGTTTTTTCATTGATCCTTTTTCTCTTTAATTTCTTTTAGACTATAGGGCATTTGATGTGGAGGATGTTCTATTTCCTAGAGTAAATTTTCTTTCAGAATGGGTTCTATATCTATCTCTTTTTTTCCTGTAGCATTATTTACATTGTTTACAGGCATAAGGCTGGGTATGGTGGTTCACACCTAATCCCAGCACTTTGGGAAGCCAAGGTGGGCAGACCGTCTGAGGCCAGGAGTAAGAGACCAGCCTGGGCAACATAGTGAGACCCTGTCTCTACAAAAAATAGTTGATGGGCAGTTTCTCTGCATCTTTCTCATGGTTGCACAGCAGCCTTGTGGGTCCCCAGTTACAGTGTGGGTGGTCTTTGAAACTCTCCCACCCAACCTGAACTCTTTGGTCTTCTCCAAGCTGCTTCCAGCCGAGTCCCTTCCTCTTAGACAATAAGACACAAGTCAGGAATATGCAGTCCTCAGAGGACAGAGAACTCAAAAAGTACCAGCACAAGAACCAACCGAGCAGAGGGGAAAGGGACTGACGGACAGCCCTGCCCTAAGTTCCCCACTCCCGTGAGGAGGAAAGCCCCAAAGCCACCTGTTTCCCCCACTTTTCCTCCCTGTCTAGGAGGAGAGGAGGAGCAACTTCTGGAGAGATGGGAGTGAAGGAGGTGGGATTTATCCCTGAGGCTAAGCATTTCTGTCACAAGTGAAAAAGTTTACCCTGTTTGGCAGAACCACCCACATTGGAAGATGCTGTCCTTGGAAACAGGATATGCCCTGGACTAGACAGAGTGAATTTTGTCCAGTTTAAAACAACATTACAGAAATAATAAGAAGAGGGGACAGTCAACTCCAATTACCACTCCTCATAAGCCTCGCCCTCTCAGGTAACAAGAACCAGGTCAGGACCAGCTCCCAGACCACCTGCCATTGGAGACAGTGAGTTCTGGGGAACCTTGCTCCTCATCTGCCTCCCTCCCAGACAGAGTCAGAATGCCACTCCCAACAGCTTTCCGTTCCTTGGGGAGCAGGACTGAGACAGTCATGAGGTCAGTGCACTGCACAAGGGAGCCAAT
This sequence comes from Homo sapiens, assembly GCF_000001405.40. NCBI lineage: Eukaryota > Metazoa > Chordata > Mammalia > Primates > Hominidae > Homo > Homo sapiens. Next base: position 47,705,462 of record NC_000016.10, on the reverse strand, counting down.
GAGAATGCAGCTGGGGGCTGAAATCCAGTTTACTCTGAGCCATGTGTCCTGGTGTGGGGTTGCATCTGCTCAGAGAAAGGACCTTTCTCTGTACAAAGGTGCCACTCACTCACACACAGGACTGAGCGTGGGCTGGCAGTAGCCCTGCTATATGATGCCGGATGATGTTATGTGTGGTGGGGGAGGAGCTTCCACCTTGGAGAAACACTTTCTGAATTTTCCCCTAAGTGCCGACTCAACAGGCATCTGATTCCCTCCAAATGCATTTGATTTTTCACAAATTAACTAACCTTGTCCTCGCCCATGCACAGCTTCTAGGAAGCCAGAGTATAGGAGCCAAATTCTAATTCTAGTAGGTCTTTTGTCCGCTGCTGCTTTTCAGAGTTTATGGTGTGAGGCTGTACTACCCGCTTCCTTTGTTTGAATGCTGCCGGTATGGTTTTGCTGGTCCATTCTGCCTCAGTTTTCATTCATGTTTTTAGTTTCTGAGACGGAGGACTTTTATTATATGGCTGCATACTGCTATATGCTACTTCCAACCTGTCCTGGATTTAAATGTGGTCTTTCTGTGCTGCTATAACTGTTGCCACATTGTGAAGTGTGAATATGCACTTTCATATGCCATCTATTTAATATACATGCTCATAAAGGCTTAAAGCATCTGCATCTACTGTTTTTTTTTTTTAAGAGGCAAGAGTCTTGCTCTTTCACCGAGGTTAGAGTGCAATAGTGTGACCCTAGCTCACTACAGCCTCCAACTCCTGGACTCAAGCAATCCTCCTGCCTCAGCCTTCTGAGTGGCTGGAACTACAGGAGTGAGCCACCACACCTGGCCCTGAATTTACTGTTTAAGAGTTTTGGTGAAAAGCTAAATGTATTCAGGTGTCCAATAAATGTTATTTGGTGTGAATAAGGCACCACAGGCTTATAACATATTGAAGATGACATCAAGTTGATCCCACATTCTGATTTTTTAAATAATTTAAATTCTGGGATACAAGTGCAGGATGTGCAGGCTTGTCACATAGGTAAACATGTGCCATGGTGATTTGCTGCACTTATCAACCCATCACCTAGGTATTAAGCACCACATGCATTAGCTATTTATCCTGATGCTCTCCCTCCTCCCCACCCCTCTGACAGGCCCCAGTATGTGTTGTTCCCCTCCCTGTGTCCATGTGTTCTCATTGTTCAGCTCCCACTTATAAGTGAGAACATGCGGTATTTGGTTTTCTGTTCCTGCGTTAGTTTGCTGAGGATAATGGCTTCCAGCTCCATCCATGTCCCTGCAAAGGACATGATCTTGTTCCTTTTTATGGCTGCACAGTATTCTGCAGTGTATATGTACCACATTTTCTTTATCCAGTCTATCATTGATGGGCATTTGGTTGATTCCATGTCTTTGCTATTGCAAATAGTACTGCAATGAATATAGGTGTGCCGGTATCTTTATAATAGAATGATTTATATTTCTTTGGGTATATACCCAGTAATGGGATTGCTGGGTCAAATGGTATTTCTGGTTCTAGGTCTTTGAGGAATCACATTGTCTTCCACAATGGCTGAACTAATTTACACCCCCACCAACAGTGCATAAGGGTTCCCTTTTCTTGATAATCTCGCCAGCATCTGTTTTTTCTTTTTAATAATCGTCATTCTGACTGGTGTGAGATGGTTATCTCATTGTGGTTTTGATTTGCATTTCTCTAATGATCAGTGATGTTGAGCTTTTTTTTATATGTTTATTGGCCGCACAAATGTCTTCTTTTGAGAAGTATCTGTTTATGTCCTTCGCACCCCCCCCACCTTTTTTTTTTTTTGAGACAGAGTCTCGCTCTGTCGTCCAGGCTGGAATGCAGTGGCACAATCTCGGCTCACTGCAAGCTCTGCCTCCTGGGTTCATGCCATTCTCCTGCCTCAGCCTCCCGAGTAGCTGGGACTACAGGCGCCCGCCACCACGCCTGGCTAATTTTTTGTATTTTTTAGTAGAGACGGGGTTTCACTGTGTTAGCCAGGATGGTCTTGATCTCCTGACCTCGTGATCCACCCGCCTCAGCTTCCCAAAGTGCTGGGATTACAGGCGTGAGCCACCGCACCCGGCCCCTTTGCCCCCATTTTAATGGGGTTGTTTTTTCTTGTAAATTTGTTTAAATTCCTTGTAGCTTCTGGATATTAGACCTTTGTCAGATGGATAGATTGCAAAAGTTTTCTCCTATTCTGGCTGTCCATTATGATGATAGTTTCTTTTGCTGTGCAGCAGCTCTTTAGTTTAATTATATCCCATTTGTCAATTTCTGCTTTTGCTGCAATTCCTTCTGATGTTTTCATCATGAAATCTTTGCCCATGCTTATGTCCTGTATGGCATTGCCTAGATTTTCTTCTAGAGTTGTTATAGTTTTGGGTTTTACATTTAAGTATTTAATCCATCTTGATTTAATTTTTGTGTAAGATACAAGGAAGAGGACCAATTTCAGTTTTCTGTATATGGCTAGCCAGTTTCCCCAGCACCATTTATTAAATAGGGAATCCTTTCCCCATTGCTTGTTTTTATCAGGTTTGTTGAAGATCAGATGGTTGTAGATGTGCAGTCTTATTTCTGAGATCTCTATTCTGTTCCATTGGTCTATGTGTCTGTTTTTGTACCAGGATCATACTGTTTTGGTTACTGTAGACTTGTAGTATAGTTTGAAGTCAAGTAGTGTGATGCCTCCAGTTTTGTTCTTTTTGCTTAGGATTGTCTTGGCTATATGTGCTCTTTTTTGGTTCCATATGAATTTTAAAGTAGGTTTTTTTCTGATTCTATGAAGAATGTCAATGATAGTTTAATGGGAATAGCATTGAATCTATTAATCACTTTGGGCAGTATGGCCATTTTCACAATATTGATTCTTCCTATCCTGAGCATGGAATGTTTTTCCATTTGTTTCTGTCCTCTCTTATTTCCTTGAGCAGTGGTTTGTAGTTCTCCTTGAAGAGGTCCTTCACTCCCCTTGTTAGCTGTATTCCTAGGTATTTTATTCTCTTTGTAGCAATTGTGAATGGGAGTTCATTCATGATTTGGCCCTCTGCTTGTCTATTGTTGGTGTATAGGAATGCCTGTGATTTCTGCACATTGATTTTGTATCCTGAGACTTTGTTGAAGTTGCTTATCAGCTTAAGAAGCTTTTGGGCTGAGATGACGATGAGGTTTTCTAGATATAGGCTCATGTCACCTGCAAACAGACACAGTCTGACTTCCTCTCTTCCTATATGAATACCCTTTATTTCTTTCTCTTGCCTGATTTCCCTGGCCAGAACTTCCAGTATTATGTTGAATAGGAGTGGTGAGAGACGGCATCCTTGTCTAGTGCCAGTTTTCAATGGGAATGCTTCCAGCTTTTGCCCATTCAGTATGATATTGGCTGTGGGTTTGTCATAAATGGCTCTTATTTTTTTGAATATATTCCATCAATACCTAGTTTATCAAGAGTTTTTAGCATGAAGGGGTGTTGAATTTTATCGAAGGCCTTTTTTGCATCTATTGAGATAATCATGTGGTTTTCATCATTGATTGTTTCCCCATTTTAATTTTTAAAAATTGAAATATGATGTTTTCAGGCTTAAATAACAGCAGAAAATCTGGAAAACATCCTGTTTCTTAAAATGATGCTCTGAAAATGTAGTTGAACTTGATATTCAGTCAGGAGTTTCCAACAGACGTTGCTTGTACAATAAATTTACGCAGTGAATCTGCCATTGTGATAGAGGAGGCTTTAAATCAGATTTAAATCTTGTCATGCCTAAATAAATGTGCTAATATTTCCAGTCGGTCTCTAGTGCAGCTGTTAAAACATTTGGGCTCTGTAGACCAAATGAGACTTCTAAATTTCATATGAGTTCTGTGTTCTAATTCTTATTATTTTTTGCTTTTCTAATAAGAAAACAGGCATTGGCTTTTGTAAAGGTGAATATCAAGATTTACTGATTCTAAATATAACTTTCAGAACAATAAATTTTGAATCTCAAAGCATGAAGTCAATACGTGTCACAGATTCTGAATGCTTTCAGGAGTAGCACAGGAAAACTTCAGAATTTTGCATATGTAACATTTAAGCAGGAAGCTAACACTCAGAAAACACATTTGCAAGTAATGTTTGATTTCAACTAGGATAGCAGTTTTCTGGTAACTTTGCTCAGCTAATCAGATTTTTTAAAAAAATTCTTAAAACTACAACACAGTTTACTTTCGTAAAAATTTCGGCAAACAAAAATTTTAAGTCTTTTGTTTCCCTTTCTTTAATTTCCAGTTTCTCCAGTTATGAAGTGTCAGCTCTCAATTCCCTCTCCATGGACTTCATGCTTACGTTTTTTTCAGGCATTAGTTTTACAAATTAGCTTCACCCTTCACGACTATCTTTTCATAAACTCTCTTAACATATTGAGTCAAGTAGTTTAATTCTATTCTTTGTCAATCCCCCTCCTTAGTTCTTTAGGGCCCAACTGTGTCTCATTCATTTCAATTTTGCCAACTAATATCCATACAATTTCTTATGCAAGATCTCGGCACTGTACCTCAATGTTATGAGAAATGTGACTGACAGCAGATTTTTCCATGTGCTCACACATCCATTCATTTGATATCGATTGACTCAATACTGAAGCCACTCATCCTTTCTTACATCCTTTCAAAACACTACAAATAAGCTGCATTTTTTATGTGACAAATCTATCTTCTCAGGTGAAACTCCAGTAAGATTGATCAGAAAAACAACTCTCTTTGGGGCAAGGGCTCAAACTCATGGGCCTTTTTTTTTTCTATTTAGGAAAGAAATAAAATTTAAATGTTTAATCTACTTTCTACTTTCATTAAAGTTTAAGTAAACTGGGCAACTAAATGTGTATAATGGTAGGTACCACAGATTCTCTTCCATTCTACCTCTAAATCAATTAAATGAAAACACTCGGGAGTTTGAAGCTCAATCTTGTGAACCTAGGAACAAAAAATGTCCAGATATGTTCATTAATTCAGAAATAAAATTTAATGACCCTTAATGTTGTTTTTACTAGTAGAACGTAGGTTAACAGTCCTTAAATTTAACATATTTTTTTCTTTTTCTTTTTTTTTTTTTTTTTTGAGATGGAGTCTCGCTCTGTCACCCAGGCTGGTGTGCAGTGGCAGGATTTCAGCTCACTGCAACCTCCGTCTCCTGGTTCAAGCAATTCTCATGCCTCAGCCTCCTCAGTAGCTGGGTTTAAAGGCATGCACCATCATGCCTGGCTAATTTTTGTATTTTTAGTAGAGACAGGGTTTTCACCATGTTGGCTGGGCTGGTCTTGAACTCCTAACCTCAAGTGATCCACCTGCCTCAGCCTCCCGAAGTGCTAAGATTTCAGGTGTGAGCTACTGTGCTGAGCCTAAATTTAACATATTTTTGAACAATCATAGACATGTCCTATTTTTAGCAGGAGCTCAAAGAAAATGTTTGATAAGGTACAGATTTATTATATTTTAGTCCAACCCCTATATTTAGCAAATACAAAACCACAGTCATGTTTACAATGTAAAAACTGTAGAATAGCTCTGTATACTAAAATATTATTAATAATGCAGTTTTTGAGAACCAAAATATCAGCTGGCTGACTTTGCTTTTATGATGTATATTAACATCTTTTAGCATGACAATACCACTAAGAGAAGTTCACCATTCTTTCAGTATCTTTTGATTTCCAGTATGCATTACTAGTTGGCAAATTTATTTTAATGGCAGTATGGTAAGAATTCAGTCCAAAGAGCAAAGATTCATTTTGATGAACTATTTGATCATACAACATGCAGCGGCAAATTTTCAATTCATAAACTATTTTTATCACTCAGTGAGGATTACTATTATAGTTGGCATAATCATGAGAACTTTTTCCTGCTTGATTAAAAGCATTTACCATTACCGTTAGATTGGCTATGACATGCAAGAGGTCCATAACCCCGCCAAGGATGTGGCATTCACCTCCCCAGCATGCTCAGTTCGTATATTAATGGCTGCCTTGATTAAGCTTGAACATGAAACACAACACACTTCAGAACATGTGTCTCAACAGAGCTTCCTACACCTTCCCCACTAGCTAATCAGACACGGGTCATCATTGTTTGGCTTGACTTCTCCTTCCAGCAGCAGATTCATCACCGCCTTTGTCAAATAGCTGCATGTTCCTCTTTTTCCCAGGGGAGGAGTGTTGTAAAAGGAAGTCATGTCATCCTACAAAGGAAAACAGTAGGCAAGGCATTCGATCTTCTGTTTGTAAAGAGTTGACAGGTAAAATCTGTGTCAGCTTAGGGGGAAAAATAAATTCACATAAAGATTTCCTTATGGAAAATATGAGATTCCTGAGCTTTTCTTTCATTTTCCTGAGGTGTATATAAAACAAAGACAGATATTTTTAGTATTCTCTCCTTTGTTGATAATTTTTATTTACTTAGAGAACCTCTTTACAGTTGAACATAAAATATTAAACAGAGAACCTGGAAGGGCCTATATTAGGCAGTACGCAGCACCAACGTAGCCTGTCACTGCATTCTATTGTCCCCAGAATTTAATTTTATAGCCTTCTGGAGTCTATGCCTCCTCTCTGATAAAACATTTTTATGCTAACCATATAAAGGAAATTTATCTCTTTCTAGATCTCTTTTTTGTCAGAACTTCACAGCTGAACTGACTAGTAATTAACTGAAAAGTAACATTAATTCCTCGAAAAAGGCAGACTGCCCCTCAAGTATCCTATTTTGCACCTGTGAATCTGTTTTATAAAGTAAATGAAAAGAGATTAGGGATATTTTAAAGAATTGAGACAATGAAAAAATTCTCAAAAAAAAAAAAAAAAAAAAAGCTGTGTACTTACTTGTTTTTCAATTTCCTTTAGCCGACTCTGATCTTTTTGAAATTCATTAAATGCTTCTTTGACCAGTCTGTCTAGATCTACTTTGTCTTGAAATTCTAGCTCGGGGTTTCTTTCCAGTACAATGGATACAACCATAAGTAACTAGAAGAGACAGACATTGAAAGCCAACTATATGAACCATAATAGTGACATGTTTTCACCCTTTGATCAGATGGATGGGTGATCCAAAGGATATTCTATATGATGAGGGGCTCAAGGATCACCTATGGAAGGAATCTTCCTAATTTTGCAAGTTATTTGCATAAATTCTGTTTGGAAAGTGCACCTTTTTTTTCATTGTGTGTATCCCTAGAAATGTTTTTTCATCAGTTAAATAAAACCGTTAACTTAGAAAAATGACTTTCCTAACCCATCATGTACATAATACATGATACCCTATTCACCCAAAGTGTCTGAACTCTTTCTAGGCCTTTGGGTGTCAATCCTTGTTGGCAAGACACCAAAACACTGTCTGTGGAGAGACGGGTCAGGGACCAAAGCCAGAGAAGCCAGGCAGGTTCAATGGAGACTCTGGACCCAGGTTCAGGATCAAACGACCTGGAGCCCAGGACCCAAATGAGTATAAGTCTGTGATGCCACAGTAGTTTCTCAAGGGATGGCCATGTTTTAAAAAAATATGTTTAACTCTGACCCCTGTGACAAAAGTCCTATTTGGTCTGTATAAACTATCTTAGTTTAATGAATCACCCTATTGCTTGGCCATCACATACACCTATCCTAAGTGGTAATGTTCATTTTAGATGCTAAATTCCTATAAGCAAAAATAATATCTGCATATGCAATAATTGGTAAAGGCTCTCTGATGATGTTTATGGCTCCTAATTTGTACACTGAACAGGAAACACGCCTCATAGTTCCCAATTTTGGATTCTTATTGACTGTATTTTATCTCGATGCTTCAAAAACAGAACCTGAAAGAACCAAAGGAAACACAGTAAAATCCAGGGGTCACAATGTGGGAAACCTTAGGGCAGGCCTTTAGCCATGAGAATATGAAGTTTTGCTGTAGGTCTAAAGGAAAGTGTCTTCTGCAAAGGGAATGACTTCACTGTGGTCAACAAGAAGGATCTCTATGTCTACTATATGTCCCAGATGCTGGGTACTAGACATGGAAGGCATTCACCTGCCTAATAACCCCGTCTTTTCACGACCCAGTCTGCCTCATGCTGTGAAAATGATTGGCTGATACTATTCCACATCCTGGGACATCAAAGAGGAGGCTAAATCTACTCAGCTCTGACTGCAGCTCCAGACATGCTAGATTTTAGGAGGTGCCATGTCCAGGTTGGCAGTCACACAGAGCTTCCGTAGCAATAAGACATATTATCTACCCTTGAGAAACACAAAAGTCGGATGGATACATGCCCAGGGAAAGAGACAAAGTGCGGATAAGCTAAATATTAAACTCATCAATTGGTGGCTTCTCTATGTATTTGGGGTGATGTTTAACATGACAAAAGGACACATGTGTTCTGTTAATTTTACATGTAACTTTATACAGGGCAGTGATACACCATGCAATGACATGTCTTCTCTGCACATAGAGATGTCTAGAAAGATGTCCCTCAAAATATTAACAGCAATGATCTCTTGCTAGTGAGTGTGGGGGAAACTTATATTCTTTTCTATAATTTTCTAAACTGCTGAAACTTTCTACAATAGTTGTGCTTATTTCTGTGAATAGAAAAGAAAGTGAATAGAAAAAGGTCACTTCCTGTACTTTTATGATGTGGCTGATACACTTGATGCTAAGGGGTGATTGTGTGGCTGAAAAGCAGGGGTCGGTTCTCCCTTCCTGGAGGAGCCTGAGGTGTCTGAATTGCTCGTGTGCCTTGCCTTGGGTCAGGGGTGGCCATCTTCTTGAGGACTCGGCTGGGAGAGATCAAGGTTCCGGAAAGAATAGGGTTCTGGGTCTCACAGGAGAGATCGGGGTACTGGAAAGAATAGGATTCTGGGTCTCATAGGCAGTTTCCCTTATACTAGTTTTCACGGAGCAGAGAGAAGGCATTTATTCAGCAATCTTCATTTCTTACTACTCACCTCTACAACGATCTGTCTGTACTGTGGCTGGTCAATATTTCCCAACGTGTCTTCAACAAGGAGAGAGAAATTCATCTCATACATGGTCATATCTGACAGGGTTGGTTGCTGAAAAAAATAACTCCACATTAACATGCTGAACCGTTATGCTCTGGTTCTCATTTAATAGAAGAATTTCATTTTCTAATCATTAATAGTTTTCAGTTTTTATAAAACCTTGGAGAACATTTTCAGCTACACAACTGGATTTTATATATGTCAAACTACTAAAGCCAACCAGCTGACTATTGTGATAAATTAAACCTCCCATTTTTAGTAGTTACCTTCACTATATTAATTTTTTGAGAAAAAGGACTATGTTAGAAGGCCACTTTAATACACAAAAGGAATAGCCAAACACTGAGACAACAAATAGTGTACATATTGCTTTCAGAATTTACACGAGAAGTTATGCTTGCTGTCAGGCTCCCGCACAGAAGTCACCTGCTAATGAATTTACATCATTTCTGTGGCAGCTCCTTTCTGAGCTGGCAGCATAAAAATGCATACAAACAAGCAAAAACAATATTATGTGCAGAACTGGGAAGGAAACAGGAAAAAAGCGACGCTAAAAGAATTTCCTCTACTCTGCCCTTTATCTTTCATTTAAAACAAGAATACTGTGTAGTTTTCCATTCATTTCTTCACAATCCAAATGAAAGCAGAAAATAAACTAAAATTAAAATCCAAATCTGGGCATGGGGAATATTCCTCAGAGGATGGAAGGGAAGGCTCTGAACATTAGGCTTGTATGGTGGAAGGCAGATGGGGTGACTAGATCATTACCAGAGAGGCAGAAATGATGAGACATACTTGTTTTCACCTCAGTGATAGTTTACAGTGAACTCAATCAGGTTCAGAACCATGTCTATCTACTTACCACTCAAAATGGGACCCAATGTCCTCTTTCAATCAAGTGACAGCAAAGTTGTTCAGCCTGGTATAATAATGCCTTAGTCTATATTCAATAGATATTCAATACAACTAACTATTGTATTTCATAGTCAATATAATCCAACATATTATTAATGTTTACAGATAGTACCTAATTTGGGGAAAATAAAGCCCCATTGCTAAACACAGTTATAATTGGCTAGATCTCTAGCAATGGGCTTAACGGGGTTACAGAAGGAAAGGAAGACCCTTTCTTGGTTTCACATTAATTTTTTCTTAATATATCTCATTAAAAAAGTCAACCTAGCTACTGTGCAACTACAGAAGAGATACCAAGCTTGCCTTATTTCCTACTCTTCTGAAAGGACTTAGGGTAAGTAGTGTAGCAGAGAAGTTAAGAGAAAAGGCTCAGCAGCTACACTGCCAGGGGTCACATCCTGGGGCAGCTACTTACTAGATGTGTGACCTTGAGGAAATCATTTATCTGTGTTTGTGTCCTCTTCTGTCAAACTGGAATACTAATAACAAAGCATCTGCCTCAAAAAATTGTCTAACGGATTAAATGAGCACTTAGAAAAGTGCTTGGTGCATAAAAATACTTAACATGTATTTATTGTCTTATTGTTATTTTTAGCAAAGAGAGGATATTAGCAAAGCAAGGATACTACATGTTAAGTGGCCCAGACTGCCAGACAATTAAATGAAAATCTGGTAAGTATTAGTGGGGGCTGAGAAAGAAGCTAACAAGTGGTTGTGAGCGTGCACTGCCCAGGTAGGCAGACAGGAGGCCTTGCCAGAGGGTTTGAACTCCAGCAACGAGGCGCTGCTCTCTGCTCTCAAGAGATGGTGCTGCTCTTCAACAGTAATCATAGGGCACCCAGGAGAGGGCTGGGCCCTGCACTGACAGTCAAATGAAACTACTTGCAGTCTGTGAACAGTATAAATACTTTTTAAAAGTTTTTATGCATTTTTTTTAATAAGTAATATATTCACAGCATTCAGACTTTGAAAGGTTTAAAAGGGTTCCAGGGAAGAGCCCACACCATCCTCCCACTCACACAGTTCCTTTTACCAAAGACTAAGAAAAGAATACTACCAATTTCCTATGGGTCCTTACAGAGACACTCTTAGGTAGATACAAGCAAAATGAGTGTGGGTCTGTGCCTTTGAGAATACTTTATTTGTATAAAGAACTACATCAAAATTTATTTGGTTGAGATTTCAACACTAAAAACAATTACAGTACTCTATTTCCAAAAGGCTAATCCTTCTCTTTTGTGTATAAGTAGAATGACTTAGATGCCAGGATTAAATAATCACATCAAAGAAGCAGGCCAGTGTATATCACATGGGAAACCATCAGAAGGAGAGGGCACTAACTCACTTGGACCACAGGTAAGGTACACCTGGAGTGAAGTAAGTGATTGTCTGTCCAATGACCTAAAAAGTTACTGCATTTTCCACATTCAACACAATTCCTAAGTGGTGATTTCCTCATCCACAGCACTACTAGGCCCCATTGTTTCTTAGGTCTGCTCTGGTTCTGTCTTTCCAATGCATGCTTTACTGTTTGTGAGGCCCCCCAGCACTGACCCACCACCACTTGGGGGTAGTGAAGGGGTACCCACACTTAAAGTAAAGCCAATATAGGAAACTCTAAGCTGGTAAGTAAACAAAGGAAGGACAGCTTGCTCAACAAGAGGTTTGGCTATGTGGTTTTTAAAAAGGGAATATCCTCAAAATATCTAAAATATGACAATACCAACAATTTTTTTTATTAAATATGACTTCCAGCAATATAGCCATTTGGTAAAGTGAGCCTTTTCTGCCTACAGGGACACTAAATTTGAAAAATAAAAGTAACTCAGATTGGGGAAAAAAATTTTCAATCCAATTGATTAGATGTCTTATTTTCTAGTATTTCATTCCTTCTTTGAAAATACTCTTAGAACGCTGAAAAGGAGAAAAGTTATTTGCAGTGCAAGAGGAAAGGATTCACTACCCTTTGCGAAGTCTCCTTTCTTTATGTGAACATGGTGGGGCTTTACCTGAGGCAAATGCTTCCCAGCAACAATGATCCCATTGGGCGTGCGCTCCAGAATCTGCCACACTCGGTCATAGAACCCGGTGGGAGTTCTATTCAAAGACCCATCGATCTGACGCCTGTTCAGCCAACATCTGTAACAAAAGGCAAATGTCTCAGAGTTGAAGAACAAGCTTGTTCTGGTAGACAGCAGGGCTTTCAATATGAACTAATTGTTCTGATAGGGTAAGAAATAAAAGCCAAAGCCCATCAATGATGCATATCTCCGTGTGTTACAGAGGCTAGTAAATATTTCATAATGAAAACAGGGCTGGCAGGACAGGAGGAAGTCTCCAAGATTCTAAAAAATTTAACAGACAAAATGTTATCCTGTAAGTAAGCTATGAATTGCTTACTACATGCTCAAATGATTTTCAAGTATACAGAGCAGCTCCCTTTAAAAACGCAGCAGCTGTGAATTTCATAATAACTTGATGTTGTTTTCACATATAATAAAATGTAAGCTCCATGAAGGCATGGAAATCATATAATTTGATCAGTCCTATACACCTCTCCCAGAAAGGTGCTTAGTAAACACTTAAAAAGTGAATGAATAAATGATGTTCAAAAAAGCATTTTATATAGAATAAAATTACCTTATTTTAAACCTTATAGAAGTTTGCTATTTAGACATAGCTAAAGTTCTCTTGCTGAAAAAAGATATAAAATCTTACATTATAATAACAGAATGTAGTGATACACCAAAATTTTAGATCTTTTATTTTCATGCATTAAGCACTTAAGTATTAAATTTTAAAGATACAATACATCATTCACAAACTGCTAAAAATATTCTTGCAAAAGTTGAAGAAAGGACAGATACATTTATTTATTTATTTATTTATTTATTTATTTATTTGACAGGGTCTTGCTGTGTCACCCAGGCTGGAGTGCAATGGCTCGATCATAGCTCACTGCAACCTCTAACTCCTGGGCTCAAGCGATCCTCCCACCTCAGCCTTTCCAGTGGCTAAGATTACAGACATGCACTACCATGTCTGGTTAATTTTTAAATTTTTTGTTGAGATGGGGTCTGGCTATGTTGTCCAGGCTGGTCTTGAGCTCCTGGCCTCAAGTAATCCTCCTGCCTTGGCCTCCCAAAGTGCTGGGATTATAGGCATGAACCACGGCACACAGCCCAGATACACGTTTTTTACACTTAGTATTTTAAAAGACAGCAGAGTGAAATGTATACTCAATTACAAGGGAAATATGTCATGACCAACACTATTTCTAGGTATGACAATAGCTATGCAGGATACAGTAAACAGAAAAAGACACGTTTGCGCTGGAGAAAGAGGACCAATGAAAATTTATCACTACATAGGTAAGAGGGGCATCTATTTTTGGATACATAAAATTTCTTTTAATAGGCACGGGCTTGCATTGCTGGCTTTAGTGTTTCACCAAAGTGACAAAGCTCAAACGTCTAAGGGTTCCTTGGTGATGTTTTACTTTAGATAACTGGATACCCCACTGCCTGCATTTTATTTTCCCCTCATTCCCTTTGTTTGGCAATTAAAAAATATGTTTTTGGAGTTATATGAAGTTATGATTAATACTTTAAAAAGGAGATACTTCGTAGGACAACAGAAAAAGTAGAAACATGAGAATACTCATAATGGAGGTAGAAAATTATTTTGAAAGATCCTTTATTTTTTGTCTTTTCATTTTGAAAAATTTCAGACTTACAGAAAAGTCATGAATATAAACCATAAAGTTCCTGTATACTCTTTACTTAACTTCCCTTTTCCATTTTTTTTTTTTTTTGAGACAGGATCTGACTCTATCACTGAGGCTGGAGTGCAGTGGTGCAATCTCGACTCTGCAGCCTCAGCTTACTGGGTTCAGGTGATCCTCCCATGTCGGCCTCCTGAGTAGCTGGAACTACAGGCATGTGCCGCCACATCCAGCTAATTTTTGTGTTTTTTGTAGAGATGGGGTCTTGCCATGTTGCCCAGCCTGGTCTCAAACTCCTGGGCTCAAGCAATCTGCCTGCTTCAGCCTCCCAAATTGTTGGGATCACAGGTGTGAGCCATCGTGCCTGGCCTTCCTCTACTCTTGTTATCTTACATAACTATAGTATAAAACCAGGGAGTAAACAATGATACAATACTATTAATTAATCTATGGATCTAATTCAAATTTTGTCAATTTTACCACTAATATTCTTGTTTTGATCCAGAATCCAATCCAGAATTGGTGTTTAGTTTCCGTGTCTCCTGAGGCTCCTCTAGCAGTTTCTTGGTTGTCCTTTATCTTTCATAACCTTCACACTTTAGAAATGTCAGTTATTTTGTAAGATGTACCTCAATTTGGGTTGGTCTGATGTTTCCTGATGAATAGACTGAGATTATGCATTTTTGGCAAGAGTATCTAGAAGTGATGTTGTGCACTTTTCTTATTTATTATTTTTATAGAGATGGGGTCTCAGAATGTTGCCCAGGCTAGTCTCAAACTCGTGGACTCAAAGGACGCTCCTGCTCCAGCCTCCCAAAGTGCTAGGATCACAAGCTTGAGCCACCATGCCCGGCCCATCATGCCCTTTTCAATGCATCATATCAGGGGATATATGATTTTGATGTGTCTTATTACTGGCGATGTTCACCTTAATCTTTTGGTTAAGGTAGAGTCAGCTGGGTTTCTCCACTGTAAAATCACTATTTTTTCCTTTACAATTTAAGCATCTTGAGTGGAAACACATTGGAATGATGAAACTCTCCATTTTTCATCATACTTCCATGCAATGATGGTTTTTGCCGGCAACAATGGTAACTATTGTATTTGTCTATTTTTGTCATCCTATCTACACTTATAATTGGAATTCTATTATAAGAAAGGTCTCTTCACTCCCATTTGTCTATTTATATTAGCATAGACTCATGGGTATGTAAGAATGTTTCTTCCCATTTTCCTTTGGGATTTTGGTTGTCTGTCCTTCAATTTTTAAGAATTCTTGGTTATAAGCTCTTTGTGGCATATGTTTTGTTCCAGTTTCTCAGTTATCTTCTGACATTGGTTGTCTACTTTTTGCCATACAAAGTGTTGTTTTTAATTTTCATATAGTCTTATTAACTTTTTCTTTTGTTGTCCTTGGGTTGAGTCATTATTAGAAGGTCTTTCCCATACTAAGAGTAAAAAGGAATTTAACCATGTCTTCTTGTTTTCTATTATTTCATTTTTACATTTAGATTTCTAATCTATTTGGAGTGTATTCTTATGTGTGGTATAAACTACAGGTGTGATTATATCTTTTTGCAAATGGCTATCCAGTTGTCTCATCACTATTTAAAAAGTCCATCCTTGGCCTTTGTCACACATTAAATTTCCACATATACTTGGGGGTCTATTTCTGGACTTTCTATACTGTTCAACTCTTCTATTTGTCTGTTGTGCACCAATATCACACTGTTTTAATTACAGAGGCTTTATAGTATGTTTTAATGTCTAGCAGGGCAAGTCCTTCTTTTATGTTTTTCTGATTATTCTTATGTTTGTTTTTCCATATGAAGTTTTGTATTAACTTGTCTTAACCTCATAAAAACAGCTAGTTGAATGTTATTGGAATTGAATTATATTTACAACTGACATCTTTATAACATGAATGTTCCTATTTAAGAACGAGGATGCCTTTCCATTTATTCAAATTTCCTTTTGTGGAAGACAGCTTTTGTAAAAGGCCTAGGCAGATTTTTCTAGGCATATAACTATACCACTTTGGTAAATGCCAGGCACAAATGTACTCAATAAATACTTTCCTAAATACTTACATTAAAGCTATTTCTGTAATAAAAAAGTTCTTCAAGTCAACACAATCCACAAGTATTTGTTTTGTTCTTAGTGTAAGCTTAGCACAAGTCTAGGAAAGGGTTTAGCATTGAAGTCTATTTAGGGAGACAAAGTCACAGGCAACATATTTAAATAATGTTACCAAACCCAATCCTATCTGCCAAAATGCTGGGAGGAGATGGTGAGTGCCACAAAGGTTCAGAAAGGAAACTGACTTCAGAAAGTGGTATGAGGTGTTACATTTTGCACAGAATAATAAAAATGAAGAAATGCTTATAAACTATACTGGAAAAAAAGCATAAAATTCAAATCAATGCAAAATAATAATTGAAGACAGACATTTTGATTGGTCTTTCTGTTTACACTTTCCATCTAGTGGGGTGGCCTCTGACACTCTGTTGAATTTTACTTATTAATATCTTATCAATTTCATAGATATATCAAGCTAAAAATTATGATGTTATTGTAAATCCAGAGTATCATGTAGGTAACAAGGGGCCCTTATTACCTTCCATTCTGTTGAGGCTGCAGAATATCCAGCAGAAGCTGTTTAACTTCACTAGGTGACAGCTGATACAAGTCCAAGGCTGGCTTGTCTCCGCCACGGATCTGAAGTTCATACTCCATGGCATGGATGATCCACCTGAAACAAAACAGGGGAAGCATGAATCAATAACTCTTGAAATAAAATCACCTTCTGCTTCTCTCAGCAATGCCCTTAATAGCACTGACCCATTCAAAGGAGAATGAAGAAGAGGCCGTTTGAGTTTCCTGAACCGTTGATACAATTACTTCCATCAAGATTATGTGACATGATCAGACTCTTAAAAATGAGGCCTGCCCTTGCACAGGTGGTGAGGTTGTACAACATTAAAATAGGTAAGTACTTAGGTTCTTAGCAAGTGAGATTTTACCCATCCACTGTGGTATTATTCTGTACATAAACAGCTGCTACACTGTATTTTCTTAACACTAGATACATGCCAAAAAAAAAAAAAAAAAGGAAAGAGAGCTACAGAGAAACAATGCATTTCAAGAAATAGGCTGAGATATGCTATTATGTAAATGTTCCTTTCTCTGAAATCTCAAGCTTTTTGTTTTAAACCAATTTCCTTTACTTTGTAGTCATTCCTTTGGGGTGAGAGAAGACAGACAAGTACCTGTCTTTGAAATATAAGGACACAATTAGTTATAACTTAGTTATAGTTGTACATTAAAGATGTACTTTAACCAATAGGTTGCAGAAGAGCCAAAATATTTAATTATTTTATGTGTAAATAATTTTTTGAGGAGGTTTTAAAAAGCATTTTTGTAGATTCATCTCATTTCTTCCATTTACTATATTCTGAGGACAGAACTCAGAAAAACTAGTTATGAAAACCAAAGAAAACTCTGGAAATAATACTGTGCCTTAGGGAATGAGAAATTTACACACCATTAGGAAAAGCCAGGGAATTAGTTCACACAGCAGATTCCTATGCTTCATCCTTAAATCCTTCAGTGAACACTGCACAAAGAGAGGCAGTGCAACTGAGCATCTGGAAAGAATGCATCTTTATTCACCCATGCTGCCTTTCTCCCCCACGCCTTCTCTTTCTCTTCATACACTTCCTTGAAAGGCAGCCTACAAGGATATTGCAGGTACAGAGATGAAAATGTTAGGGTAGATGTATTCAAAAGATTGAAGTCCTTCTTTCTGCCAATGCTGGTTTGCAAAACAACAGTGATGCATCCTCATGGGATGACTAATGTCTCTCAATGTAGAGAACCGTAAGAAAAAATGCTAAGCCTTACCGGGTGTCAACCAGGCCTGATGGGCCAGGCCATAAGCCACAGGGTAACATGTATCAAGCTCTATGACAGTTCTAACCTCCACTGCCCTGAGCTCAGACAACTCTCAGCTCTTCCTACCTTCTCCCCTATTGTTTGTTGTTGCCATTTCTGGAAGTTGGGAGTTTAGTCTAGGGTAACACTGAGATGGATTATAAGGGCATGAGAGTTACACAAGGATGAAACATACTAATTTTTAGAAATCAATACTATTATTGTTGATACTATGGAATGAATATTTAATAGCTGCTCATTGGTAAGAGCAATAAAGATGAAGTATTTACAAACAACAAATGCCTGAAAGCTTCCTGTTATATACAACAACAGAACATGTAACAGAATTAAGATTTACCATTTATATTTCTCCTGTCAGTCAAAAAGAAAAACTGGACTACACCTATGTTACTGGCAAAGACTAGGCTTTCTTTACATCGTCCTCATTCTTATTGACTGTATTTAGCAAAAACGTTACACAAGCATAAAAGTAACAAGAACATAGTTCTTTTGGATGCTTTGACGTTAAAGCTGCTTATGAAATTAGCTATTACAGCAACATTTTAGTTACAATAAACTACTCAGTGGGCCTCTTCTTTAAAACGAAAAGTTATATTTTTATTTTATAGACCAGGCATAGAATTGTCTTCTACTTATTTTATTTATTTATTTTATTCATTTCTTTACTTAGATTTAAAACTTACATTTGAGGCAGCTTAGAATAACAGAAGGAATACTGAATTAAACATCGGAAGACCTGCCTGTTGGTCTCCTCAATAAGTCAATGGAATGAAAAGGAAAGTGGGATTTCCTGTTGTAGATGAAGTGATTTAAGAGACATAACCACTAATACCATGAGTCTTGTTTTATGTCATGATTCAAAAACAGACCAACTGTAAAAAGTCATTTCGGGGATAACCCAGAGAAATTTAAATAAGAACTGAGTATCTGGTGATATTTAAAAAAATTACTGCTAATTTTGGTGGGTATGATAATGGTATTGGGATTATTGAGATAATGTCCTTTTTTAGAGCTATATACTCACTAAAATACTCACAGGTAAAAGTTAAATGTCTGGGATTTGCTTCATAGTATACTATAGCAAAATAAAAGATAAAGCAAATATAGCAAATACAAATAGCTAAGCACTGCTTATACCCACTAAATAATGAGTACATGGGAATGTACCAAATAAGTCATTATATACTTAAAATTCTTCATAATGAAAAGCAAAGACAGACTTAAATACCAATTCTGTCACTTACCAACTGTGCCCCACTGGCAGATTATTTTTCAAATGGGAATACTACTATTGCTCATCGAACTTACTTTATGAAATTATTTTGAGGAACAAATAATGTCTATAAAAAGGCTCTGAAATGTTAAAGAGTCATAAAAATGTTAGTAAATTATTGTTATGTGATTTCTTAAACTCAGTTTAGAGGAAGGTAATGCAAATTTTTAATTCAAGTCTTGGAGTTACTTAAGCAAGTGTCACAGTCAATTAACTTCAGGAGGTATCTTCTAAAATAAATAACATTTTTATTTTTAAAAGGCTTACTTTTTAAACTCTGCCACTAACTTGAGTTATTAAAACTAAACATAGTTTATCACATTTATCTTTTAAAATCCCTAGTATCACGCACAAAGATAGCTGGAGACCTTAATGTTTTCCCTTAGACTTCCATTTACAAAATCTCAGCAGTTTTGTGGGCAAATTATTGACAACACTGTTCTCAAAAATCATGAAAGGAAGCAGGTTTTTCACTCATTCAAGCACAAATAAATACAATCTGTCATATTATTAAAATACATTTATTGGCTGGGTACGGTGGCTCATGCCGGTAATCCCAGCACTGTGGGAGGCTGAGGCAGCGGATCATGAGGTCAGGAGATTGAGACCATCCTGGCTAACACGGTGAAACCCTGTCTCCACTAAAAATACAAAAAATCAGCCAGGTGTGGTGGCAGGCGCCTGTAGTCCCAGCTACTCAGGAGGCTGAGGCAGGAGAATGGTGTGAACCCAGGAGGCGGAGCTTGCAGTGAGCCGAGATCACACCACTGCACTCCAGCCTGGGCAACAGAGTGAGACTCTGTCTCAAAAAAAAAAAAAAGAAAAAGAAAAAAAACCACATTTATTCATTAAAATTGTTGGTCAAACTAATCTTTTTATACCTTGGAATTCTTCAAATAAAAACAGCAAAACAGCCTTAGACATAAACTATAAAACTATTAATAGCAGTCAGAAATCTACAGAAAGTAAATTACCAAGGAGTAACACAGTTAAGAATATCAAAGACATTTTATCCATTTGTAGGACTACTAATAAAGAAGGACATAGGAAAATCAGGCTAATTATCCCTCATTCCCAATGACAAGGCCATAAAATCTGATTTGATAATTTTAGCACAAAAGCTTTCTTTTTTTTTCTTTTTGAGGAGGAGTCTCGCCCTGTCACCCAGGCTGGAGTGCAATGGCGTGATCTTGGCTCACCGCAACCTCCGGCTCCCAGGTTAAAGTGATTCTCCTGCCTAAGTCTCCTGAGTAGCTGGGATTACAGGCGTGCGCCACCACACCCAGCTAATTTTTGTATTTTTAGTACAGATGAAGTTTCGCCATGTTGGACAGGCTGGTCTTGAACTCCTAACCTCGTGATCCGCCCACCTCGGCCTCCCAAAGTGCTGGGATTACAGGCGTAAGCCACTGTGCCTGGCCAGTACAAAAGCATTTAAATACAAAATAGGGAAAGGAAAAGATGGATGGATGGATGGAAGGAAGGAAGGAAGGAAGGAACAAAGGGCAGAAGAAAGAAAATGTGGAAGGTCAAAATAATGAAGGTTATGGATGGCCCAGAGTCTTATACATTCAGTCTGTGTAAGAGCCAGAGATGCTCTACTCGCCAACAAGCAAATGAGAAGGTAGATACACACGACTGACCAAATCAACCTTCATATATATCCAGGTTTGACTTAAGGACAATGAATTCTTTGGGACTGCTGGAAAAGCACAAAAGGGAATGTTAGTATTCTTCAGACAGTTCTGGGAATAAGCTTATCCTTTTAAAAACACTCTTTTTTTTTTTTTTGAGACGGAGTCTTGCTCAGTCGCCCAGGCTGGAGCGCTGGAGTGTAGTGGCATGATCTCGGCTCACTGCAAGCTCTGCCTCCCGGGCTCACGCCATTCTCCTGCCTCAGCTTCCCGAGTAGCTGGGACTACAGGCGCCCGCTACTACGCCCAGCTAATTTTTTGTATTTTTTAGTAGAGACGGGGTTTCACTGTGTTAGCCAGGATGGGCTTGATTTCCTGACCTCGTGATCCGCCTACCTTGGCCTCCCAGAGTGCTGGGATTACAGGGGTGAGCCACCGCGCCCGGCTTAAAAACACTCTTGTTTGGAGGCTAGTAAGGATACAGTGTGTGTATTGGCATGTTTCTTTCCGATATACCCCAATTAAGGAGTACAATATGAAATAAAGTACATGGAAATCTGACAGCAGTGGTAAACCAGAACACCTGAAATTTTATTTTATTTTTTTTGAGACACGGTCTTACTTGTCACCCAGGGTGGAGTGCAGCTGTTGTGATCTTGGCTTACTGCAATGTCCACCTCAAGCAATCCTCCCACCTCAGCCTCCCGAGTAACTGGGACTACAGGCAGGCACCGCTACACCCAGCTAATTTTTAATTTTTTTGTAGAGAAGGGGTTTTGCCATGTTGCCCAACTGGTCTCAAACTCCTGGGCTCAAGTGATTCATCCACCTTGGCCCCTCAAAGTGCTGGGATTACAAGTATAAGCCACTGCACCTGACCAGCTGAAATTTTCTGGAAAAAAAAAAAAAGCCATACAGAATAGAACTGATCCTTGGAAAAAATAATTTTTTTTAAATAATCATTTTAAGATTTCAAGATAAGACAAGGATCTGCTAAGTTTGCTGTTAAACAAATGATTGGAGGTGGAGCCAAGATGGCCGAATAGGAACAGCTCCGGTCTACAGTTCCCAGCGTGAGCGATGCAGAAGATGGGTGATTTCTGCATTTCCATCTGAGGTACTGGGTTCATCTCCCTAGGGAGTGCCAAACAGTGGGTGCAGGACAGTGGGTGAAGTGCACCGTGCACGAGCCGAAGCAGGGCGAGGCATTGCCTCACTTGAGAAGCACAAGGGGTCAGGGAGTTCCCTTTCCTAGTCAAAGAAAGGGGTGACAGACAGCACCTGGAAAATCGGGTCACTCCCACCCTAATACTGCGCTTTTCCAATGGGCTTAAAAAACGGCACACCAGGAGATTATATCCCACACCTGGCTCGGAGGGTCCTATGGCCACGGAGTCTCGCTGATTGCTAGCACAGCAGTCTGAGATCAAACTGCAAGGCGGCAGCGAGGGTGGGAGAGGGGTGCCTGCCATTGCCAAGGCTTGATTAGGTAAACAAAGCAGCCAGGAAGCTCCAAATGGGTGGAGCCCACCACAGCTCAAGGAGGCCTGCCTGCCTCTGTAGGCTCCACCTCTGGGGGCAAGGCACAGACAAACAAAAAGACGGCAGTAACCTCTGCAGACTTAAATGTCCCGTCTGACAGCTTTGAAGAGAGTAGTGGTTCTCCCAGCACACAGCTGGAGATGTGAGAACAGGCAGACTGCCTCCTCAAGTAGGTCCTTGACCCCCGAGCAGCCTAACTGGGAGGCACCCCCCAGTAGGGGCAGACTGACACCTTACATGGCCGGGTACTCCTCTGAGACAAAACTTCCAGAGGAACGATCAGGCAGCAGCATTTGCGGTTCACCAAGATCCGCTGTTCTACAGCCACTGCTGCTGATACCCAGGCAAAGAGGGTCTGGAGTGGACCTCTAGCAAACTCCAACAGACCTGCAGCTGAGGGTCCTGTCTGTTAGAAGGAAAACTAACAAACAGAAAGGACATCCACACCAAAAACCCTTCTGTACATCACCATCATCAAAGACCAAAAGTAGATAAAACCACAAAGATGGGGAAAAAAATGGAGCAGAAAAACTGGAAACTCTAAAAAGCAGAGCACCTCTCCTCCTCCAAAGGAATGCAGCTCCTCACCAGCAACGGAACAAAGCTGGACAGAGAATGACTTTGATGAGGTGAGAGAAGAAGGCTTCAGACGATCAAACTACTCCGAGCTACAGGAGGAAATTCAAACCAATGGCAAAGAAGTTAAAAACTGTGAAAAAAGATTAGACGAATGGATAACTAGAATAACCAACGCAGAGAAGTCCTTAAAGGACCTGATGGAGCTGAAAGCCAAGGCTCGAGAACTATGTGAAGAATGCAGAAGCCTCAGGAGCCGATGCGATCAACTGGAAGAAAGGGTATCAGTGATGGAAGACGAAATGAATGAAATGAAGCGAGAAGAGAAGTTTAGAGAAAAGAGAATAAAAAGAAACGAACAAAGCCTCCAAGAAATATGGGACTATGTGAAAAGAGCAAATCTACGTCTGATTGGTGTACCTGAAAGTGACGGGGAGAATGGAACCAAGTTGGAAAACACTCTGAGGGATATGATCCAGGACAATACTTCCCCAATCTAGCAACGCAGACCAATATTCAGATCCAGGAAATACAGAGAACGCCACAAAGATACTCCTCGAGAAGAGCAACTCCAAGACACATAATTGTCAGATTCACCAAAGTTGAAATGAAAGAAAAAATGTTAAGGGCAGCCAGAGAGAAAGGTCGGGTAACCCACAAAGGGAAGGCCATCAGACTAACAGCGGATCTCTTGGCAGAATACAAGCCAAAAGAGAGTGGGGGCCAATATTCAACATTCTTAAAGGAAAGAATTTTCAACCCAGAATTTAATATCCAGCCAAACTAAGCTTCATAAGTGAAGGAGAAATAAAATACTTTACAGACAAGCTGAGAGATTTTGTCACCACCAGGCCTGCCCTAAAAGAGCTCCTGAAGGAAGCACTAAACATGGAAAGGAACAACTGGTACCAGACACTGCAAAAACATGCCAAAATGTAAAGACCATCAAGGCAAGGAAGAAACTGCATCAACTAACGAGCAAAATAACCAGCTAACATCATAATGACGGAACCAAATACACAAATAACAATATTAACTTTAAATGTAAATGGGCTAAATGCTCCAACTAAAAGACACAGACTGGCAAATTGGATAAAGGGTCAAGACCCATCAGTGTGCTGTATTCAGGAAACCCATCTCACGTGCAGAGACACACATAGGCTCAAAATAAAGGGATGGAGGAAGATCTACCAAGCAAATGGAAAACAAAAAAAGGCAGGGGTTGCAATCCTAGTCTCTGATAAAACAGACTTTAAACCAACAAAGATCAAAAGAGACAAAGAACGCCATTACATAATGGTAAAGGGATCAATTCAACAAGAAGAGCTAACTATCCTAAATATATATGCACCCAACATAGAAGCACCCAGTTTCATAAAGCAAGTCCTTAGTGACCTACAAAGAGACTTAGACTCCCACACAGTAAAAATGGGAGACTTTAACACCCCACTGTCAACATTTGACAGATCAACGAGACAGAAAGTTAACAAGGATACCCAGGAATTGAACTCAGCTCTGCACCAAGTGGACCTAATAGACATCTACAGAACTCTCCACCCCAAATCAACAGAATATACATTTTTTTCAACACCACACCACACCTATTCCAAAACTGACTACATAGTTGGAAGTAAAGCACTCCTCAGCAAATGTAAAAGAACAGAAATTGTAACAAACTGTTTCTCAGACCACAGTGTAATCAAATTAGAACTCAGGATTAAGAAACTCACTCAAACCCGCTCAACTACATGGAAACTGAACAACCTGCTCCTGAATGACTACTGGGTAAATAACAAAATGAAGGCAGAAACACAGATGTTCTTTAAAACCAATGAGAACAAAGACACAACATACCAGAATCTCTGGGACACATTCAAAGCAGGGTGCACAGGGAAATTTATAGCATTAAATGCCCACAAGAGGAAGCAGGAAAGACCCAAAATTGACATCCTAAAATCACAATTAAAAGAACTAGAAAAGCAAGAGCAAACACATTCAAAAGCTAGCAGAAGGCAAGAAATGACTAAAATCAGTGCAGAACTGAAGGAAATAGAGACACAAAAAACCCTTCAAAAAAATTAATGAATCCAGGAGCTGGTTTTTTGAAAAGATCAACAAAACTGATAGACCGCTAGCAAGACTAATAAAGAAGAAAAGAGAGAAGAATCAAATAGACGCAATAAAAAAGGACAAAGGGGATATCACCACCGATCCCACAGAAATACAAACTACCATCAGAGAATACTATAAACACCTCTACGCAAATAAACTAGAAAATCTAGAAGAAATGGATAAATTCCTCGACACATACACCCTCCCAAGACTAAACCAGAAGAACCTGAATCTCTGAATAGACTAATAACAGGCTCTGAAATTGTGGCAATAATTAATAGCTTACCAACCAAAAATAGTCCAGGACCAGATGGATTCACAGCCAAATTCTACCAGAGGTACAAGGAGGAGCTGGTACCATTCCTTCTGAAACTATTCCAATCAATAGAAAAAGAGGGAATCCTCCCTAACTCATTTTATGAGGCCAGCATAATCCTGATACCAAAGCCTGGCAGAGACACAACCAAAAAAGAGAATTTTAGACCAATATCCTTGATGAACATTGATGCACAAACCCTCAATAAAATACTGGCAAACTGAATCCAGCAACACATCAAAAAGCCTATCAACCATGATCAAGTGGGCTTCATCCCTGAGATGTAAGGCTGGTTCAACATATGAAAATCAATAAATGTAATCCAGCATATAAACAGAACCAAAGACAAAAACCACATGATTATCTGAATAGATGCAGAAAACGCCTTTGACAAAATTCAACAACACTTCATGCTAAAAACTCTCAATAAATTAGGTATTGATGAGACGTATCTCAAAATAATAAGAGCTATCTATGCAAACCCACAGCCAATATCATACTGAATGGGCAAAAACTGGAAGCATTCCCTTTGAAAATGGGCACAAGACAGGGATCCCCTCTCTCACCACTAATATTCAACATAGTGTTGGAAGTTCTGGCCAGGGCAATTAGGCAGGAGAAGGAAATAAAGGGTATTCAATTAGGAAAAGAGGAAGTCAAATTGTCCCTGTTTGCAGATGACATGACTGTATATCTAGAAAACCCCATTGTCTTAGCCCAAAATCTCCTTAAGCTGATAAGCAACTTCAGCAAAGTCTGAGGATACAAAATCAATGTGCAAAATCACAAGCATTCTTAGACACCAATAACAGACAAACAGAGAGCCAAATAATGAGTGAACTCCCATTCACAATTGCTTCAAAGAGAATAAAATACCTAGGAATTCAACTTACAAGGGATGTGAAGGACCTCTTCAAGGAGAACTACAAACCACTGCTCAATGAAATAAAAGAGGACACAAACAAATGGAAGAACATTCCATGCTCATGAGTAGGAAGAATCAATATCGTGAAAATGGCCATAGTGCCCAAGGTAATTTATAGATTCAATGTCATCCCCATCAAGCTACCAATCACTTTTTTCACAGAATTGGAAAAAACTACTTTAAAGTACATATAGAACCAAAAAAGAGCCCGCATCGCCAAGTCAATCCTAAGCCAAAAGAACAAAGCTGGAGGCATCACACTACCTGCTTCAAACTATACTACAAGGCCACAGTAACCAAAACAGCATGGTACTGGTACCAAAACAGAGATATAGACCAATGGAACAGAACAGAGCCCTCAGAAATAATGCCACATATCTACAACCATCTGATCTTTGACAAACCTGACAAAAACAAGCAATGGGGAAAGGATTCCCTATTTAATAAATGGTGCTGGGAAAACTGGCTAGCCATATGTAGAAAGCTGAAACTTGATGCCTTCCTTACACCTTATACAAAAATCAATTCAAGATGGATTAAAGACTTACATGTTAGACCTAAAACCATAAAAACCCTAGAAGAAAACCTAGGCAATACCATTCAGGACACAGGCATGGGCAAGGACTGCATGTCTAAAACACCAAAAGCAATGGCAACAAAAGCCAAAATTGACAAATGGGATCTAATTAAACTAAAGAGCTTCTGCACAGCAAAAGAAACCACCATCAGAGTGAACAGGCAACCTACAGAATGGGAGAAAATTTTTGCAACCTACTCATCTGACAAAGGGCTAATATCCAGAATCTACAATGAACTCAAACAAATTTACAAGAAAAAAACAAACAACCCCATCAAAAAGTGGGCGAAGGACATGAACAGACACTTCTCAAAAGAAGACATTTATGCAGCCAAAAAACACATGAAAAAATGCTCATGATCACTGGCCATCAGAGAAATGCAAATCAAAACCACAATGAGATACCATCTCACACCAGTTAGAATGGCGATCATTAAAAAGTCAGGAAACAACAGGTGCTGGAGAGGATGTGGAGAAAGAGGAACACTTTTACACTGTTGGTGGGACTCTGAACTAGTTCAACCATTGTGGAAGTCAGTGTGGCGATTCCTCAGGGATCTAGAACTAGAAATACCATTTGACCCAGCCGTCCCATTACTGGGTATATACCCAAAGGATTATAAATCATGCTGCTATAAAGACACATGCATACATATGTTTATTGTGGCACTATTCACAATAGCAAAGACTTGGAACCAACCCAAATGTCCAACAATGATAGACTGGATTAAGAAAATGTGGCACATATACACCATGGAATACTATGCAGCCATAAAAAATGATGAGTTCAGGTCCTTTGTAGGGACATGGATGAAACTGGAAACCATCATTCTCAGCAAACTATTGCGAGGACAAAAAAGGAAACACCGCATGTTCTCACTCATAGGTGGGAACTAAACAATGAGAACACATGGACACAGGAAGGGGAATATCACACTCCGGGGACTGTTGTGGGGTCGGGGGAGGGGGGAGGGATAGCATTAGGAGATATACCTAATGCTAAATGACGAGTTAATGGGTGCAGCACACCAACATGGCAGATCTATACATATGTAACAAACCTGCACATTGTGCACATGTAACCTAAAACTTAAAGTATAAAAAAAAAAAAAATTAGATGATTTTGTGCATTTAACTAAGCCATATTCTATGGACTGAATTCTTTCTCCCCCTCCAAATTCAAATGTTGAAGCCCTAACTCCAGTGTGATGGTATCTGGAGATGGGGTCTTTGGGAGGTAATCAGGTTTAGATGAGGTCATGAGGTTGGGGCCCTTATGCTGGGATTAGTAACCTTATAAGAAGACATACCAGAGAGCTCTCTCTCTCCATCAGAGGACACAGGACACAGAAGGCAGCCATCTGCAAGCCAGGAGGAGAGCCCTCACCAGAAACCAAATTGGCAGGGACCCTGACCTTGGCCTTTCCAGCCTGCAGATTGTGAGAAAATAAATTTCTGTGTTTAAGCCATTCCATGTATGGCGTTTTGTTATGGAAGCCAGAGCTGATACACCAAATGACAGACGATGGAAAGCTGCAAGAAGGGACTTTTTTTGCTTGATTCATATTAATATGGAGAGGAATACAATTTGATGAGGCAAACTGAGCTATCTGTTTGGTGACTGAAGGATGTGGATTCCCTCTATCACTGATCCAATCACAATAGAATAGAGGTTGGGGAGCTTCATCATCTCACCTCCTTACCTCATATCAGATGTCAAAAGCAAAGACCTCAGAATGAGTATCAGAACCGTGCTAATGAACTTGGTGCTGTAATTATTTTCTCTTTCCTTTAGTGCATAAGCAATGTTATAGTCTGCTATCTATGACAACAATGGCTCTCTCTAAGCTTCGGATGTGTGATCCACAGATACGGTTTTGGGCATCAGAGGACAAGGTACGTCTGGATCATAATTGCTTACAGAGGATGCCCTGGCAGTATGAAAAGCAGAGATGAAAAATACTTGATAACACATATCCTCTGGGGTTATCTGTAAGTAAAGCTTGACTGACAGACCTGCAGCAGAAAGTAGTTGATTGGAGGTCTTTACAGTAATGGGCCTGTCAGGAACTTGATCTATTTCAACAGGAAAGCTGAAGCACAAATCAATAATGAGACAGCAAATCAAATCATTATCAGACCAGAATACCATTCCTGTGAGCAGGTTAATTTTGTTCACTGGAGTGCCTGATAGCAGTAAAGTTGAAGAAATTGCATTGGCAAGATTAACCTTGGAAAAAAGAGAAAAGAAACATGGTGCTATTGGCTTAAAAGCAATTGAAGTAGTGGGTAATGCAAATAAATAAAATTTAAAAAAACACTAAGAGAGAGTAGTTAAACCTGAGATAAAAGTATACTCAATGCAAGGGAATTCTGGTTAAGATGTACCATGATTAAGGCAAATGTTCTTATTTCTTATGGCCATTCAGTCTAGTGAATGCTGGCATCCAAGAAGAATATGGTATCAAAACATGACCAATCAATCAATCTCTTTAATCATAATTAACATTTAAAAGAGAGAAACAATAGCAAAAAGCCAAGTAAGAATGAGTCTGATGTGCTTATTGTACCATAAGGCAGTAAAAAAAGAATACATTCTATAAATCCCCTCCCTTTCTTTTAAAATTGTGCTACAACCACTACAATACACAAAGGACTAACTCAGAAACAGTTACATGTTCAACAATTTATAGGAAATTTGACATTCAAAGACTTTATAAATGAATAATTTGCTCACCAATTTTAAGCAAACTAAAAACCTTCCAGGGACTAATTCAAGGTAAAATTTGTAAAGAAACATACTGAGTATGTATTTGCTGCTGCTAATAAACAAATATGCAAGGGGCCCATTCACTTAAAGGGGTTGAGGCCTTAGTATAATTTATTGAGGATGAAGTCTAATAAAAACATAGAAGACACAAAAGTATCTTTTTACTCTTCAGAGGGGCACTATCACAAGCCCCACAGACAGGATGACAGTTATCTGAAGTTGTCTGATATCCCTAGGGCAGAAACAGCATTCCCAAGCCTTTATTACTGTGGTGGAAGAGTGCTGTGGGCGTAGGTCTGAAGGGATTTTAGGGTGTTTGCCACAGGTGTCGTGAGTGTCTACCAGGTGACGGAGAGGTGACATCATGTTAGATGGCAAGAGATCATCCCAATGGGATTCTGAGATGGAGTTTCCATATGAGATGCTTTGGGATCATTCCACTGGGCCTACAGGGGACTCAACCATGGCTGAAAGGGCCCCCTCCTCCAAGGTGAACTTCTCTTGTGAGAGCACACGGCCTTTGCAAACCTAGGACCAGAAGACAAGAATGAGTGAGATGGAGACAGAGAGAGAGAGAGAGAGAGAGAGAGAGAGTGTGTGTGTGTGTGTGTGTACGTGTGTGTGTGTGTTGGGAGAAGAGGGAGGTTCCTCCTACGGCACCTTGAGATTTGTGGTGTGTAAAAAGCACTCCTCAGATGGAGCTGTTCTCCAAATGTCATGGGGAGAAGACCTCAAATTATCAAATACCACAGTGATAATGTTGAAGCTCTGCCCTTGCAAAACATCTTCACATTTTTTACCCAGAATCACCACATCCAACGAGGACACCAAAGCAGGCATAGCCCCGCTGTTACTGACCAGGGTAACAGGGGTGGAAGAGGGGTTGGGGAGCATGAACTCTGCGTCACTCACACTAGTTCCAAATCCTGGTTCTTGGCCTGTGACCTTGGGAAAGTTATCTAATTTTGCAGAATTTCAAGCAGCTTGTGTGTAAACTTACAGAGTTTTTGTTGAGGATTTTCTGGGATAACCCAAAGGGCAAGCACCTAGAAAATGGGCCCTCAGCAAACATTAGATCTCTTCCTCTGAACATAAGAAAGGGGAACTCATTTGCCTGAGATAGTCACTTAAGTTACTGGCAGAAATGGGAATAAAATTCAAGGCTTTCCACTTGTAACTCTCAAATTGGTGTTATCCAGAGAGCTGAATTCAGTGGCAGGGCTGGTTTTGCCTTAGGGGAGGTGGAAGATTTTCCGTAGAGGAGTTACACGGCAACTGTCTACCATTTGTCCTTATCCCAGTGTCTCTATCTTTGCTGGTTCCAGTAAACAGTACCAAGGGTTCAGTGCATATTCACTGGCTCACACATTTTGGACTGGCTGTTAACTTCGAACAATGACATCTACCCTGGACCTACAAAGACGGGTTAGTCTTCAGGAAAATATTATTTCCTCTGCAAATACTGACCTTGAAAGTATGACAAAATATAATTTCAAATTATTCTTATGCTTTGCCTCCTAAACCAATGTTGATGCAGCAACAGGCAGGCAGGTTTACATTTCAGAAAGCTTTTTTTGTGTGGTTAACATAATGAGGCTCTGTATTTGCCAGAGGTATCCTAGAATATTACAAGGAAGTGAAAAGTCTGCTCTAGACTTCTCTGAACTTTTCATAGCGTCTTAATATTAGGTTAGTGCAAAGCAATTGTGGTTTCAGCCACTACTTTCAATGGCAAAAACCACGATTACTTTTGCACCAACACAATATATCTACTGTAGTATACAAGCGGCCAACTTAGAATCATCCCATTTTCTCTGCCTTGTGATGAATAAAGGTGCAAAATCTCATTTATTCGGTCTGTTAACTTGTACCTACTCAAGTTCCTTACACTGTAAAATGCTCAACAGTACTGATCCTAGATTGGAGGCCTGGCAGACAAAAGACGAAAAAAAAAAAAAATCTGGCATCTGGCACATCATAGTTACTACATGAACTTGAATACAATATGGATCATAAATTGAAATCATGTATGAGAGATCATAAAGGCCATAAAGTTTTAGAAATAAACACTAAAGCCTGTTTCTGTGAGATAATGGCAATAGTATACAGAAGCAAAAACATGCAGAAAGTACTCAAGACTGAAGAATAAGAACACTGGAGTCAGGCAGACCTGGGTGTAAATCCCAGTTCTTCCACTTACTGACAAAGACAGCCCATGTATACTCTCCAAATCTCAATTTCTTTGTTGTAAAATGGTGGTTCTAGTGCCTACTTCAAAGTTGTTGTAGGGATTAAAACAGATAATATATGTGAAGAATTTTTATTCTTCTTCTATTATTCATTGCTTAGCATATAACAGATATTCAATGAATAATATTTGTGGCTATAGTGATGGAGGAAGAGAAGGATGGTTTACTAGAGTGATCTTTTGAGTGCAATGATCACGTTATTTAAACTTGTCTCCTCTTAGATCGTTACTGGAAACACTGCTAAGAGATGTACGATTGTAAGGCAACCTGTCCTGTACTCTGATATGATTAATTACACCATTCCATTAATAACTCCGTGGAGAAAAGTGCTACATCCTGATATCTTCTGTATATATGAATGGACTTTCATAAAAACAAGGCCCTGTTTAACTTGGTCATTTCCTGAAGGACATGATTTAATTAAATCTTCTTTTATACTTAATTCCAATATCATGTGGCACAAAACCAAGTATGTTTATCAAAATTAAGAGCCATTTACTTCTCTAAGAGTACAGAGACATGCTCTCTTTTTGCTTTTCCTAAATTCCACATTACTAGCTCAAAGCAAACCACCTGACTCTGCTTATATACCGTATGTTAAACAATCCAATATTTATTGAGTATCTCTGATGAAAGAGACTGTAAGACAGATGGGAAGTAATACAAGATTTAGTTCCTATCCTTAGCAGAAGGAAATTTCTTAAATAAATAACTCCTTAATAAAAAAAAAAAAAATACCAGATTGCTCCCCAACTGAAATAGTCCCAGTGGTTAGAACTGATCTCGTGAGACCCACATAAGAGTGAAATGTACATCATAAGTCAGGCAGGGACACTATTAATACTCGCAATGAGAATATAATGCCACAATTCCAGAATGAGTTTCAGGACGGTGAATAATTAAGGTTTCATAGCAAATTTCTTTATGAGTCAGTTGACTGTTAAATACTAAGTCACATGTTGCCACCTGACATTTTTACTTTGGGTAACACAGTATAAGGAAAAATGGTATGTCATTTCTCATGGAAAGCACCAAACATACAGAGTAACAGATATAAAAACAGAAAGAATGCTATTTTTAGAATAAATATCCATTCCCATGAATAGAAAGAAGCATCAGGTTAGAGTTGAATTCAAGAAAGGGAATTACATGAGATTTGTAGAGGACCTAAATTAGCTTAAAATGCTGAATAAGCAGTAAAGGAAAAACTACTATAGACTGAAAAACACAGCAGTGTAAAATCTTGGGAAACTGTTT
Source organism: Homo sapiens (assembly GCF_000001405.40). Classification (NCBI taxonomy): domain Eukaryota; kingdom Metazoa; phylum Chordata; class Mammalia; order Primates; family Hominidae; genus Homo; species Homo sapiens. The sequence goes on along the minus strand of NC_000016.10, from coordinate 47,672,607 downwards.
ACCTTCACTCTAAGGCTTTGTTGAAACCTCTGCAAGGATGGCTGTCACTTGAAAAGGCTCCCTGAACACTTATTACACTTATTTCAAAGAATGTGCTTTGGAAGACTTATAACCTATACTTCTCAGTCTGTCTCAGATCAATGCCTGAGTCTGTGACAATAGAGTACTTTTATACCATGTACAGAGATGGAGAATCACATTTCTTTTCATTTGGAGTTAGCTCACATGAAAGAACCATTTCTCTATCCTCATGTGGAGTCAAGAGGTTGGAGTTGAAAATATCAGGGCAAACAGACTGAACAAATCAGGATATAACTCAAAGTTCTTATAACTGATTCAAAATAGCTCTGAATCTTTGAAAGAAACTATTTTAAGGGATAAGAGTGAAGGTCAAATTCTATGCAGGTAATTTACTTTCAATCAAAAGAAAGAAGAGACAAAGATAAGGAAATTTGACTGAAATATACTGTAGTTGAAATCAGGCAAATCACTTAAAAATAATAAGCTAAAGTAATTTTTAAAATAATACTGAAAAATGTAACTTAGAAAGTAGAAATCTCCTAGAGAAAGTAACTGACACCAATTTGATATATATTTTTCAGATACTTTTGCACACATACATTACACAGATATATGTATGGTATTATTATTGTTCTTTTATAAAAAGTGGAACAATACACTGCATCTTTTTTTACATTTATCTAGGACATTCATAAATGTCGGTATATAGGACTTTATCTTGTTCACTGTAGGTAGCACAGCATTTTTTATATGGCTAAAAACCAATTTATTCAAACTATTTCCTACTAATGAACATCTAGGTTGTTCGCAATGTTTCACTATTTCGGATAATGCTGAAAGGAAGACTGCTGCAAAATATATCTTTATGGTACTTGTGTGAATACTGTGAACTCCTTGGATGAGAACTGATGAATTACGATGTATGCAGATATTGCCAAATAGGCAATGCATTTTTCACATGTGATTTTGAAGGAAAAAATGGGTAATAATGTTTAAAAAAGTACATCACATTTATGTGTAAAACTAGTGGAATGAAAAGGAGCTCAACCCAACAATAAACAGAAAAGGAAAAAAGTTATAAGAAAGCATGGTAAATATAAAGTATAAAATATAGAAATAGGTCAAAATGTAAAAGAAAGAAAACAATTATGAAATATATATTTCTATTAAAAGACAACATTATGTATATAGTTAATACTACTGTACTGTATATTTAAAAATGGTTAAGATGGTAAATTTTATGTTACATGCTTCTTATAAGATGCTCTCAGAGTATATTAATAAATACAGCATAGTGCTGAATATAAAAACATACATAATACATACAAAATTATAAAAGAACATTGAATGCAAAAAGGATGGAAGACAATATAGCAAGCTAATAATGACAGATGGAGAAAGGTATGGCAATAATATTTGACAAACATAATTCAATTGTTTTTTATGCATGGTAACAGTACTGTGTTTATGCTTTGAAAAAGTTCTTATGTTTTTGAGATACAAATTTAAGTATTTACAGATTAGAAGATATGGATTTGCCTTTCAAAACTGACAGGGTACTGTGGGAGCAGGTGGGTAGTAGATGGGGGTATGGGTGAAGTAAGACGGACCAGATGATAATATTGTTGAGGCTGGCTGATAGTATGGGCACATAAGTCTGTATTATACTAGTCTCCGTATTTTTGTAAATGTTTGAAGTTTAAAAAAAAAGTTGAAAAGTAATCAATGACATGAAGATATATTGGTAAAAGTTATGAAGAGACATGGACAAAATCAAAGTTTTAAACTACATAAAGCAGCCAGGTGAGGTGGCTCACACCTGTAATCCCAGTACTTTGGGAGGCTGAGGCAGGCAGATCACTAAAGGTAAAGAGTTCAAGACCAGCTTGGCCAACATGGTGAAACCGTGTCTCTACTAAAAATACAAAAATTAGCTGGGTGTGGTGGCGCACGCTTGTAATCCCAGCCACTTGGGAGTCTGAGGTGGAAAGATTGCTTGAACCTGGGAGGCGGCAGTTGCAGTGAGCTGAGATCGCACCACTGCACTCTAGCCTGTGTGATAGGAATGAGACTCCATCTCAAAAAACAAAAAACAACTACATAAAGCAAAACTGATACAAATAAAAATGCAAGGAGAAATTGATACAACCACAATTATAATGAGAAATTAAGAGTTTTATCAGCAATGACCAAATAGAGATAGTAAAGATGTTAAAATTCCAGTTTTACAGTTAGCAAGCTACATATACTTATTTCACACTCATACACATACATGTATGTTTGCACCCAACAGAGAATGTATATTCTTTTCAAACACTTGAGAAACACCCTCAAAGTTGGCCACTTGTTAGATTACACTATAAGCTCAGATATCATTGGGCTCTTTTACAATAGGACATACTCACGATACTTGTACAATAAAAAATGTATTTAAAAAAGAAACATTTATACTTCCTTAGCTTGTCATAGACTTTTAAAACATATCTCATTTCATTTTCATATAAAACAAACAAACTGGTATTAAAGTGAGGCTAGAGAGGTTCAGTCATTTACCCAAGGTTACTGAGACAACAATGGCAGTTGGAACTTGAACTCAGTTCTGCTGAATTCCAGAGCCTGGTTAATTTTTCCTACACCATGCTGCCTCATAAAATCCTTGATTACAAATATTCAAGATCATCAGAGCCTTATTTTGATTTCTTCTCCAAGAACAACAATATTAAAAATCAATTAATAGATTTCAGTAGAAAATGGGTATAGAATATTCTTAAAAGGACCAAATTTTTATCTGGATGTGTCCTCCTGACAGTTTTACTGAAAATCATTCTTCTCTTAAGGCCTATCCATTTTATTTCTAGGAATTTTTGCAAGTACTGTGCTTAGCGTTTTACACGACACAGCTGTTGAAATTTCTGGGGTTTGATTTTACCAGACAAAGGAGTTACTTCACTATGTCTAACTCGGGTGTGAAATAAACGTTAAGGATTCTTTCAGGCTAGTGGCATTTATTTTTCATACCCCCAGATATTGCCTGCATGGCTTAGAGGACAGGTGCTCTTTGCTGAATACTCACCAGACACCAGGAACATTGCTTCACTTGGAGAGGCCGGGTCTGTTAGAGGACAACTTGAACAATTCTCTTTATGCAAATGCAAAGGACTTCACTCACCCGATTCGTATTTTCAGCATGCCACTGAATAACTCAGGGTTATTGGAGATGATCCAGCCAATATGGATGACCAGTTCTTGCTGAATGACCGCTTCCCTCTCATCATGGGTGTTACACTTATAATAGATGATGTTTTGAATCACTCTTGGAGACAAAGGATTAGAGATAACTTCTTCTTCATGCCCAAAGGCACCCAGAGTTACCTACAAGTGGCAGAATTTTATTGTAAAATTCTCCTAGCTACTAAAAGATAAAAATTAAAAAAAAATCAAGGCTCAGAATGACTGGCAGGCTGAAATTACTCTATATAAGCTAGGGAATTAGGTAGAATAACTGTTCCTGGTATTTATTAAAATGGCTTTCAAAGCATGACTCCCACTGGAATTCATGATGGTTCACAGTCTAGTCTAAAATATAAGGGCAGGTGAGGGTTCCAGTTAGGGGAGTGGAGGTGAGTGGATAAAAGCAGGGAAGGAATATAAATTAAGTTAAAATTATTCTGAATGACTTTAGTACTAGAAACTCCCCAGAGAAACCAGAATAGGTTGAAGAGTTTCACTTTACTGCAGTCTACACAATTTGGTATTTGAGAGATAAACTTTTTGATTCTTTTATAGTTTCTCAGGCAGATCCTTTTGCCTCAGCAACACTATAACCTTTCAAAGGCAGGTGTGAGGCCACCCAGTTCCTGTGTAGCCCTCATTTTTCTGGGCATAATGCAAGGTGCCTGGTGAGGGTTAAAATATGTGGTGACAGATCTCTCACCTGTGGAGGGGAAGGAACAGGCTGCCCACAGCCTGGGACAGGAGACAGCATAGAGTGAAATGGCCAAAAAAACTCTGGGCAGAATGCTGCTGAAGCTGGCAAGGGGAATAAGCTGGTCTCTCTCTCTCCTCTATACTTGGCATTCTTCTCCCAGGGGACTCTGCAGGCCGCCCTTCTCCCTGAATACCCCTTTCCATCTCTTTTTCATGTACAGTGTACAATTATAAAAGGCAGGAAAAAAGAATAGCATATCAAAGGCCACAGAGATGAGGGGAGAGAGCAGAACATGGAGTCTATTGCCTCAATTTTGTAATGGAGTGAAAACTGTGAACTGCTGGTTTATTATATCACAAGTGGCATGAACCAGTTAGTCTGCGTGTGAATACTTTTATTAAAATGTCAGTGTGTAAAGAAGAAAACAAACAGAAGGCACATCATTGCCTCTAGAAGCAATGATGACTAAGCCATGATTTCATTCCACAGAGCTTGAGGTGATCCGAATGTGCTTGGTAGAAACAATATTACTTCAGTGCTTAGGGTGGCATTTGAATAACGCACGAGTAAAAATTCTGAATGCTCCATTCTCATTTCTTTTTTGTAAAGAGGTAAGATGCGGTCAGAGAATGGACTCCATGCCTCTGGTAATGAAGCTGAGCTACTGGCCTCCGAGTCTTGCCCAGCTCTGTAAGTGACTGTTACCCTGGGAGACACGCTAGTGTGATGAGCAATGGTCCAGGCACAACCTTAGGGCAGGCTCTGAGGCTTCCAGGATGTAGGAGCAGGATCTCAGGACCACAGGCTGCAAGCCCCCTTTAGATATTGTGTAGATTGGACAGAACCAACCCTAACCCACCCTTTCTCCCAGTGTCAGGTGCTGATGACCTTGAAGGTCTCCAAAAGCTTCTGAATGTTCATATGCAGAGTTAACTCTCTTTTCAGAAATGCTACAAGGATCTAAAATCCAAGGAAAAATATCTTCTCAAAGCCTGTTTAACTTTCTTTCAGAGGTGGCTTGGTTCAGGGTAAAAACACAAGACTCTGGCTGGAGGTGAGAATTCTGGTGAGAAAAGGCACTAGATAAGTTACTTCCTGTATTTTGGTCTGTTTTAGCCAACAAACAGGGATAAAAATTCTACCTCTCAATAATTTGGAGAAAATAACATATATGAAGTGATTTAACTTTTTCTTAGGAGTTTTTGTATTTTTTCTTTTTAATTTCTTTAAACGACAGGGTATTGCTGTGTTGCCCAGGCTGGAGTGTATGATCACAGCTCACTACAGCCTCAAACTCTTGGGCTCAAGCAATCCTCCTACCTCAGCTTCCCAAGGCACTGAAACCAAAGGCATGTGCCACCAGGCCCAACTATTTTTTTTTTCTTTTTTTTGCAGAGATAGGGTCTTGCTATGTGCTCAGGCTGGTCTCGAATTCCTGGCCTCAAGTGATCCTCCCGCCTTGGCCCCCAAAGTGTTTGGATTACAGGTGTGAGCCACCATGCCCAGCAGGAATCTTTTATCTTTTATTAGTACAATTATTTTTAATTATTAAATATTACAGGAAACAATAAATAGCTTATTATTCTAACATTTCAAAAGCTAAATGTAAGGATGAATAATTTTAATCTTAATGAATTAAGAGCCCTGAAATATGACCAATGGGTTGATTCCATTGAAGAGAGTTAAAATACTTCATATTACTAAAGATTATTATATCCCCAGATTAACTCTCAGGAAAACACAATAAAGCACATATATTCCCAGAGAAGAGACAGAGAGTAAGTGGACAGGTTTTCATTCTAATCAAAGGATGATTCAGCCAGGTAAATTAGAGCTTATAGAAAACAAAACAGAAAATGAGTAGCCACACCCCACATGCAAGGCTCAATTCAACCAACATTCACCAAGTGCTTTTTCCAAACAAGGCCCCATGCTGGGCACATTGGGACGTGTACTGGACAAGACCCAGACTCTGACCCCTGGGGGTTCACAGCCTACCATGAGGTGAGAGACACACATTCAAATGAACTGGGACCCAGGACAGATTGTGGGAATTGTCACAGACCTATTGTGAGAATCCAGAGAGAGAGACCACTGCTAACTGGAGATGGCTCCGTGAGGAGGAGGTGACAGAGTTGGCCCTGGTGAATGGGGAGGAGCTGGGGTTAGAGATGGCCTGGGGCAGGGGATCTGGGGAGCAGCACTGGCACGCAAAGACCCTGGCTGGGCATGAACACCATGCTTTCTAAGTGGGGAGATCTCATGTGGAGCAGAAGGGAAGATGCGCCCTTTGCTGTTCACCTACCTCTGTTCTGCCTATCCGAAACCTGTCTGGAGTACTTCAGTAGTTATTGGTCCATTTTCTACATTAGCATCTGCATTGATCTCAACACAGGAGTTGAAGATTATAGCTTTAAGGTGCAGCAGGAAAGGGGAAGGCCCATTTAATAACTTTCTGACTAGATTTTGCTTGGGGAAGGAGACTTTGATAGAAAGTGCCTGAGCCCTTATAAATCTGATTGTAAGAGGCCTATGACATTGAGGTTTGCCAGACTTAAAATTAAGGGTCCTAGCCAGAAATCTTTGCAACCGGGACCAAATAAGTGTCTGAAAAGCAAATACTTACCTGTTTGCCCTGCACTAAAACATTAGTAATGGATGGGGCCAGGCTGTCCACTACTTTACTTAAAAGACTTGCTGCACGGCGTACAACCGACCTGGGGGCAAAGAAGAGAGCAGGCCAGATGTTCACAAATCTAAAAGATGAGGAATGCATGGGGCCCTGATTGGGTAGTCTTTAAAATATACACAGTGGAATCCTCACATCATCATTTGGAGGAAACACTGCCCAGGACATTGAACCTAACAGCTGAAATTTCCCAGACTGCAGGACCATTCAGAATTAGGGAGGGATCCCTCCACCTCATCCCTGCCACCAAGCTGTGACAAAAATATTATTGATGACACTATTGATATAAAAAGCAAAAAAAGAAAACCTAATTATTATTTTGATTAGGGAGGGAGGGTGTATAGGAGGGATTAAGAGGGTATTCTGATTTTGCATTAACAAGTTCATTACTAAATCTGTCACTAGTACATGTGACCTATTTCTATAACCACTTTAAATCATGTTTCTTTTGGTGCCTAGATAACCAAATCTCTGGATTAGAGGATTCACTTAGTACTGAATTTTAGAAAGTGCTACAATGAAATACCAGTATTTCTTTTTACTGATAAAGCCATAATGTTGGGGGAAGGAATTCACACTGCTATTTTTATATTACTGAAAAAGTCTTAGAACCTAGGGAGAACAGATTTTTTTTTTTTAAAGTACAGCACATGCAATACATAAGACAATTTTTTTCCCTCAAAAGTAAAAATTCTCGTGGAACTTTTAGATAGAGAAATAAAAATGTAGGTTTGAAACTGGCTGCAATCTTCATGTATTTCAGGATATCCACAGAAGCTGACTTATAAAAAGCATTTATATTCCTTAATTTCAACATAGATGACTAAAAGAAAATTAAGTCAATAACTAATAAAGTTAGTGAAACAAACACTTCCTACTTCTAGAGAAGCTTTCACCCACACACTATAAGACCAAAAGACATATTTAACCTTCAGAGTGCAAATAAGCCCACACATTTCAAGCAGCTTGGGTTTTCAAATTCTGTGCATGTTACCTGTTTCCCATGTACCAGAAAAGTAGTAATGTGTGGGGCTATAGAGGAAGAAAATTTCTGGGTAAATGCAGCCCCGTAGCGCACCGCCAACCTGGGTGTGTCAGTGGAAAGCCATAAAAGGGAAAATAGAGTAAATAAAACTTCCAGGAGTTCTTCCAAACATAACAGTCAGCATTCTAAATGTTTGCTAGTTAATGATTTATCTGAAATGCATAAAGTGTAATACATAAAGCAAGAACAGATGTGCTTAATCAAAAATAAGACTACAGACCACACTTGAAACTTACTGGCTAAGAAAGTTTACCAGAACTATCACTTATTGGCTTGATGTCTTACTGTACTGAAAATTTACAGTGAAAATTTGAAAGATTTAACTATAGGATTATTACATTATTTCTTCTGAGGAGGAACGGCATATTTATTATAAAAATAGAATTGAAATATTCTAAGGGATTGTTTTGTTTAATCCCCTTATTTTAGGGATTAGAAACCTGAGGCTCATTGAGGTTAAGGGAGTTTCTTATGACATTCTTGAGACTTTTTTTTTTAAGTGGATAACGTATCATTAAAAAAATGTGTGCATGTGTATATATATCTATACATACGCTCTGACTTTCAAAATTTGTTAGATTCTGCTAGTAAAACTGTTAGAATTACATCAAAATGCAGAGGGCCATGTGAATTGGCCCTCCATTGTGAATTTAAACAATTTTATTTATTTAAACTTTCCTACATCTTTTTTTTTTTCAATCTCTGGGAACAGACTACCTCTGTAGAACAAATTGGTTATTTTTCGTGAAGCAACTACAATCACTGGGATTCATTCAACTTAAGTGACAAGACAATAGCCTTCTACTATTTTTGCTTATGATTAGATAAATCACTGGTCTCTTTTCATGGCCTTCTATAATAGCAGAACAGGTTTCCTAAATTAAAAAACAGAACTTAAAGCACCTTGTTGGGGCAGAGGAGGTGTACAGCAGGAAAGAAACCTTAGCATACCATTCCAGCGAATACTCTTCAGGTTCAATCCCTACAGTGTCTTTGTTCTCAGAATTTTGGTGGAGGCAGTGGGGGGACAGACATGCTACATAGGCACATTCTTAGAAAGTGCTGTAACCTTGGAGGTTAAAAGTAAAAATTAGGATGAATAACTATCTTTAATATTGGTCCATTTTCTTTAGGCTATCGAATATAACAACACAAAAATAAAACATAACAACAAGGACACTAATACAAACCAAAGTTTTTGGCTGCCAGCTCTTCTATAGACTCTCTCAATGTGATCAGAAACGGTACCTAGACATTGGATAATAGAGTCTTTGTTGAACAAAGCTTTTAATTAAATGCACAACATTTATTCCTCTTAAAAGTACTCATTTTCACTGTGCTTCACTAGAGTTGATACATCGATCCATTAATGTTCTGAACTAACATATTTAAATATGTAACTCAAATATATAGAGTGTGACTATCCCCAGCACTTGATACTATTTAGTCTGAGTATGTAATATAGGTATTTTATTTCTCGAAATTCAACTGTTTTCCTAATTAATATGCAATCTAAACTTTTAACAAATACAAATGCTATTCTAATTTACTGCAGAAAAGAAGAAAAGAGAATATAGTAAAATAATTAGCAATTGAACAAATACTGTAGACTCTAATATATATGAGTTTTCATTTATTTGTTCAATAAAACTTTACTGAGGCCTTGTTATGTACATGGGGCTATGATCATTCCAACATATGCTACTGCTCAAAAGACACCAGTGGGTTTCATTATTTGGCCACTGATTTTGCCCGTAAAATCACAATGTGACAGGAAAGAGCGCCAAAAAGAAAACAATGATAAAAAACAAGATCTTTAACATTTTACTCTAAACTTTTTACAGCCTTTTAACAAATTGGATAAAATTATATTCAGATTCTGTAGATGCATATGATTTTCAAAGTTTCACATAAGGTTTTATAGATTTAAAACATTTAATGAATATTATTCTCAAATTTATAAAAATGGTTTACAACATCATTCCCTTAGCATTTTCATTATAAACTATTTTATATAAATTTTCTTTTATTTAAAAGCACTAAAACTTTTAAATTAAAAAAACAGCCATTCTGAATTCTAGGTTTCTAATGAAATGTTTGATTTTTAAAAATCCTACTGTTTTAGATAAAGTGCAAATTTCAATGAATGTCCTAAATATAACTGAGATTCTGCTTATACTTATAGTTTTAAGACTAATTAGAAACATGCAAGATTCTGTTTGAAATTTGCTAAAAGTTCCTCTGCCTTTAACAAGCTAAGAAATTGAAAACTATTCAATTCACATCTATAATACTGAAGAAGGTTATCTCTTAGCTATAATAAGGCAAAAACTAAGTAGATCTCATTTGAATAAATAACTATGCTCAGTTAATTACCAGAACTATACGTATTATTAATTCCACTGCTGTTTTTCAGTTCTAACCATATCAACACACACCTCTTAACAGAGTATTTTCAAATAAGCCAAACATTTTTGAATAGCTAGACATTAAGTACTTGAACTGTATTCTGTATTATTCTGTATTATAAAATGTCAGAAGCGGACCATGGTGGAGAACTTAAAGATTCCTTACAGTGGTGACTCCACATGCAAGTGTGAATCTGGGGGATAACTGGTTTTCATCCTTAATGCAGAGTGGACATAGACATGATTACAAATGATTTATTTTTATTAACCATCTTCAGAGCACAATTCTATTAAATGCCATGTTCCATTTCAAATGGCTGCTGCAGACCATGAGAGAGCTAATTTTTATAGACATAACAATTCAATGTTATTCTTGAAAAATTAGAGAAGATAAAACTGGAAACAGAAACTGTCAATAAACAACTATGGAATTCATCAGACGTTAACAGTCACAGGCACAATCCAAGCTCCAATACTTTTCAGACAATCAGAGAAACAATCAAGCATCACTGCATGAAAGCCAGTTAGGGGTTCATACATCAGTCTCCTCCACTCTAGGGGGTATGAATGAACATTTTCCATTCAAAAGTGAAAAAGAAGGTTTAATGAAAGGGGAAATAACTTGTAACATTTTAGTGGATAGCTTATGCATATTTGATATATGTTCAAGGCTAGAGAGGTCCTCTTAAAATGTTCTCCTAGACATGCATGCTTACCTTCCTTTGTGATGAAGTTGGGGCCTTCTCTTTTGAGCAGTATACCCAGCAGGATGGCTTGGCTAGCCAGACAACTGCAATCCTGAAAATATAAATCACGGTGAGGAACTGGAATGAAATGGGTACAGCAGTTACCACAGAGGGTAACTAATCACAAAACCACATGATGCAGAGAAGAAACACTTTACTATGTAACTGAGGGAAGATAAAATGTCATTGATATAATATCAAGCATAAGATGACATTATACAACGATTCATATTTATCTTAGATATCTTAGAGATAGAGGGTAGACAAGTGACAAGCTGGCTTCCTGGGGTGGTAGAATTTAATAATTAAATTTGCCAGAAAACAAGATAAGTAATGAACAGAAAATATTTTATCTACAAGCATTAACATTGATTTTGCCACTCTCTGAGAGACTTGGCCAGGTCATTTAACCACTCCCTTCTTGATTCTTCTTATTGGTAAATGGGAGACCATGTTGCTAGCAAACTGTTGTGAAGAGATGGATGATAGGAGGGGACTTGTTTAGAGTGTTTATTACATATTAGGGCACTGTGCTATAAGCACAGTGAAAGGATTGCTTTACTCAGTGACAGGACTGACCTAAAGCAAGCATTAGACCTAAACACTGGGGCAGGGGACAAGATGGGGGCAGAAAGGGAGAAAGAGGGCACTGAAAGGGAAATCTGGAGAACCCAAAGGCAACTATCATTGACTTCTTTAATGGCTCATACCATACTTGTATATCCAAGACAAACATATTCACCTGCACTTCTTAAGCATTTTTAAAGATATCCATGCAGATGTTAGACCAAGAGAACAACTTCTCATGATTGCCCTGGGAGTAGACAAGTCATCCACCTCCAGATTAATTGCTACCTTCACTGACAGGACAAAAAGACATATGGTCTGATTCTGGGAGCTTCTGCTCCAGCAACCTCACTTAGGGCCATGTGGGAAGTGCATCTGTCTCACATTCAGTTTTTGAAGAATTTCGTGGGTGGGTTTGTCCTTCCATTCACTAATGTTGACATCCGGCTGCTGTCCCAGTTCAGGAGCACTAGGGGTGCTGCTTTGCCGTTTGACTTTTGAATGTTTGGGAGGTTCTAGTTCCTCAAAACTCTTAAATTCTGGAAGCCTAAAAATTAAAAGAAAAGGTTTCATATTTTCTGCTTTTCTAATGTAATTTCAAAAAACCCAAAAATGAAATAACCCAAAGGGACTTACTCTTCTGTGTCACTGATTCGTAGGAAATCAAGTTGTTCTACCACAGCTCCAGATATTAGTGTCTGAAACGTGATCGAAAAAGATTAGAAACTCTTAGATACATCAAGCCATACTCTAATGGCCTGTGTGCATACCTTTCTGTAATTAAGTAATACTTCAAAAAATTGCTTAAAAATATATACAATTCTGAAGCAATTCTTAAATGAACATTCTAAAATCACACAGGTTTCTACACACACAAAAAAAACCCTAAAATAGAATATACACATCGTTACAAGTTTATGAGTCATTATAAATAGGTCAACATGAGATGGACTCTCTGTTCTTAGAATTGCAGGCATTTACTTTTAATCTGGAATTAAAATAATTCAGTAACCATTAAAATGTTAAAAAAAATAACATTTCTGACAGGGTGCAGTGGCTCATGCCCGTAATCCCAGCACTTTGGGGTGTCAAGGCGGGTGGATCATGAGGTCAAGAGATCAAGACTATCTTGGCTGTCCTGGTGAAACCCCATCTCTACTAAAAATACAAAAATTAGCTGGGCGTGGTGGCATGTGCCTGTAGTCCCAGCTACTCGGGAGGCTGAGGCAGAAGAATCACTTGAACCTAGAAGGTGGAGGCTGCAGTGAGCCAAGATTGCACCACTGTACTCTGGCCTGGCAATAGAGTGAGACTCCGTCTCAAAAAATAAATAAATAAATAAATAAAATAAAATATCCAAATTAGGAAAAACATAAAATACTAAAATTGCTTTGGGAAAAGATGTGAAATTGCACTGTGGATTCTGCTACTGTAATGTATTTCTGGGCCATCCAATGATAGGATACCGACAAGTCTCCATTTTTTTCAGGAACATGAAGGTATTGGTTATCCAGGCTAATGCTTCTCTGCATTCTGGCATATGGCTACCCATATTTGGCCATTTTATTTTCCATAAGTTTCTGATTATAGGTTGAACAAACTAAATGACCTTAAACACTGTTTGTGTTTGTCAGTGGTTCATGGTGAACAGTATGAACAGTATAAATGAATGATAAACCTACAATGGTTTTTAGCATTATGTGTCACTTCTAATTATCTGATGAATTGTCAGAGAAAATTGAGAAATGTACTCATAAAAAGCAGGCCATAAATTATTAATTAAAAATAAGGCAATATTTATTACATATTTATAAAATATTTATAACATATATTATTTTCTCTATTTTCTCACTGTTCATCTCAAATGTGAAGAAACAGGACACAGGGAATGTTGCTTTTGTTGGCTAACTACCCAGAATAGTAGTGCCTTCTCCTCTAGCGGAAACTCATAAACAAAGTAGATCAACAAATGCCCATTTACAGATGGTAGGATGGACGTATTAATAGCAATCATAATAAAGCTTCCTTGAGTTTGAGTGAGAAAGGCCGAATATGCAGTTGATCTACACATTTTTACTAGCCTGGCTATAGTCAGGTCACTCTTGAACAGTAAGTTCCCTAAGAGCAGGGTCTGTGCCTAGGCAGGTTCATTGAATGATATTTCCTAATATGTAGGCTAGCATGTATACATCTTGCTCTTTAGTTAAATGATTTGTTAGACAAATATTTATTGAAGGCCTACTAGGTACTATGTTAGGTATTGAGGATACAGCATGAACAAAATACATAACATTCTTGCCTTCTTGAAACTGTTCTTATAGGTATGTGTAGGGGATAGACAATAAAAAAGCTACACACACACACACACACACACACACACACACACACACACACTGTCATGCATTGCTTAATGACCAAGATACATTCTGAGAAATGCATCATTAGGCAATCTCGTTGTTGTGTGAACACCCATAGAGTGTACTTACACAAACGTAGGTGGCATAGCCTACTAAGCACTAAGCTATATGGCACAGCCTATTGCTCTTAGGCTACAAACATGTACTGAATACTGTAGGCAACTGTAATACGATGATATTTGTGTATCTAAAGATAGAAAAGGTACAGTAAAAATACAGTATTAAAATCTTATGAGACCTCCATTGTATACGTGGTCCATCATTGACTAAAACACATATGACCCTCTCTGTGTATACAATAATTATTATAATATATATTAATACTACATATATGTATTTATTATGTCAGATGGTGATAAGTGCAAAGTAGAAATAAGAAAGGTAGGGGATGGGGAGTACCAGGGCAGGGGAGTAGGATGAGGGTTGTTAGCCATTTCATATAGCTGATCAGAAAGGATTTCTCTAATAAAGTAACATGCAATCAGAAACTGAAGAAAGGACTATAGTCAATGATATGGATCTGAAGGAAGAGTGTACAGGGCTGGGAGTGGCAAGTGCAAAGGTCCTGAGGCAGGAGCATGCTTAGTGTCTTTGAGAGCAGCGAGGAGGAAAGTGTGGTTGAAACAGAGTAGATGGGGCAGCTGGTAGGAGATGAAATCAGAGATGCAGGTCCAGATCATGGAGAGCACATAGACCATTTGAAGAACTCTGGTTTCCACTTTGTGTGAGAGAGGAAGTCATTGGAGGCTTATGATATATGACCTAATCTGCTTATGACCAGGTAGAGCATGAACAGACTGTTTTATTAGTTGGAATTTAGGAGATGACTGGAAACCTAGGTGAGGGACAATGGTAGCTTGGACCATGATAATAGCACTGAAGGTGATGGGAAGTGGTTAGATTCTGGATACAATCTGAGGATAGAGACAATAGGATTTAATAATAAATTGTAACACAGGGTATGAGAGAAAGAGAGAGTCAAGAATTACTTAATTCTTAAAGCTGATAGCTAATGCTGAAACAGAAAAAAATTCTATTTAATAATTTCCATTTTATTAGCCTACTCACCCTTATATTCTAATTCAGCCCATAAAATAAATGTTTATTCTGAGTTAATAGACAAATGCTAAATTCCATTAATAATCTATAGGGCTTTTGATTAAAAAAAAAATTCAGTTGGTTGTAGAAGCTCCTATATTAGTATTGGAAAAAGCATACTTAACAACAAATTTGCTAGGCATTAGTATTCTATTTCTGATGGTAATTAAATAATACTGTATGTGTCAAACGCAATATAATATTTAAAACACTCAATTATATCCCACCGGGTCCTTTCCAACAGACCATCCTACCTAAGATTGCATTCCTTCCCATCACTCTCCCAACCTACCTTTGTTTTCTGTTGGGCTCTCCCTTTAGAATTTAAGTCCCATATGGTCAAAAACCTTGTGTATCATATTCAACACTACATCCCTAGTGCCTACAGTCGGAGCACAATAAATATTTGTTGAATCAATGAGCCAATATTTAAATATTTCCCACAGATAACAGTAGTGAGGAGAGTACTCTGGGGATGCAGAGATGAGTGAACCTTGAGCTGAAAAAGATTACAAACCACAGAGCGAGGCAGGCAGAAGAAACTAGCTAAACATAAAATGAAAGAAGAGCCATAGCAAACATTCAAGCAAAATGTCATAGAAGGACAATGAAAGGAGAAATTAATTCCAGTCCCCGAGGCTTCACTAAAGAGGAAACAGTCACCTAAGCTGTAAAATTAAAGTATGACATAGAAACAAAAAAAGAAAAAGGCAACTCTAAAATACCATCATAGCATGAGGGGAAAAATCTCCAATTACATTTAGAGATTTGGAAACCAAGTATATTTGGGGCATGGAAAGCATGGCTAGCAACGAACTGCAAGGAGAGATGTCCTGGGTAATGGGGCTGGGAGAGAAGGCTGGGATCCTAGTAATGAATGAAACTGTGGATCAGGGGATAAGGAAATTTGAAAGGATCTGAAATAAAACCCAAGAGGAGCATATAGATGCCATTTTCATTTATTATATTAGTAAAAAAAAAATGGAGGCTGGAGTGTGGGGGGAATGAGGAACTGTTGTTTATGAGCATAGAGTTTGAGTTTTGCAAGATGAAAACAGTTCTAGAGATTGTTTGCACAACAAAGTGAATGTAGTTAACACCATTAAACTGGACACTTAAAAATGATTAACATGGCAAATTTTATGTTATGCATGTTTTACCACAATTTTTAGAGATGGCAAAGTACATATTTAAATTCAGAAGATCTTCAAAAATATTGTTGACATTTTGGGTTACTGATGACTGTAAGTCTAGAACAGTTATGTACTTACATTTTGCTTTTGATAAATATTTTTAATTTAAATAAAAGAAGGAAAAAGTAAAAACACAAATGGTGAACTTCCATTTACATTTTTTAAAAAATGTAAAACTTGGCCAGGCGCGGTGGCTCACGCCTGTAATCCCCGCACTTGCGGAGGCTGAGGCGGGTGGATCATGAGGTCAGGAGATCGAGACCATGCTGGCTAACACGGTGAAACCCCATCTCTACTAAAAATACAAAAAATTACCCTGGCATGGTGGCACATGCCTGTAGTCCCAGCTGCCTCGGTAGGCTGAGGCAGGAGAATCGCTTGAACCTGGGAGGTGGAGGTTGCAGTGAGCCAAGATCGCGCCACTGCACTCCAGCCTGGGCAACAGAGTGAGACTCAGTCTCAATTAAAAAAAAAAAAAAGTAAAACTCTTTGAATCATGACAAAACTACTGACCTCTTTCTCCTATAATTTCTGAAACACAACTAAAAATGGGAAAATGAGATAGGTAGTGAAGTAGACATTAAACTCTGCTGCTGAAAAGAAAGTGATGAAAGTTCAGGTGCTTGAGTATAAAAAGTAGTGAACTAGGAATGGGAAACCATGAATTCTATTCCCTTCTGCAGTAACTAGTCTTAGGACTACAGACAGTTACTGTCCTACAAAGAGCTCTAGTTCTGTTTGTAAAATGAGAAGATTAGATGAAATATCTTAAGGTCTTGACCAACTTGAGCTTTGTGTATAAGGATATATAAGCAAAAAGTTTCCCAATTTCAGATGACACAGGATTAAAAAGGATATCATTCTGACTTTAAAACTCTATGCTGTGCTTGACATTAAAATAAAACAAAAAGAAAAGGAGAAACCTTCAATTTGACTTGAGAGAAAATCACCACACTTTGCACTGTCTTTGTAATTTGTCTATGACTCTTCAAATGAAATGAAAACTCTCCACAACATGGCAGAATATTAAACTTTAAAGTAAAATTATTTTCAACTCAAAGTCATCACAAAACTAAGAATTTGTCAACATCAGAGGCTAAAACTGATAGCTTATGATATGCCCAAAGTAAAAGCTTGAAAGTATTTTGATTTCTTCTTAAAATAAACATCTTTTAAAATTAAGTCATTTAATCCACCTGAAATGTATTTTGGTGTACGATGTGAGGTGATACTCTAACTGCCTTAATTTTTCCCAAAGTATATATTAAATAATCTATACATCCACCATTAATTTATTGTTTCCTTGATTACATATTATTTTAAGTTCCTGTGTGTATACTGGGGTGTTTTTCTGAGTTTACCTATCCTCTGCCATCAATTATAGTGAATAAGTACTACATTGTTTCACTGACTTCTCAATTTTGGTGACTGAATTTTTCATTTAGAATTTCTATTTGATTCTTTTTAAATGTACTATCAAAGTTTCTAATAAAATTCTCCAACTTGTTATCTAATTTTTTTCTTTTCTTTATTTATTTTTTTATTATATTTTAAGTTTTTGGGGTACATGTGCACAACATGCAGGTTTGTTACATATGTATACATGTGCCATGTTGGTGTGCTGCACCCATTAACTCGTCATTTAGCATTAGGTATATCTCCTAATGCTATCCCTCCCCCCTCCCCCCACCACACAACAGGCCCTGGTGTGTGATGTTCCCCATCCTGTGTCCAAGTGTTCTCATTGTTCAATTCGCACCTATGAGTGAGAACATGTGGTGTTCGGTTTTCCGTCCTTGCGATAGTTTGCTGAGAATGATGGTTTCCAGCTTCATCCATGTCCCTACAAAGGACATGAACTCATCCTTTTTTATGGCTGCATAGTATTCCATGGTGTATATGTGCCACATTTTCTTAATCCAGTCTATCATTGTTGGACATTTGGGTTGGTTCCAAGTCTTTGCTATTGTGAATAGTGTCGCAATAAACATATGTGTGCATGTGTCTTTATAGTAGCATGATTTATAATCCTTTGGGTATATACCCAGTAATGGGATGGCTGGGTCAAATGGTATTTCCAGTTCTAGATCCTTGAGGAATCGCCACACCGACATCCACAATGGTTGAACTAGTTTACAGTCCCACCAACAGTGTAAAAGTGTTCCTATTTCTCCACATCCTCTCCAGCACCTGTTGTTTCCTGACTTTTTAATGATCGCCATTTTAACTGGTGTGAGATGGTATCTCTTTGTGGTTTTGATGTGCATTTCTCTGATGGCCAGTTAAGCATATTGATCGTAGTTATTCTGACGTCTATGTCTGATAACTCTAATATCTGAACCAATGTAGGTGGCTCTCTGTTGTTTGATCACTCGTGGCATGCCTGATAATTTTGAATGAAAGACAGACACTGCACATATTTGTAGAAATACTTTGAGGTTCTGGATAATGTTATCTACTACTCTTTGTGAGGAGTGAACTATTTCTGATTCCCTTTTAGTCAAAGGTATAGCTTTTCAAGAGGGTCATCTGGAAGTCTGAAGTATTTATTGAAATCCCTCTTCCCTGGTGGGCCCTGAACTCTGATTTTTGTCCTTAACCATATGAAATTGCCAAAAGCTCTACTCCACTGAAATTACCATGATTATAATAAACTAGTAGACTAATTTAGGAGGTACTCACATTTTTGTAATAGTCTTTTCATCCAAGAATATGGTATAGCCCATTATTTATTCAAATCTTATATTTCTCTTCAAAATTATCTAGGTCTTTTTTTTCCATATAGGCCCACATATTTCTTAAAAGGAATAGAAAAATGCCTAGGTACATCCTGGAATGGGAGGGACACTTAAGCATAAAATCAAAAGTAGATTTCTGGTTAATATGACCAAGACATATCTTTAACTCCTGTTTTTCCTAAAATCCCAAAAATGATAGTGGAAAAAAATGTTTAAGGTATAAACCCACTAAGGTATAAATCCATTAGGACAAAGAGAACAGGAAAGAGCCTCAGGACCCTAAGATCCAGACACTGCTGGGATTCACAGACGCTCCACATAGGAAGACTGGGTCCAAAAGTTCCTTTCCATTCCCTAAACACTTAGGGAGTTACTATCTGCTTCCAGCTCCCTGATTTTTGAGAGACAAAAGGCTTTTTCTCTGGTTAAAGACACTGCACTCAAGAGTATAAGGCACAGTGGAGAGCAGGAGATACAAGGATTAAACAGTGGATTTGGCTGGAGACTGCATACTTCACAGTGGGATCCCTGGTTCCCTTCCTCCACCCTGCTTTCAGGACATGGAAACAAAGTTTATGTCCTTTGGTCATGAGGTTAGAGATGTACTTTCTGGGCAGACTGAAAAGCCTTAGAGAAAAGAATTCCAAATATTGGCATCTGAGGCTTTCTACAACAAAAAGGAGCTTTTGCCATCAGATCACCTTATAAGTGAATTCATCAAGAATCTTTCTCCTACACACAGGAAGAAACATTAAAAAAAAAAAAAAGCTCAATATCACTAAGCATCAAAGAAATGCGAATCAAAGCCACAATGAGGTTGGTTGCAGTGGCTTATGCCTGTAATCCTAGCACTTCGGGAGGCCGAGACAGGAGGATCACTTGAGCCCAGGAGTTTGAGACCAGCCTGGGCAACATAGCAAGATGCTGTCTCTACAAAAAACTAAAAAATTAGTTGGGCATGGCGGCATGTACCTGTAGTCCCAGCTACTTGGGAGGCTGAGGTGGGAGGATCCCTTGAGCTTAGGTGGTCGAGGGAGCAGTGAGCTGTGTACTCTACTGCACTCCAGCCTGGAGGACAGAGCGAGACCCTGTCTCTCAAACAAACAAAAGAAATAAACAACAACAACAACAAAAAAAACAACCCACAACGAGATACCATCCCACACCAGTCAGAATGGCTAGTATTAAAAGTCAAAAAACAATAGATGCTGGTGAAGCTGTAGAGAAAAGGGAATGTTATACACTGTTTGGTGGGAATGTCAATTAGTTTAGCCACTGTGGAAAACAGTTTGGAGATTTCTCAGAGAACTTAAAACAGAACTACCATTCAACCCAGCAATCCTATTACTGTGTATGTATTAAAAAAAAAAAAAAAAAAGACCACTAGAGCAGGAAGGAGGGCAAGGATTGAAAAACTATTGGGAACTGTGCTTAGAACCTAGATGATGGGACCGCTCACACCCCAAATCTCAGCATCATGCATATACCCAGGTATATGTATCCCCCTGAATCAAAAATAAAAGCTGAAATAGTAAGAAAAGAAAAAAAGAATCTTTGTACCCAAGCACACAGCTTCCTATGAACTTTTTACTCCTTTACTTTTAAAAATGAATAAATAGCTAAAGAATACCGGACATCTGACAAATGCCTCCAACATGAAAGACTGAGGGAAAAAACCCCGAAAGAGATAATACAGAGGAAAGGAAAATTGAAGAAAAAAAAGAAAACCTCTAGTTGATATCCTCAGAAAAGATAAAATATGACAGCCATGAAACATCCATAGGACAGAATACTATGAAAAATGAAAATTTAAAACATGATAGCCAACATGCAAAACTCAATAGAAGAACTGCAAGATAAAAATCAAAGAAATTGCCCCAGGAGGCATTACAAAAAGACAAAGCAACAGAAAATAAAGGAAAAAAGATAAATGCTTAGGTAAAAATCAAGTATGCAAAATACAATCACCAGGGAATGAGTATATAAACATGCCATTTATACTACTACGTAGGTCTTTCTTTATAAACTTTCCTCTTTCTTATTTAATACTGAGCACCTACTATGTGAAAGACCCCATGGAATAATCATTATTATTTTACAGAAATAAAGTATATAAGCCTATATAATAGACCGCAGTCTTAGTAGTTTAAGTTAAAGGTCACGAAAGCATGGTGAAGAATAGAAGTATATTTGTGGTCTGCATGATTTTGTAGAGCTGCCCTTAAAGTCTGGTAAGACCTCAAAGCCCAGTGACCTTGAAAGAAGGAAGGATAGTCCAGGCAGAGAAAATGGTGTGAGCAGAGGGACAGAACCCCACAAAATTCAAGACACAGTAATTATTGTATTGGCTGAAGCACAAAGAGTGTTTAGTAGGAGAGAACTGTGGACAGAGAGGCTGTTATGACCAACAGTGAACCAAAGAATGTTTCTGTAATTTAGGAGCTGTGAAGATAATGCTGTGAAGTTCTGAATGGAAAAAGGTTTATTCCCAGGTTGGATGTTAGTATAGAGCACAGAAAAGAGTACTGGACCAACAGTCAGCCAACTTGCCCCTAAAAGCCCAAGGTTATAAAGCAGGTCACTACACCACTATGGACCTAGCTTTTAGAGATGAGCTACTGAAGTCTAAAATTCTGCACAGGAAATTGCTGCAAGTGTTCAAGCATCTGACTTGGTGGGATCAGATAAACTGGAAAAGTGACAATAGGAATAGGAAGATAGGTGGAGAATAAAACCTTAAGTCAAAAACCTTAAATAGACCATACATTAAGAAACATAGCTGTATTGTAGATTAACTGTCCTGAAAATAGATGCATACTGAAAATCAGAAGGCTACCTGTAGACGATCCACATGAACTTTGACTCCTCCAATTATTCCTTTTTTAAGGGCTGCCAGCATATCTAATATGGGGTTGAACCGGCTACCTCTAAAAAATATAAATAAACAAAATGTACAGATTAACAACAGAATGGTAAATTAATAATCTAATACTAAGTGCCCCTTATATATACAAAGTATTCCACCACATACTAAGAAGGATACAAAAACATCCAAGGAGGCCTTTCTTCCCAAGGGCTCACTGTGTTCATGTCAGTGAGACACACGTACCTTACTTCTTTTATCAACCTACCTTATATTGTCTTCCCGGATGAGAACAAGGAAAAGTGGACGTCCATGCATTTTCCAATATTGTTTAATGAACTGCAGCGCATTCTGTCAAACAGAATGAGGTAGGATGTAATGGCACAGTATCTAAGATGAACAGGATGCTCAACCATGAGTGCCAAAGAGCCAACAAAATTCTTATGTAGCAAGACAGTTCACAATCCAACCCTGAATAACTTAGACTACTTAGGGGTAGAAGTACTCTAGCAGGTTCTCTGGGTACACGCAAGTTATGCTGAACACCACTTTGAGTTCAACGATTTCAAACTTTATTCTTAAAAGTAATCACGCTACATTTGTTTTAATGTGTTTTCCCCCTCTTTTTTTTAAATGTTAATCTATTTATTTGTTTATTTATTTAGAGACTGCCAAGACTGGTCTAGAACTCCTGGGCTCAAGTGATCCACCTGCCTCAGCCTCCCAAAGTGCTGGGATTACAGGTATGAGCCAATGCACTTGGCCTCCTTTTTTAAAAAAGCCTACAAAATACAGTTCAAGAATGGCCTCAGGGGGAACAATCATGCCAGCCGTCCAGAAGATTAACTCACTTCATATTACTAGGGATTTATTTTACAGCAGGTGGAGGAGACTGGACTGAATTTATACAGACCATTAGCAATGTAGAGGGAGCTCTTTATTTGATTAAATTATCTATCTATCTATCTATCTGTCAATCAATCAGTCATCTGAAAGACTTACATAAAATCATCATCATCACATCAAAAACTTACATAATACTTCACCATATGCCAGGCACTATTCTTAGTACTTTACATATATTAATTCTTTTAATCTTCAGAACACCCCTTAATTATTATTCAGTTTTACAGATGGGAAAACAAGGCACAGAGGAGTTAAGTAACTTGCCCAAGAACACACAGCTGGCAAGTGGCAGAGCCAAGATTTTAACGAATGCAGTCTGGCTCCAGATTTCATGCTCTAAATCATGATTCTAACCTTCTCTGCTCTGTCAGTAGAAAAGGGAGTGAAGATTTTAACTCATGGAGTTATGAGTTAGTTGAGGTTTTACTGGATATTTTTCATAAATAAAATTATTTTGCTAATTTACCTTTTGTTCAAAAAGACATAAACTGTCATATGAACATATTTTTCAAAATAGGTCCCCCTGTTTTTCTGAATTGTATCTTTTCATTTGTATAAAGGCACAAGGGGCAGTCATACAACTGTATATAAGACGAGGTCATCTATTATGCCAATGCTGCAAGTAATTTACACTCTCCAAAGCTATGCAGGTGGTTTTACTGTCATGCTTTACACTGTGTTAACCCAGTGTCACAGATACCTGGGAGTACTCAATATAGTAACATATGATAAAATCAGTGGAAACAAACTCATTCCATTTTTAAGAAAGGTGTTCCGAAGCTACCTTTATGTCATCTATCAGCAGGAAAACATCCTGAGACATGTAGAAATCACTTAGGTCGAAAATAATCGGGTAACAAACCACAGTCTTTCCTAGAATGCGATAAATCTGTAAGGGAAAAAGTTTTAAAACAAATAACTAAAGAACATACCAAAGGCAAAGGTGCAGTGCTGTAAGTCTCAATAAAAATAAAAACTGATGTCTAATTCTGAATAAGCACATAAATTAATAGCTTGCGACATCCAGATAATATTTAAAAATTTTTAAGTTTCTTGATGGAATCAGTATACCAATAAACTTAAAGCAGTCTACCTCTAATATGATGGAAAAGTCTGTGAGTAAATATTGTTATAATTAGATATTTTACAAAGCTTAGAAAAAATATATTTAGCAGTGAGGTGCTCCTTCATATTTATAAGACTTCCATGATATGATGCTAAATAAGTAATGTTTACTAGCAGAAAATAATACTTCAGATAAGTAGTCTGAGTACATAATGAAAATGAAAAAGGATGCATAGCAGGTCAAGCACCATTTCAGTATGCGGTATTAGAATCCAAAAACTACTTTTTGAGGACATTTCATGAGTACCTTTGATGTCCCGAGGCAGCCAATGGGCCTGTCTGGCCTTCCAGAGAGTCCTAACTTTTCATTGATACCCAGCTGCAAATAAGCCTGTAAGACACAAGTTTGTAAATTAGAGTCAGGTAAGAATCCATGTCACTTTCTCACCCCTGAGTATTGTCCTGTTAATTTTTGATCTTTCCAGAGAGAAAGAAGCTAGGGAACCCTAATCCAAAAACTTGTAGGAAGACAAGCTAACCAAAGATGTCAACTTAGATTTTGGATTACTGAGAGATTTGAGAGCAAAACTTCTGCAGATCTACTTAGCAACATTCTTAAATTTGATATTGTTCCTATACTGCTATAAATGTACAACTTGCATGGCTCTGATCGTAAAAGAACACAGAGGCTAATGCTTCCTGTATCATTAAAAAAATCCAGTTGTTTAACATTTTAAAAACGAGGGCCATAATCTCCTACTAAATTTCCACCTTTAAGTATTTCCCACCAAAATGAAAATGGCTTCATTGATTTTTTCTGATTATATACATTTTATGAAATATTCAAACCACGTACTCAAAGTGAATGTTCCTGTTTATTTTCACAATCCCTTTTGCAACAACTATTTCTCTGGTATACGCTGAAAGGGGTATATATAGTTCATTGTATGATCCCTAAGGGGCACCAAGATAGGGTTAAAGACTCTTAAAAGTACATCAATAAATATATACTCATATTATACACAGGTCAATATGTGTGTATATTTACATAAATGGGTTCATATATATTCTGTGTCCCATTTTTTAAACTTAATATTGTGGTATTCCAGTTTCAAGATGTTAAAATGGGCTGGGCATGGTGGCTCACGCCTGTAATCCCAGCACTTTGGGAAGCCGAGGCGGGCAGATCACGAGGTCAGGAGATCGAGACCACCCTGGCTAACATGGTGAAACCCCGTCTCTACCAAAAATACAAAAAATTAGCCAGGCGTGGTGGCGGGTGCCTGTAGTCCCAGCTACTAGGGAGGCTGAGAAAGGAAAATGGCATGAACCCAGGAGGCAGAACTTGCAGTGAGCCATGATCGAGCCACTGCACTCCAGCCTGGGCAACAGAGCGAGACTCCGTCTCAAAAAAAAAAAAAAGATGTTAAAATGAGTCTATGCATTTTCTGTACATTTCAATGTTGAAATGATTGAAGAAATATTAAAACTGAAGGGGAAAGCTGGGCGCAGTGGCTCACGCCTGTAATCCCAAAACTTTGGGAGGCTGAGGTGGGTGGATCACCTGAGATCAGGAGTTCAAGACCAGCCTGGCCGACATGGTGAAACCCGGTCTCTACTAATAATACAAAAATTAGCCGGGCGTGGTGACACATGGCTGTAATCCTAGCTACTTGGGAGGCTGAGGCAGAAGAATTGCTTGAACCCAGGAAGCAGAGGTTGCAGTGAACCACGATGGTGCCATTGCACTCCAGTCTGGGCGACAAGAGAGAAACTACATTTCAAAAATAAATAAATAAATAAATAAATACATAAATAAATAAATAAAAACTGAGGGGGAAAGTCTGCAGAAGTATTACAAAATAGGGAAGGGTGCCACAGTGGAGCAGAAACTTCTAGAATGTCTATAAGGTTAAAAACAGATAGTCTTGGAATGAATTAGGAGTTAATCAATGTCAGAGCTGAGCACTTAATCTAATCAAGAAGCCCCTTTACCTTTTTAAACTCCTATCTCCTGATAAAGATAGCTCCCAATTTTTTGTTATTTTAAAAATAATTCAATAAACATCTTTGGACAGTGTGTTATTATATCTGCAGGATAATTTCCTGGACTTGCTGGATCAAAGAGAATACATTCTCTTTGAAATGTAATGTGAGGTTGGTCACCCTCTAGAAATAATGTACCAATTTACATTGGTATTAACTGTGTACAGGCCTTGCCACCTTCTTGGGTCAAAATAATATTTCATTTTATTTTTAAACTACTACATTAAAATATTTTGTGGTTCAGCATTTTCTAATATATTTAATGACTCTTTGTATGTTCTGTAACTTTTTCCTTTTTTTTTTTTATTATTTTTTTATTTTTTATTTTTAATGTTTTTTTTTTTTTTATTATACTCTAAGTTTTAGGGTACATATGCACATTGTGCAGGTTAGTTACATATGTATACATGTGCCATGCTGGTGCGCTGCACCCACTAACGTGTCATCTAGCATTAGGTATATCTCCCAATGCTATCCCTCCCCCCTCCCCCGACCCCACCACAGTCCCCAGAGTGTGATATTCCCCTTCCTGTGTCCATGTGATCTCATTGTTCAATTCCCACCTATGAGTGAGAATATGCGGTGTTTGGTTTTCTGTTCTTGCGATAGTTTACTGAGAATGATGGTTTCCAATTTCATCCATGTCCCTACAAAGGACATGAACTCATCATTTTTTATGGCTGCATAGTATTCCATGGTGTATATGTGCCACATTTTCTTAATCCAGTCTATCATTGTTGGACATTTGGGTTGGTTCCAAGTCTTTGCTATTGTGAATAGTGCCGCAATAAACATACGTGTGCATGTGTCTTTATAGCAGCATGATTTATAGTCCTTTGGGTATATACCCAGTAATGGGATGGCTGGGTCAAATGGTATTTCTAGTTCTAGATCCCTGAGGAATCGCCACACTGACTTCCACAATGGTTGAACTAGTTTACAGTCCCACCAACAGTGTAAAAGTGTTCCTATTTCTCCACATCCTCTCCAGCACCTGTTGTTTCCTGACTTTTTAATGATTGCCATTCTAACTGGTGTGAGATGATATCTCATAGTGGTTTTGATTTGCATTTCTCTGATGGCCAGTGATGATGAGCATTTCTTCATGTGTTTTTTGGCTGCATAAATGTCTTCTTTTGAGAAGTGTCTGTTCATGTCCTTCGCCCACTTTTTGAAAGAGCCCGCATCGCCAAGTCAATCCTAAGCCAAAAGAACAAAGCTGGAGGCATCACACTACCTGACTTCAAACTATACTACAAGGCTACAGTAACCAAAACAGCACGGTACTGGTACCAAAACAGAGATATAGATCAATGGAACAGAACAGAGCCCTCAGAAATAATGCCGCATATCTACAACTATCTGATCTTTGACAAACCTGAGAAAAACAAGCAATGGGGAAAGGATTCCCTATTTAATAAATGGTGCTGGGAAAACTGGCTAGCCATATGTAGAAAGCTGAAACTGGATCCCTTCCTTACACCTTATACAAAAATCAATTCAAGATGGATTAAAGATTTAAACGTTAGACCTAAAACCATAAAAACCCTAGAAGAAAACCTAGGCATTACCATTCAGGACATAGGCGTGGGCAAGGACTTCATGTCCAAAACACCAAAAGCAATGGCAACAAAAGCCAAAATTGACAAATGGGATCTAATTAAACTAAAGAGCTTCTGCACAGCAAAAGAAACTACCATCAGAGTGAACAGGCAACCTACAACATGGGAGAAAATTTTCGCAACCTACTCATCTGACAAAGGGTTAATATCCAGAATCTACAATGAACTCAAACTTTTTTCATTTGTTCCCTTTTCTATGGGGAATTTGGCATTCTTTTTTATTTCAAGAAATCTTGGTATATTAAGAGTATTGCCCCTTAAATCAAATACTTTGCCCAGTTTGCTCCTCTTCAGTGTTGTTATGAAATGTGAGAATGACTGCACAGTAGGTGGAATCTCATTTCAACATGTGGTATTTCAATATAAACATTTTTCTACTAGAAAATTTCACAAGCACCTTTGATATGCCAGGCTGTTTGCTATATTTAGTTATACAGTATTTGTCAATCATTTCCTCAATGGCTTTTTGGCACTGGTATCATTCTAAAAATGGACTTCCCTTCCCAACAGCTAAAACATATTCTCTTATTTTTTTATTCTAGTGCTTTTATATTTAAATAATTTTAAAAGTTTTCAATTTTTGATCTGTCTGCAATTTATTTTTACATTTAATGACAGAAATACATCTAACCTATATTTTCCTAAATGGAAAATCAAACCAACTATCTCTACACAATCTACTGATTGTGATTTGGACCGATTTCAAATAACAACTTCATTGTATACAAAATTAGTGGTGTTGCCAGAGCTCTCTGTTCACTGACATAGTGCACACATCTATGTGAGAGTTGGGTTTGTATCTCTTTCTCCTTTCGAATTGTACATTCCTGTAGAACAGCAGCCCAAGTTGGCACTGTGCCTAGTATGTAGCTGGTGCTCAGGAAATACTTGATAGATGAATGAGGGAGCAACTGAATGTTCTCCTGAGCCACACATGCTGTGAATATTGATTCTGGAATAGCAGTGGTTTTAGACAAAGTCAACTGGCCAGAAACAGTGCTTTGTAAGCATTATTTTGCATAGCTGCACTGAAACCATAGCACATAACACTAGATGCAGCCCCCTTTCCCTCATATATTAATAGTTTCAAATTTTCAGAAATAAATGTATGGTAAAATGTGTTGATCTAGGTGGGCGTCCTTTAAATACTACTCTTTATTACAGTAAAAGGATTCTCAACTTTCTGAACCATGGTATGGCAGGTCTGTGACAATTTATTTAGTGCTCCCCACATTCCAGGGTGCATATAACACTGCCCCCATGTTGTACACATTCATACCATTTAGTGCACCGAAAGACACAGTAGTGACCAAACTACCCGGAAATACATAGAGCAGAAACTACCCGGAAATACATAGAGCAGAATTCTGTATTCAGATCCCCATGAAGCAAATCACACTACAGTCATCACATCATGAATATTAACCACATGCTGTGTAAAAGCCCTGCTCTCAGCTGTCTGCCCTCACATCCTCTTCAGTGGGCTGAAGGAGGGAGTGGCTTCTCAGAAGAAAGGGAGCAACCGCTGGCATAAGAATATGTGCATCAGCTAAGATTTGAGGGAACACCTTTACTTTTAAAAGGCAGACTTATAAGGAGCAGAATACTAGGCAATATATCTTAGTATATATCCAAAGAGCAGCTACTTAGGAACACAGAGGCTACAGCTACAACCAAAAAACAATCTTCCATCTCAACACATGCACAGGAAGGTTGGCTCTTGCTCACAAGTCTGTCTTTTCAGCCACACTACACCAAAATTGCAAGTCATTTGTTAACACCATTTTTAAAACAAGATGTAAAATAAGCCAGGAACTGTTGTAAGTCTTTACTTGCTCTGTAACAGAATGCCTTCTACTGCCTCTGATTCACAAGCACTTTGTATGAACATCTATTATAACAGTTATCAAAGTGAACTGTAATTCACTGTTTTTTTCCTGTCAAACCAATAAACCCAGAGGTCACTGAGAACAGGGACAAAGTCATTTCATATGAGTGTCCTACACAGTGCTCTGCATATAGCATGTGTTTGTTGCTGAATGAATGAATACCACATTCAAGTCATTTGCTCACCATGTTAGCCTTTTAAATCTTGACTGCATGTTGTCTGGTAGGATATAAACTCACCTACTATTAAAATAAGTTGCTAATATTAATTAGACTAGAAAAAACAGATTTGGGTTAATTTGTTTTAAGAGTATGTTTATCAAAGAATAAGCTTTGTTGGCGTTCTCTAGAGCTTTCAGCAGGAGAGCATAAAAGTGTATTAGCAGCCGACAGCCTGCAGCTGAATACTAAGAGCACAGCATAAGAGCCTTAGATTTTGGCATCCTTCTCTCTCCCTCCACGTTGCCTCCGCTCCTTGCCTTGTACCATTATGTACATCTGGGCGTGAGTTTAAATTGTTACCTACTCTAGGGATCCTTGTATTTTCAGCTTTATCTCTTGGCAGGGTAGTGGTGGTTAAATTTATTGGAGAAGGTATAAGGACTCTCCAAGAGCTGGTGCTCTTGGTGACCTGACACCCAGGTTCTGGTTTGTGTTGCCTAATGTCAAGATCCAGGCCTGATACTGGAGTCCTGCATTTTCCCATGTAACATGTACCTCTCTTCTCTAAGCCTTCATTTTTCTGTTATAGCAACAAGACTTTGACTACAACCATTTATATTTAACCTAATAAACTTAATCATGTCCACTTGAGATACACTGTTACAAAGACTTCTACTAAACACTGAGCAGTTTGTTCTTATGTTGTTTTTAACAATTACTAAATAAAAATGGCAGTGTATAAATAAGTAGTGGGTAGGAGTCAACAATGTCGTGTCTCTAACGAGCAAGAACATTCACAAGCATAGGCAATAATGGATCCATCTGCAGAGCAGTGCGTGCAAAAGGCCTCAAATGTCACCTTTTAATTCCATCCCAAATAGGTATTGAACTACATCAATGATAAATACAGATGTTACTTTTACTTTATAATTGCTTTGAGACCCAGCAAACCAAAGAGGTTGAAATTACTTCAGACACCAAACAGTAAGGCAAGAGAAAAAAAGGAAAGTAGTGAATATCAAAAATATTTAGGTATGAGTACGTTTTTTTTAAACAAACCTTCTCACACCTAAATATTTTTTGATAATCAAAGGCGAAAAAATCAAAGATAAAAGGATGAAAAAACCAAATCAAAATGTAAGAATACATTTTGATAAGAGGAAAAAAATCAAATCAAAATATAAGAATAATTTTATTCCTATTAAAATTAAGACTAACTTGTTATTTAACTGCTCAGCCTAGGTTAGTAATAGAGTTTAGAAAGAAGTAGGAATCAACAAGACCTATAAACATAACGTACACACACATGCACACACACATATACACAGTGCAAAGTTTTTTTTTTAGTAACAATGTCCATTAAAGTGGACTTCTCAATTTAATTAGAAGCTTTTGGATTACTGGTCCTATATCAGAATCAGATTTTAACTGTGTGACTTGTCTGTAAACTAAGTCCAACCATCAAGCTCTAGTACCTCTACAAAGTAAGGAAAGTAAAAGGCAGAATCACTTACTTTCACAAGCTCCTGCTGAGGCCATATCTGAATGGGTTCTACTTGTTGAGGAGTTTGAGTTTGAATACCATATGTGTTCAGAAAAACTTGAAGTCTAAAGATCATAGGGATAAAAAGAGACGTTTTAAGACAATGCATTTACAGTTTAGGAAGCAGTGAAGGAGGAGGATAAAAGGGAACATGTTAACTTGGAGGGCATTATTAATTTGTTAGTATTAGCAATTTGCCATCTGCACTAGATTTCAGAGGCCCATATGGATCCTCCATGAAGCATCACATGGAAACATTAGGGGCTGACAGGGAGGGAAAGCACTGATTTTGGTAATCCCCATGTGTTTGCATGAATTTCTCGAAACTACAACCCAGGCAACACTGGCACTGGTCAGTCTTTAATATTCACCTCAACTAAAACAAAATTATTTTTAAACACGAAAAGAATATGCTGGTCATTTAAAGTGATATTAATGATATCCTTGAAAGCCTGTAAAGGAGTTTCTGAAGTTAATCTCTTCTACCATAATCAATATTGTAAACATAAAGCAATCATTTCCCCTCCCCTCCCCTCCCCACAAAAAAACACACCACCCACTTGGATTTCATACCTTTGGCTTTCTGCTATAAGTGCCACATGAACTACCAAGTCATTTTCCAGTGGGCCCTGTAATGCAGAATAAGGGAGGGGGAAAACATTTTAAAAGATCTGGTCATCATCAGCTACAATGAGAAACAAGGACAATATTAACCATCTCTAAGCAGTTCATTAAAATGATGGACACCAGCTGGCTCTCAGCGGCCACCTTTCTTTCCTTGCTCGCCACTGCCTACTAATCAATTTGATGATATAGACAGAGTAATGGAACACAAAGGAATGGAAAGCCATAAACCTCATCACTACCACAGGGGCTAGCCTGTCAGGGCTATTTTGAATGATGCATAAGAGCAGTTTGGGGACCGAGAGTCATTTTCCATCATTTAACTCTAAAGGGAAGAGGAGGAACTAAAAATAAAAACCCAATTTATGTGTTCTCTGTAAAAAAAAAATGATAGTTAAAATTGTTCATTTGACATCTTAACCACATATAAGGTTATTCCCTTTCTTGTTAACCAGTTTTCCTTTGGCACCTTATACATCAAAATAACTTTATTCTAATATATAATTCTTATAATAGAGCATGAACTACCCAGTTGACTATGTAATTACATTATATTCATTAAATGCAAGCTGTTGGACTTAATAGTTCTAATCAAAGACAGTGTTGGATATTTGCTACTCATTTTTTGTGTGATAAAGATTCGCTATAACATGTATTATACATTGTTAAATTGAACCCAATTTTGAAACCTGTATATAATTAACAGAGAACATTAAGAAGCACCAATAAATTACAGTATTAGGGAGCTCTGAAAATACTGATCAAACATAACTCTTTTATAGTAATGGATCCAACAGTCCCAATAATATGCTGTAAAATATTTGATTTATCATCAATCAGTTCCTCTCTATGGTATTCAATATAACACTGAAATTTATGTATGATGGAAGGCAAGAAACACCAGCATACATATATCAGCAGTAAATACCATACAATCAAAGGGATGGTTCCCAGAATCATCGTCAAAGTGCCATTTCACGCAGACTTTCATGTGATTTAAATGAATGTGTAAGAGAAAATGTGATTTA
This sequence comes from Homo sapiens, assembly GCF_000001405.40. Lineage (NCBI taxonomy): Eukaryota > Metazoa > Chordata > Mammalia > Primates > Hominidae > Homo > Homo sapiens. The sequence continues at coordinate 47,640,011 of NC_000016.10, read as the reverse complement.
ACAATCCAACAAAAACAAATACCCATTTAAAATGTTATAAATTCTGTTTTTACTTGATAAAGACCTCACAATTAAATGTTTTCCAAAAGGGTGAGAAAAAACTTGTTTTCAAAGCCTCATCAAGATTTCTAACAAATGAAAAAATTAAGCCCTATTTCTCTTGGATGAGATCTAGTATTTACTGCTTTAAAAGGATGAGTAACCTTAGAATAGGCCATTATGTACAATCTTCAGGACAGTTGTGGGATTCTTAAATAAAAAGCAAATGAAAACATACAGAATACAGATGATATTTCAATAACAATAAATAAGGCAGTTTATAGATTGTAATTGGCAAACTGGAATCTTCTTTTTGAATCATAGGCCTGTTTAGGATATTGTTTCCACTTGTATGACAGAGTACTCAGATCTAAAATGGCCTCTATACATGTTGAATCATACTGAGCATCTAGTTAGGGGACTATCAGATGGCTGAAGAGCTCTTTTGTTGTAAAAACTAAGCATTTCAAATAGTCTGGTTCACAAACCATCTACCACAACGAGCTTGGACTTACAACTCCAGCCCAAGTGGGACCTTTTGCCCCATTCACCATTGAGAGAAAGAATTCAGCACGGGCAGCCCCACTCGTAAAACTCTCTTCCTTTCACTGCCAAAGTTGAAACTATCTGTTCTGTTTTTACCATTTTCTTCAAACCACCACCATTGATTTGTTTGTTTGTTTGTTTGTTTCAGACAGGTTTTCACTCTATTGCCCAGGCTGGAGTGTAGTGGAGTGGTGGAGTGATCACGGCTCACTGCAGCCTAGACATCCTGGGCTCAGGTGATCCTCCCACCTCAGCCTCCCAAGTAGCTGGGACTACAGGTGCACACCACCACACCTGGCTAATTTTTATATTTTTTGTAAAGACAGGTTTCACCATGTTGCCAAGACTGGTCTTGAACTCCTGGGCTCAAGCGATCTGCCCACACTGGCCTCCCAAAGTGTTGAGATTACAGGTGTGAGCCACTGCATCCAGCAAACCACCACCATTGTTGTCCAAAACCCATTAAGTCTCTCTGTTAATTTCCTAATAGTAACTAATACCTTCTTTTCTGAATGGCATTTTTCCTAACAATATTGTAATAATTTCTGCTTATAGGTTACAGACAAACACACACACACACGTATATACACATACTCAAGCCCTGTGTGGTACCAGTAATCTCCATTTTACAGGCATTTGTTGCTCATTCATCTGATCAAGTGGACACTAATCCACAAGACTCCATGTTAGAATACGAATATGACACAATGTCCCTCCTTGAGGAGTTCAGTCTACTAGGAGAGATGGATAACAGATAAGTTTTCACATGTGTGTTTATTATCACGTAAAAGTATTTTACTGGTATCTTTCTTTGGCAGATCTACCTCATTTAAAAAAAGTGACTGAAGGACATGATATACTGTGGATATACCATACTTTATTTTTAAAATGTTTATGTTGATGGATATTTAAGTGGTTTCCAATTTTTCATTTCTGCAGAGAATATAATAATTGTCCCTATCTCAGAGAACTACTGAAGACTTAGGGAGAGAACAAAGTGCTAAGCACAGTATTTCACACAAAAACACTCAATAAAGGATGTTAATTTTTGCTGTAGTTGCACATTTGCTTATTGCTATCTTCACACCAATCCTTGGACAGCGGCTCCCCTCTTCCTTGTCTAGATTTGCTATAATGCCTATGTTGCCCTAGATCCCATTGGCTTCCACCATTCTAAGACATTTGGATTATCTGTCATCCTATTTTTTTATATGGCTAGTTCTTCCCCAAATGATTCTGAACATCTTTTTAAAGACATCCTCAGGTGACTTAACACCTTCTTTAATGCTATGGTCTGAATGTGCATGTTCCTCCTGAAATTCAGGTTGAAATTTTAGCCCCCAAGGTGATGGTATTGGCAGGGGATAAGGGGCTGGGGAATGGGGAGGGGTGCTTTGGGAGGTAATTAGGTCATGAGGGCGGAACCCTCATGAGCAGGATTGGTATCCTTATAAAAGAGGCCCTGCACCCTTTCCATCATGTGAGGACACAGGGAGAAGGCACCATTTATGAACCAGAGAGAAGGCCCACACCAGACACTCAATCTACCAGCACCTTGATCTTGGATCACCCAGCTTTTAGAACTGCGAGAAATAAATTTCTGATGTTGATATGCCACCCAGTTTATGGTATTTTGTTATAGCAACCTGAACAAACTAAGACACTTAGCTACTACCCATTTTTTTCCTTTCATTTCTCAAATATAAGACTATAACTATGTCCTTACCTTTCTTGCCTCTGTACTTCTGCCCTCTACAATCTATCCTGCCCTGTCTTTGGAGATACATAATCCTAACACAAGTCTATGGTCACATATTCATTCTATTCATTCTCTCTTTCTCAAATCTCATCCACTCTAGTAGCTTTAAGCTATTATCTCTAAGTGTCATGGGATCCTTGGGGTGTTGCTTTGCCAGCCAGAAACCTCTGTGGCTGGTGGAGCCTTTTACCTGAATATTGCCCACACCTACTGGGCTCGTTCCACCCACTTGGCCTGTAGGCTGTGCTCAGCTTGCACTACCAGCCTGGATCCCACACTTGCCGAGGGTGAGCCAGGTGTTGGGTGGGGGGTGCGTGTTTCAGCCTTGTTTGTGTTACAGCTCTTTCAGTCCTGCCATTTGGTGAGTCCCAAGTTCTTGTCCCATGTCCAGAAGAGTGAGGTACACAGACAACTGGAGGGTGAGCAAGGCGGAGAGGAGCTTTATTGAGTGACATAATAGCTCCCAGGAGACCCAAAGTGGGTAGCTACTTTTTGCAGGCAGGCCATTCCGATGAGTGTCCAGCTCTCAGCTGAGAGGAGACCCGCAGTGGGAGCTCCTTTCTGCAGGCAGCTCATCCCAATGAGTCAAGGAGACCTGAAGACCTGAAGTGGGTAACTCTTTCCTGCAGCTGGTAGTCCCTACATCTGTCCAAGTCTGGCTGAGTCTGGTGGTTTTTATGGGCTCAGAAGGGAGGAAGCGCATGCTGATCGGTCCATGGGCGGCCATGGGTGGGCCCGGAAAAAGCACAGTTTCTCACTCTGGGCTGCAGACTCCACCCAGGGGTGGCAGCCCGGCCCCCAGGCTTCAGGTCATCCCTGGTTTGAAGGCAGGGTTTCACCAGGGACCCGCCCAGGAGCCTGTTTTCCTCCTGCCATCATCAACATGCTGTCCATGGTGCCCAGGCTGTTTGTGCCAAGGGATACCTGCAGGCCCACAACAAGCTGCCCTTAGCCCCACCGGCCTCCCTCCTGTGCTCATCGGCGCTCAAAGCCCAGAGGGGGCTGAGGCAGCAGGGGGATGGCATGTCAACACTGCCCTGAGCGTGCGCACACCCAGCTGTGTTGCATCAGCACCCAGGCTCAGTCACAACTTTGTTCCGTACTGCTGCAGGTGCTGGGAGTGGGGAATGGGAGCAGGCACTTCTGAACCTGTGGGGACCGGGGGCTTCCCAGGCCCCCAAGAGTGCAGTGATGCCTGGGTCTGGAGCTGCGGCTGGGCAGCTGCAGCTGCACCTGAGAGCATGGGGCCCCTGCCCCACCAACTCAGTAGGGAGTGGGGCTCCTGCCTCCTCCTGGCCCCCTCTGGCTCCATGAAGTGTGCAGCCCTGGCCACACTTCCCCTGCTGCAGCTGGTGTCCCCACAGTGGCTGCCCTAGACAGGTTGCCACTGCTATTATAAGCAGATGCTTCCATGTTTATATTTCTGGTCTTGACCTTTCTCTTAAGTTCTAGTTCCCACATTTTAAACTGTTTTCTGGACATTTTCTCTTGGCTATTTCCAAAGTTAATAGATTGAAAACTCAACTCCTCATCATCAACCCCACCTCCATCCCAAACAGGTTCTTATCCTTTAACCCTCAATTAATGGGTCACTCTAGCTCAGAACCTCAGAATCATCTTTGATGCCTTTTACATAACCTCCATATGCAATTAGTCACCAGAATCCTGTTAGTCCTTCCTTCACACAGTATCTTGAATGTTGTTTTCTTTGCATTTCTATAGCAATATTCAGGATTTAAAAGTAGCAACAACAGCGAACACTTTATATAACTATACTCCACATGCCAGGAACTGCTTAAGTGCTTTATCAAACTATTATCCCATTTTACAGGTTTAAAAATGAGGCACAGAAAGTTTAAGCAATTTATCCAAGGACACAGACCTAGCGGAGCTAGAATTCAGACCCAGGCAGTCTGACTGCAGATTCTGTGCTCATAGTCACTCACTTATCCTGCCTCTCAAAGAGCAGAAAGCAGGCAGACTTTAGATTGAAAGATCTACCTACAAGTCCTATCTTGTCACTTCCTCCAGCAATGATCCTGCTCATCTGATAGGTGCCTTAGATTACTGTGGACAAAACTGACCTGATCTCCATCCTTAAATCTACTGACTCCCAAAGCATTCCTTATCTCTATAAGACCCCATATTATGAGCTCATTTGCTCTGGCCAAAAAATGTGTAAGTCATCCTAAATTCCTTTTTCCTTCAAACCCCATAACCAAAAACAGCTAAAAAACCAAAACAAAACAGTGACAAAAACTGAGAACACTTATTGAGAATCAGGTGGCTATATTAAATTATATACTCTTAAACACCCCTATTAGGTAGGTTACTATAATTATTCTCATCTACTGATGAGAAAACTGAGGCAAAGAGTGGTTAAAAAACTTATCCAACATCATACAGCTAATACATAAAGCTATTAAGTGGCAACATGGAGATTCAAACATGCGCAATCCAATCTACTTATCCATTATAGTATACTGTATGCCTCTGTGACGTGCTGCTAATTCACGAAGAACTCGTATTGGCTCTACCTCCAAAATATGTCTCAAACACACCACTTCTCTCCTTCTCCACTGCTAATACTACTCTACTTAAAGTAACCATGATCTTTTACTTGGTTAAGTAACTGGTCTACTTACCTCAGTCTTAAACCCCATCCCACCCATTCACAGCAGTCCATCCTGAAAACAGTAATTAAAAAGTGTAAATCAGATCATCTCACTACTACTCCACCCCACCCACACATGCACATGCTTATGAACACCCTGCCTAAAACTCTCCAGTAACTTCCTGTAAAATGATAACAAAACTGCTTATCAGGCCCAAGAGGCCCTCCATGATCTAGCTCTGGCATGCTTGCCTCTGCTTTCTTATTCTCCCTTCTCTTCTTCACCATGTTTTAGCCACCCTGGGTCCTCTCTGTCCCTTGAACATACCAACTATATTCCCATCAAGTGCACTGGTTACAGCTGTCTGGTGTGTTTTCTCCTCCAGGTTGCAGAATGAATGCTCTCTGGTCATACAGGTCTCAACCATCATCCCTGCCACATAGGCCTCCTCTCTCCACCATGGCCAAAGTTGTTCTCCTCAGGCATCTCCAACCCCAGTCTACCACTTTACCTTATTTTGTCTGCCTCATAGTACCTGTCCGATACAGAAATTATATCATTTATTGTTATTCATTCCCTTCAGAAAGTACCTCCCTGAGGGCAGGGAACTTGATCTAGCTGGTCTACTGCCACCTCCCCACACATGGAACATAGTAGGCATCCTTACTATTTGATGAATGACTGCCCATGCAAGTTTCTCAATTCTTTGCTTGTCTGTAAAATGGGAAAAATATTTACAGTGCCTACCACAAAAGGAGAGGATCAAACAAAAGAGGGCATGTAAAATATTTGCAAACTTTGATCTGTTACACAATGATATTTATACTATTATTTGCTGTGTGACTCACTATGTCACTTAACCTCAATAAGCTGCAGTTTCCTCATCTATAAATTGAGAATAATAAAAATAACTATTTCCTAGGGTTATGAGAATAATACATAATATATAAGCATTTAACACTGGCCTATAGTAAGTGTCCAAAAAAAATTAGCCATCTATCAATGCCAGCAACACAACCACAACCCTGGGTCACTGCAATAGGCTTCTTCAGCTTTCTGCTCCACACTTGCCTTTGCCCATTGTCTGCGATTTATGGTCAGGTTCATTTTCTTGTATCAATGATTTGCACAAAGGAGGTGGTCAAAAAATATTTCTTGAATGCATGAAGAAAAGAGACAGAGAAGAGTTAGTAAACAGATATAGTTATGCAATATTTAGGATATTACCTCTACCCCAAAACTAATGTTTCCCAAATAAAGCCCAAACTTCTCGAGGACTTTTACAGCTCAGGGACTACCTGCTGTTCCCTGTTGGTCTCCCATCTGTTTTAGAGTACTCCACTAAAAAACAGTTCACTCATGTCCATCTTATGTTTCTGTCCACTGTCCCTTTACGTTTGGACTGCTCTCTCCATTCCTTTATCTATCCAGATCCTGACTCGCTCTTTTAACCTAGTCTCCTCCCAAACTCCCCCAAACACCAGGGTATCCAAATATCTTTTGTCCCTACTAGGAATAGCTGGCACTGCCTGTATGAGACACTTGGCACGAGTCTTGGATCACCTCATGCCATGCCTTTGGAAGGGTTATTTAGCTTTTAGAATGTGTATGAGTGGTCTGTGAAACTACAGGGGCCCCTCATGCTTACTTTTCTCACTTAGGATGTAGGAACCACCTTGCACTAAAAGAAAAGCAATTGTTATTCATTTGACGGTTTGGAGGAGGAACTTTTTTTTTTAGTATTGCTGGTTACATTTATTAGCAATACACAAATCTTCCCTTGAGCATACCCAACAAATGTTTGCAAATATAAACAAGGATACTTTTAACAAAAGAAAATAATCAGTAAAATGTACACATTTATATACACTATAAAAGAGTGTACATGTCAGAGTAACAATATGGTTTAGGACCAAAACCCTGTAGTTAGAAATATTCTCATTCAAAATTTTCATTTCTATAAAGTCAGATTGTATTTTTCTAAGATTTTTTCATTGTAAAGAAAACCCCACATAACCTAAATTTAACATCTTAACCATTTTTAAGTGTACGGTGGAAGAGGAACTTTTATAGCATAACTTCTCTATAAGCTGGGCACTAACTATATTAATATTGCAACTCATCATGCTAAAAATTTAAAACTACGGTAATTAAGACACTGCATGTCTATCTGTCTAGATTCTAGTTTTTAAATTACTCAAATCAGGTCAAAGTAGTAAAGCCAGGATATTTGCAGCTGGGGGCTATAAATAAAACAGTGTAATACAACTTTCAAAGGGCACACAGAGAAAACTTAATGTGAATGTGCCCTAATAGTGTTTCTTTTCCTTGCTCTTTTTTTCTAATTTAATTTTTTCAACAGATAATTCATTCATAAGGCTCAAAAATTTAACAATTATGAAAAAGTTTTTGGTGACATGTCATTCCCATTTGGGGCCTTCATCCCCACAGTTCCCCTCCATCTAACAACCAATCACTGCTATGATTATTTATGCCTTGCTCTAGCATTTCCTCATGCCTACAACAGCAAATGCAAATATATATTATTTTCTTACATTTCTACACAAAAGTTACTCTCAGCACCTTTTTCTAGTTAATAATTGTATATCATGGAACTCTTTTCATATATTAACACATAGAACACGTCCTCATTTTCACTCTAACTGCTTGGTATTCCATTTTGTAGATGTACCATATGTACTAATGTCATCTTTACACCTTTTGATAATCAATTAAGGCTAGTCAACCTTTTACACTGAAATCTCTGGAAATGGTTATGGTTACACAGTGGCACCATTAAACATCAGGTTTTAATTCTGCTTATAAAAGTAGACTAAGCACTCAAACTAAATCATTCAGAGGCATTGCTACCACTGGATTATGTGGGTAACTGGAGGACTATTATAAGAAAAGATCAGTAGGTTTGGGTTTGGGGAGGGGGCAGTGAGAAGTGTCTGAGTCTTTTCTAGGAGGGTGACACAGAAAGAAGCATAGACATCCATTTACAACATATGGAAATACACGACAGCTTGTTGATAAGAGTTATCTCATGGGATTGCTGGGTCAAATGGTGTTGCTGACTCTAGATCCTTGAGGAATAGCCACACTGACTTCCTCAATGGTTGAACTAATTGTGGCACTGTTCACAATAGCAACCAACCCAAATGCCCATCAATGATGGACTGGATAAAGAAAATGTGGCACATATACACCACGGAATACCATACAGCCACAAAAAAGGATGAGTTCATGTCCCTTGCAGGGACATGGATAAAGCTGGAAACCATCATTCTCAGCAAACTAACAGAAGAACAGAAAACCAAACACTGCATGTTTTCATTCATAAGCGGGAGTTGAACAATGAGAACAAATGGACACAGAGAGGGGAACATCACACACTGGGGCCTGTCGGAGGGTGGGAGGCTAGCGGGGGGACAGCATTGGGAGAAATACCTAATGTAGATGACGGGTTGATAGGTGCAGCAAACCACCATGGCACATGCATACCAATGTAACAAACCTGCATATTCTGCACATGTACCCCAGAACTTAAAGTACAATAAAAAAAGAGTTATCTCATTATGTTCTTGCTTACATTTGTTTTGTAGTCTGGTTTGGAATGTTAAGGAATTAATACATCTTGACAGCTTGCTATGTGCCACGTGTTATTCAAGAGCTTTTTTGAGTATTCTCACAAGAACTCCCATTTTAAAGATGAGGAAACTGAGGTGACGAGCGGTTTAATAATTTGTCAAAGGTTACACATCTAGTCAGTGATAGAGTTTAACCTGACTGCACGTATGTCCAGGTCTGAAATCAATATGGCACATGTCACAGTACGTATTTCACAGATTATGTGCTGCTTGCTATAGCAGGCAGAGATCTCTAGAGAAACAGGAAAGAGAGAGAGGAAGGAAGAAGAAGAAAGAGATTTATCATATGGATTGGCTCACACAATTACGGAGGCAGGCAAGTCTCAGGATATGCAGGTGAGCTGGCAAGCTGGAGACCCAGGAGAGCTGACAGTTTAGTTTCAGTCTGAGTCCGAAGGCCTAAACCCAGGAAGGCAGACAGTGTCATTCCAGTCTGAAGACTGGCAGGCTCAGACCCAGGAGTAGCTGATGTTTCAGTTCAACTCCAAAGACAGGAAAAAAGCCCATGTCCCAGCTGGAAGGCAGTCTCACAGGCAGAATCCTCCTCTTCCTCAGCGGGGGTCAGCCTTGTTCTTTTCAGACTTTTAGCTGATTGGATGAGGCCCATTCCCATTAAGGAGGAAAATAAGCTTTACTCAGTCTACTGATTTAAATTTTAATTTCATCCAGAAACACTGTCACAGAAACACTCAGAATAGTGTTTGACCAAATAGCTGGGCAGCCTGTGGTCCAGACAAGTTGACATGTAAAATTAACAATCACATGGGTGCAGGAACATGCTACATTCATGGGGAGTAGAGTCTGCCAAATCTCACCAACAGTCTCTTCTTCAGACACCTGAGATCAGGTTTTAAGAAAACTCAATTCCAAGCATTGTTTACAAACCTATTTTCTTATCTGCTTTTTCTTTTTTTTTTTTGCGACAGTTTCCCTTCTGTCACCCAGGCTGGAGTGCAGCAGCGAAATCTCAGCTCACTGCAACCTCTGCCTCCCAGGTTCAAGTGATTCTCATGCCTCAGCCTCCCGAGTAGCTGGGATTACAGGCATGTGCCACCATGCCCGGCTAATTTTTGTATTTTTAGTAGAGACAAGGTTTCACCATGTTGGCCAGGCAGGTCTTGAACTCCTGACCTCAGGTGATCTGCCCACCTCGGCCTCCCAAAGTGCTACGATTACAGGCCTTATCTGCTTTTTGATAGAATATAATTCTTTAGTTCTTTTTTTTTATATACTTTAAGTTTTAGGGTACATGTGCACAATGTGCAGGTTAGTTACATATGTATACATGTGCCTTGCTGGTGCGCTACACCCACTAACTCATCATCTAGCATTAGGTATATCTCCCATTGCCATCCCCCCCTCCTCCCCCGACCCCACAACAGTCCCCAGAGTGTGATGTTCCCCTTCCTGTGTCCATGTGTTCTCATTGTTCAGTTCCCATCTATGAGTGAGAATATGCGGTGTTTGGTTTTTTGTTATTGCGATAGTTTACTGAGAATGATGATTTCCAATTTCATCCATGTCCCTACAAAGGACATGAACTCATCATTTTTTATGGCTGCATAGTATTCCATGGTGTATATGTGCCACATTTTCTTAATCCAGTCTGTCACTGTTGGACATCTGGGTTGGTTCCAAGTCTTTGCTATTGTGAATAATGCCGCAATAAACATACGTGTGCATATGACTTTATAGCAGCATGATTTATAATCCTTTGGGTATATACCCAGTAATGGGATGGCTGGGTCAAATGGTATTTCTAGTTCTAGATCCCTGAGGAATCGCCACACTGACTTCCACAATGGTTGAACTAGTTTACAGTCCCACCAACAGTGTAAAAGTGTTCCTATTTCTCCACATCCTCTCCAGCACCTGTTGTTTCCTGACTTTTTAATGATCACCATTCTAACTGGTGTGAGATGGTATCTCATTGTGGTTTTGATTTGCATTTCTCTGATGGCCAGTGATGATGACCATTTTTTCATGTGTTTTTTGGCTGCATAAATGTCTTCTTTTGAGAAGTGTCTGTTCATGTCCTTCGCCCACTTTTTGATGGGGTTGTTTGTTTTTTTCTTGTCAATTTGTTTGAGTTCATTGTAGATTCTGGATATTAGCCCTTTGTCAGATGAGTAGGTTGTGAAAATTTTCTCCCATTTTGTAGGTTGCCTGTTCACTCTGATGGTGGTTTCTTTTGCTGTGCAGAAGCTCTTTAGTTTAATTAGATCCCATTTGTCAATTTTGGCTTTTGTTGCCATTGCTTTTGGTGTTTTAGACATGCAGTCCTTGCCCATGCCTATGTCCTGAATGGTAATGCCCAGGTTTTCTTCTAGGGTTTTTATGGTTTTAGGTCTAACATTTAAGTCTTTAATCCATCTTGAATTGATTTTTGTATAAGGTGTAAGGTAGGGATCCAGTTTCAGCTTTCTACATATGGCTAGCCAGTTTTCCCAGCACCATTTATTAAATAGGGAATCCTTTCCCCATTGCTTGTTTTTCTCAGGTTTGTCAAAGATCAGATAGTTGTAGATATGCGGCATTATTTCTGAGGGCTCTGTTCTGTTCCATTGATCTATATCTCTGTTTTGGTACCAGTACCATGCTGTTTTGGTTACTGCAGCCTTGCAGTATAGTTTGAAGTCAGGTAGCGTGATGCCTCCAGCTTTGTTCTTTTGGCTTAGGATAGACTTGGCGATGCGGGCTCTTTTTTGGTTCCATGTGAACTTTAAATTCTTTAGTTCTTGATAAGCAAATATAAAAACGACTGCCTTTTCTGTTAAATCATATAGCATGTAAAGCTCATAATTCTAATTTTTGCAATTGTATTGAGCCCTAGTCTAAGTAGTTTTATTTTTATTTATTTATTTTTTTGAGACAGAGTTTTGCCCTGTCGCCCAGGCTGGAGCGCAGTGGAGCGATCTAGGCTCATTGCAAGCTCTGCCTGCCGGGTTCACGCCACTCTCCTGCCTCAGCCTCCCAAGTAGCTGGGACTGCAGGTGCCTGCCACCACGCCTGGCTAATTTTTTGTATTTTTAGTAGAGACGGGGTTTTGCCGTGTTAGCCAGGATGGTCTCGATCTCCTGACCTCATGATCCACCCGCCTCGGCCTCCCAAAGTGCTGGGATTACAGGCATGAGCCACCGCGCCCGGCCAGTAGTTTTATTTTTAATATGCCCTATATTGCATAAAATAATCTACTGTGTCTGGCTTACATAGGTCTTTTATTGAAAGAAAGGCAAGGGAGGAGGGAGAGAAGGAAAGAAAAAGGAGCCAACAAATAAATGCATCCTCCAGGCTGGTCTTGCTCAAGGGCAGTGTATTTGAAACATTCTATGCCTCTGCTTTGGGGGCCTTACAGAACACTCATTTATGCTCATTAGACTTCATCAGTAGGTCCTGCCAACATCCAGCATTTTTTCATTACACTCATTTTTCAGCAAAACCTCATTAGCTGAAGAAATCAGGCAGATGCTTTATACATCTCAATTCCAACTGGAAACACTGCACCCCCAGTATTTTTCCCATAGAAGCCAAGTAACAGGCTACAGTAGTTTGAACACAGCCATGTCCTGACTGAGACACACTGGCATCTTGTTCTGACATTTCCAACCAAGCCAAAGCAGCAACATGTGAAAATTAATAGGAAAGCAGAGGAAAGTTAAGTAGAAATATCAGAGGAATAACAATATCAAGCATGGTTAAAAAGCTAAACTTGGCTCAAGAGTCAACTTGGCCTGGGAGAAAATGGTCCTTTAGGCTCTGTGTATTTATATATTGGATTAGTGATTATATAAGCTTTCTATTTAAGAGGAAAACAAATGAATTTTTAAAAGTATTCCCAGACCTCAAACACATTGTTTCAAATGCCCAAATGAATAAATCAGGCAATGCTTTTTGACAGCAGTTCTTTCAATGACTGCGATTATAGTGGAAGAGAATACCGAACGCTTTGTCACAATGAATTGATTTGTAATTTGTAAAACTGTTTCACCCCTTTCTAAGTACTTGCTGTAACTGGTGTTTCTATATTTTTATCTTAAGGAAATGACAGTGCTAACAGTCTTGCATACTGCATAGAAACAATGCCAAAATGGCCACATGAACCCAGGTGGAGAAACTCTGACCTACGGTGTTCTCATAGCTTTAATCATGACAAAGGGGAAGAACAAATGACGAGAACGCCATAGAAACACAACAGGAAAGATCAACATCAGGAAAGATAAGTAAGATGAGGGTGAAACAGAGCAGGAAGAGGCAGAAAGGGGAGAACAGATTCCAAGAATCCAGTCATTTAACTCTCAGGTTTTTTGGTCATTTAGAAACACCTCAGGTGGTGGGTTACAAGCAAAGAAAGGTCCCTAGTGGTAAACCATAAGAAACCAGGTTTTAGAATCATGGGAGAAAAAGAAGCAAGTCCAGTAAACCGATGTGTTTTTAATTTTTCTCCTTCGGATGCTTGTACCAACGGGATCTGTTCCCTGGGATTTGAGTTGAAAATGTCAGAGATGGGAGGGGGCCATTTCTATCATTTGGCTGTAGGAGGGGTCTACGAGAGAGACTAGTGGCAGGACTCCATTTCAGCCAGAGCAGCACAACTATTTTATATGCTGAAATTCTACTTAAGATTTTGTCTGAAAATTGGCTTTCCTTGATAAAATCATAATCCACTTGATGGATGAGAAGACTGAGGCCCAGAGAGGGGAAATAGCCCAGGTCCCTTTACAAGTTAGTGGCAGTCCCAGAAGCAGAATCTCTGTTTCTGGACTGACTTGTTCTAGAGTTCTCTTCGCTAAGTCAGACTGCTGCATCTTACTGGCTGTACCATAAACTTTTCAGTTCACTAGAGAATTGCCAAGTGCAGCATTCCACTTAGGAGTGGAAATGAATGCAAAGGCCATATGTGCAGTTATTACAGTGTGAAAGCCACCTAAGAAGAGAGGCCTTGGAGGGGAAGGGCATGAAAACCTGCTCTACTTTCTTCTTTGGCACTTGATGCTCATCTAAATGACAAAAAGACTGGGCTGGAAAGATAATGCAAGGGCCAACTTGAGGCAAGATTTATCATCACTGGGTCAAACCCAACAACTACAGAGGCACCCAGCAGGCTCTAGAATCCAACAAGCCTTTAGCACCACAGAGCCATCTTCACTGAGTTGAGGCCAAACTGTTTCTAGTGCGGATTCACACAGGGGACCCAACTGCAGAGGAGATACTCCACCATCACTCTTTGCAAGTAAACCTAAGGGTTTTCTATATCAATGAGAGAATTTAACAGTTTTATACACTAGAAAGGTTTCTGCTAGTGAGGAACCCTTGAGAGTTTGCTGAGTTTTTCATGCATCCAGACTTAGTAAGCACTAGGATGGCAGAAAGATGAATGAAACATTTTCTCTATTCTTTATGAACTCACCATATAAGAGAGAAGACAACTACGTAAGGACTTCAGTAGGATATTAAATACGATGCTCTTAATGGGTACTTTGAGGGCAAGACAGGGAGCATCCAACTTAGCCTCAGGGAATTGACAAGGACTTTATAGAAAAGGTATCTGAGCTGTTCTCGAAGATAAAAACTTGCCATTAATGAATTGATTCAATTAATAGTGATTTTACTATGTGTCATTAAGACAATAAAGTCCTCTAATTAAACTTACATTTCAGTGAGAAAGATGATTAAATTTATATAAATAAACATAATAAAAGTAAAGGGTAATATATTAGAGTAACTGAAGACAGAGGCTACTTTAGATTGATGGTCAGAAAGTAACTCTTAGAGGGTGTCATTAAATCTGAGACTTAGAGACTAAAAGGAGTGTGCTAAGGTCTGGTAACAGGCACTTCAGGCAGAAGGAAGAGTGTGCAAAGGCCCTGAGGAGGAGAGACCCTGAAGTGCTGGAGAAACTAAGAGGAGACCAGTGTGTCTGGAGCATAACAGGCAAGCAAAAGAGTGACAAGAGATAAGGGTGGAGACAGCTAAGGCCCCACAGGGCCCTACAGGCAACAAGGCATTTGGCTTTCATCTAAGTGGAATGAAAAGCTACTTAAAAGGGTTTCAAACAAGGAAAAGACTCAATATAATCTACATTTCTACAACAATAGTAATAAACACATATATGGTACTTATATGGGCCAGGCCCTGCCTAAACACTTTACATACATATTAACTCACATGATGGTGGCTCTCTTGCTGCCATATAGAGATGACTTGCACGGGGCAGAGTAGACATATGGAGATTAGTTGGAGCCTGCAGTTGAGAGATAATGGTGACCTGGACTATAGTGAAGTGAAGAGGCGGGAAGAGGGAACTAGTGAAAATATTTGGGGACTATTTAGAAAACAGAATTCTGATAGGACTGGATTTAGAAGAGAAGAGGTGAGGCAGGCAGACAGGAATCAAAGATTAATTCTATGCTTTTACAGGGTTTAAAGGAGGAAGGAGTGTTCAATTGTGTTGAATGTCTTTGAAGTCAAATAGACTGGCATCTGAAAAGAGATCATTGGAGTTATCAAATTAGGAGGAGATTAATAACTTGTTGCATGTGGTTTTTGTAGAGTGACAGTGTAAGAAGCCAGACTGTGCATTACAAGGAGTGACTGAGAACTGAGGACATGAAGATGGTGCAAGCATTTTTCTAAGCTGTCTGAAAGGGAAGGAAAGAAGGGAAGTAAGACAGGCCCTTGAGAGAGGTGAATAGCTGCGGAGCACTTAAATACAGTCAGGGAAAGAAGTAAGTAGAGAGAAAGGTACAAAATATAGAGGAAAGACTGAATATCAATTGGAACAGCCAAAGGTAGAGGGAAAAAAGCTGGGTGAGTTAATGCCTGGGGATAGAGGTTTTTCTTAGTCTTCTGGGATTCAGAGGAAGAGTTCCAATTGTAATTAGAAGCAATGATCTTGGCATGTACTAGAACCCATTAGTCTAGTTTTAATTTTACTTTTATAAACCCTTCTGAGAAATTAAAGCTCCATCTCCCACTTTGCACAATTTTGACTTAAGTACAAGGAAGGGCTCATGTTCTGCTACATAGGGTTATTCATTCTTCTTTGCCATATTAAATTCATCTTCTTGGGCTGAATTTATAGTTTCTTCTGATTAATGATATGATTAGGAGCCATAATTAGTGTCCAGATACCTGACCATGTTACAGTGTCCCTTTCAATTCATCTTCATAAACCAGTTGGTTCTATAAACCACAGGATCCCATAAAAGATGTTTTTAAATAAGGTTGGGGAAACAATAAAGATGCTCACAGAAATAAATGAGGAGAACATTAAAATATAAATATTTGCTCAAAACTCATGGAGATTCGTAAAGTTTATGAAAATTATTCATGAAAATATACAAAAATTATAGGAATTATATGAATATGTAGCCTTCATTGAGCTTCTACAAAACATTTTCAAAAGGCAGGTTTCTTAGGCATTATATTCTGATATTTCTAATTCAATACCATTCTTAAGAAGTATAGGACACAACAGAATAATGTAATCTGAGAAGAAGAAATAAGCAATTAAGGTTTATCTATAACAAATCAAAACTGTCAGGCTGGGCGAGGTGGCTCACGCCTGTAATCCCAGTACTTTGGAAGGCTGAGGCGGGTGGATCACTTGAGATCAGGAGTTCGAGACCAACCTGGTCAACCTGGTGAAACTCCATCTCTATTAAAAATACAAAAACAAATTAACCAGGCATGATGGCAGGTCCCTGTAATCCCAGCTACTCAGGAAGCTGAGGCAGGAGAATCACATGAACCCGGGAGGCAGAGATTCCAGTGAGCCATTGCACTCCAGCCTGGGCAACAAGAGCAAGACTCCGTCTCAAGAAAAAAAAAAAAAAAAAAAAATCAAAACTGTCAATATATGGAGCTAATTAAAAAATTAGCTCCATTAAAAAATGGAACCAAAAAAAAAAAAACCAAGTTCAAAAGCCATTAAAACAATGGCTTCTGTCTATACAGTGATAGTCTTAATCACACAAAGGGATAAAAGAAATCTAACAGGTTAAATGCTAAACATTCAATTTCTTTCTAAGTTGAATACAGACTAAAAAATATATCCGAAATGTTGAAAATATAATGTTTTCCTCTAGACTTTTTAGGATTTTTTCTCATCTCTTTAATGAGAAAGAAATATTACTTATATAATAAATTATTGAAATAAAAAACAGCAATAATATTTATTTAGCTTGCATAATGTGTCAGACATTTGGTTAAGAGGTTTACATAAACTATCATTTAATCATAAACACAACCCTGAGTTAGGGATCATTATTCCCATTTAAAATATGACAAAAGTGGGGCTTAGAGAGATTAATTCAATTGTCCAAGGTCACACATTTAATAAGTGGAAGAGACAGGTTTTATAGCTAGGCCTGTATGAGATGCAAAGCCACTATACTATATTACTTCCTTAAAAACAAAAATTTATTACACATATATGCAGTGTTCATTGATCTTTAAGAAAGTAATTCATGCAAAATTCTATGCATTTGTATATTTAGAGGAGAAAGCATGAAACTCCCACTTCCTCATTAATTTGAAAAATGAGAGACCAAGTGTACTATATGTTTTTAGCTGAGATCTATATAAATATGTACATGATTTAGCAAACAAGTACTGACTTTCATCCTCAATTTGGAAACTTGCAGCACAGAAAATAAGCTCTTATGACTAAAAAGCATTCCTTTCATATTGGCCTTTTCTCCAAAGACTGTCAAAGTAGATCAATCCATTTTAATTGGCATATTAAATGGGCTAGTCTACTTCACAGATTCAAAGCTTGGGTGTCACTGAATGCGAAACTGAATTCTCTCAAGGGTGTGTCAATACACATGATCTGCTCTATCATAATAATTCTGCCATTAAAGTAAAATATTGCCTCAAGTAGCTGACCAAAAATACTTGTATTTTATTCACCTGCATGACAGCAAAAATACATGGAACTCTCCAAGGACCTCATGAGAGAAAAATCATTCCTCAAGAAAGTAGACACTCCCAAAGCCCAATCCTTTGTTTTAGAAGGGGGCAACTTGTCAGGATATAGATTATTAAACAAGGTGGAGCTAGAAGGCGTTAATTGATAGGTTTTCTTCAAAGATCACTAGACCTTTAAAAATGTGAATAGATTCAAAACAGGAAAAAACGTGAAGTAGGTAAATTTCAGGTTAAGTTCACAAATTTATTCATATTTATGAATAACTGAGATTTCTTTCCTTAGAGAAAAATGTCAGAAATATAGATTCATTAAAACAATACTAGATCATAATAATCCTTGTATATCTTTATTCTGGACCATAAATCTTGCTTTCTTACTTCTATTTTTCCTTCTTTTACATTTTAGCCATGAGTATAAGAAGTTTCCATCCTGTAGATGAAATATTTCATTATACATCATGCCTATTATTGAAACTTTTAATTTTAATAGGTTAAATGGGTTAATTAGAATGATGTTATTAAATGTGTTTAAGCTCATTTTTTTGACTTCCAATTCAACTTTTCTCAGTTCTGGATTTTTTTTATCAAGGCATTGAATTTTAATTGGCTCAGGTATAAATACCAATTGATAAGAGACTCTTCATTACCCTTCAAGACAGCAGACAGAATTACCTGAGGAGAAACTCTGTGCGGCTGTGGCATATTCAGGCTAGGCTCTCTCAGAAGCATCTTTGATGCCTTGACTATTTTATTCTGTTTTACTAAGATAATCATAAGAACTTCTATTCAGTACTCAAATTCACTCCCATGCTTGGGTTTTTGGTCCCACACAAACGCTTTATTTCTTTGCCAAGCTAGTGAAGTTGTTGTTGTTATTTTTTAATCTTTTAAGTAGAAATTATGTCTCAAACTGGTTAAACTATTTGAGAGCATTAGAACACACTGAGCCAGATAAAACTGAGCCACATGCATGATTTCCTTAAATCACCTTAAATATCCTTAAATCTTTTTAAAGACTAATAAATCTTTAAAAACTGAATAGATTTAGAACAAAACTTTAAAAAGGGAAATCGCTACAAGTCCATATTGTAGGAGTGCTATATAATGTATCTACCAAATTAGGAGGGGTTTATAACCTTTCTTGGATTGCAGTAAACTCAACTTCCTGAGCAGATGGTCTTCCACCATATAATTCCTTTTTAACTCCCTACAGTCTGGCGACTGGGCACACTACTCCACTAAAGTCACTTAAAGGTTACCAATAACCTAGATTATGGAAGCCAGCAACAGAAGCGCTGGAAGGGGATTTACGAATTAAACCCAGCCAAATAATTTTACAGATTAGAGAACTACACTCCAGAGATGCTAGGAGTCCTTCCCCAGATTATACTGCAGTGAATCACACAAGGTCTAAAGAACTAGTACCTGAATTTCTGCCAGTGCTTTGCTGCTCCTCCCAGCCAATGAGGTAGTCAGCCTTCCTGAACCAAGAAATCAAAATTCTTTACACTTTATACCATTTTAAACTTCTTGCTAGATTATACTGTCCTGCCCTTCCTAGAACATCTCTTTTTTTTTATATTTTTTATTTTTTTGAGACAGAGTCTCACTCTGTTGCCCAGGCTGAACTGCAGTGGCACAATCTTGGCTCACTGCAACCTCTGCCTCCTAGGTTCAAGCAATTCTCCTGCTTCAGCCTCCCGAGTAGCTGGGACTACAAGTACACGCCACCACACCTGGCTAATTTTTGTATTTTTAGTAGAGACGGGGTTTCACCATGTTGGCCAGGCTGGTCTTGAACTCCTGACCTCGTGATCCACTTGCCTCGGCCTCCCCAAGTGCTGGGATTACAGGCGTGAGCCACCATGCCCGGCCAGAACATCTCTTTACTCCAGCATCTGCATTACCTATACTGTGGGAAAGAATGAAGCCTGGAGCCTGGCCTTCCAAGAATTGTCTGCTCCCATAGGTTAATTTCCACCATGAACCATGTTCAATAGAATACAATCTTGCATCTTTTATTTATATTAACTACTGGGCACCTCAATTAATTGTCATGTCTGCATTGGAACTATCAAAATACAAGTAACAACAACTGCTAAGCCCAAGGTTGGATTCAGAAGCATGCAGTGTGCCTCCTGTGTTCTTAACCATTTTGCTAGGCAGAACATCCAACAATATGAAACCTTTCCTATTTGTACTCTTGAATATTGAAATAGCATTTTCATATCAGAATATTTTTTTCTATAATTCTTCCTTTGACACTAGAATGGCTTATTTATGTAAAAATTCTGCTGCATCCAACAACATCTATTTTGAGAAAAAACATCAATTTTTCTTAAATTGGTTTAAAAACAAAATGAAGGGAGAAAAAAGCAATTCCTGGCTGGCTATTGCCTGTTAAATATAATAGTTTCAGACAATATTCCAAAAACATTTAAAAAGGTATTAGGTGTATTTTCCTATTTAACCAGGAATCTTCTGTATTCTAATTAGTATAATACACATGTAAAAATAAGTCCATTTGCTATAGAACTCCAGAAACCCAACCCCTAGTTACTATAAATAGATGTTCTCTAAGGGTCACCTTATACCTAGTGGACAACTGTAACGCAAAATACAATAAATCAATAAAATGCATATGGCCAGCTGCTTGCAGTTTCTGCTGCAACCAGAGCTCTCCCAAGTTTGAATGAGCTGCAAAGGCTGGAAACAAACACTCTTCAAGAAACCATTATCTCACATTAGCATGGCAGAGGCGCTGCAGTATGAACAACGAAGGTATCATTCGTAGATAATCAGTGGGCACTAGAATTACCTAGGCAACAGAAGATGATGGGCCCTTTAACAGGAACAAGTTAGGGTGAATGGGGAGAGGGAGTAAACACCTCCTGAAAGCGTTTTCCTTTGGATAAGGAAGAAGAAAATCCCTACTAAAATTACTGTTATAGATTTGTGGACTTGGTTTCATCCTAGCATAACAGGGAAGAAGAAAGAAGGAAATAATTAACATGATGATATAATGAATCCCAGCATACATTTTGTACTGATGGGGCATCTTTGTGTTTAATTTTTCAGATCACTTTCACAGAACTCTCAGCATCCTAAGGCACCGGTGCAACTGTGTTCCTATGATGTGATATTCAGCCAGGCTGTTCAAGAACAAGCTATTTCTCCTGTTAACTCCTTCACACCATTACAAAAATCACTGCTTCCAAATGCTTGACATTCCCTCCTTCCTTTCATTCTTCAGTTAACGCCTTCATATTGGTTCTGTCACTTGACAACTGTGGGACCTTGGAGAGATTACTAAACCTCTCTGAGACTCACGTTGTCTACCTGTAAAATGGATATAATATTTGTCTCAGAAAAAAATGTTAAAATCAGATATAATGTGGGTAGAAGTGGCATGTACAGTGCCTATAAACAAAAGAAACACAATCAATAGTAGTTATCATTGTATCTATCACTTCTATTCTCTGGTCCTGTCAAATACCAAACTAGGCTAAGAGAAGGCAAGAGTAAGACACATTCTCTACTCTCAGGACCTCTTTGAGGAAGTCAGGCATGTAAACCAACAACTGCAATAGTGACAAGTGTTGTAACACAAAGTATGCAAAAGAAATCAGTCTTAATGGCACAGCTTCTAAACACATGACTTGTTTTCCGGGAGTAATTTATAGGATGGGATAATATGGTATTTTGTATAATTTATTTTCCCCAAATCAAATGTGACATAGAAAAGTGGGGGTAGAAAAGCAGACACTGTTTTTCTAAGAATAAAGTTTATAAGAATAAACACCTGTTTATAAGAATAAAGGATGGTCCAACGAACAGTTTGGGGTAAATTTTCTTTCAAATATGACTTTCTCAGACAACATAAATAAGTCTGGTGTTTAATTTACTTGGTTTGTATCTATTTGGGGACATCATAATTATTTAGTAAATATCTACTCTATTCATATATATCACAGTGTTCAGTTTATTCCCTAAGATCTGAAGAAACATTGAGTATAGAAGGAGAAAAAGACACTCAACAGAAATAACGAGGAAAGACTCAAGCACAGCAGGTGAGGCCTGGGCTCCTAGTTCCAGAGAGCAGAGTGCACATATGCTCTCAGTTCTCATCTCTCTTCAGACCCCAGAGAAAAGACCAGTTACAGATTTAAAATAAACAAAAAAGACTAAGCCAGAGCAATGAAAAAAAGAAAGAAGGTCATGAGACAACAAGGTATTTAAATACATTTCTAGTGTAAAAGATGGCAAATAAAAATGCATTAACGAATAAAGCAGAGCAGAGAAAACTTGCATAAAACAAACGATACCACTTAGAGTATCACCAAAGTGCTGCAGCAGGTATGGGAGCTGACTCACCAACTAGAAGGGCCCCAGAGGGGCACTGGATTTGCAAGCACAATGGAGTAAAGGTGGGAGAAGCGGAAGTGAATAGAAGGACTGATTAAAGGCCACAGTGGCCAGCCCCATGTACCACACAGGGAATCACGGTCAGCAATAAAGCAGGGCTTTTCTCCAAATATATAGAACAAGCTGGCTGGGATGAGTTAAGGCTTCCACTGCAAACAACAGATTCTTAAAGCCTTTCATGTTCTGGCATTTGGCAAGGGTGATAAGAGTCTTCTTTGTTCCCAACCAGATCCCTGACTCATCAATAAGGTTAGCCAGGAGACAAAACTCCCATCACATTTCCGTCACCTCTGGATGGGATGGTGGGAGTAGCAGACTACTACTTAATACACTGAGAATAATCAGCCCACTTATCACACTAATATATGATTGAATGATGAGAAATACCAGGTATGTGACAAAATAACCAGTGGGAGGAAAGAAAAACACCATATTAATGAAACACACAAACATTAGTATGGAAATTATGCTTAATGAAATAAGCCACACGCAGAAAGACAAATATGGCATGATTCCACTTATATGAGGTAACTAGAATAGGCAAATTCATACACACAAAAAGTAGAATAGAGATTACCAGGGGCTGGAGGGAGGAAAGAAAGAGGGTCACTGCTTAATGGGTACAGAAGTTTTGTTGAGGATGATAAAAAAGGTTTTCATATACATAGAGGCAATAGCTACAATGATACATTGTAAATGTACTTATTGCCACTGACTTGTACACTTATGAATGACTGAAATGATATATATCGTTTTATATGTAAATATATAAAAAAATTTATATTATATATAAATATTATATATTTTATATACATTATATTATATAAATATATTTATATTACTTAGTATATACTTATATATAATGTATATTTATACATTATATATTCTTGGGAATAGGCCCCCAAATCTGGCCATAAACTGGCCCCAAAACTGGACATAAACAAAATCTCTGCAGGACTGTGACATGCTCATGATGGCCTTGACGCCCACACTGGAAGGTTGTTGGTTTACCAGAATGAGGGCAAGGAACACCTGGCCCACCCAGGGCAGAAAACTACTTAAGGTGTTCTTAAACCACAAACAATAGCACAAGTGATCTGTGCCTTAAGGACATGTTCATGCTGCAGATAACTAGCCAGACCCATCCCTTTATTTCAGCCCATCCCTTTAAATCTTATGACTGGCTTGCTGTCAATAAATATGTGGGTAAATCTCTGTTCAAGGCTCTCAGCTCTGAAGGCAGTGAGATCCCTGATTTCCCACTCCACACTCTATATTTCTGTGCGTGTGTCTTTAATTCCTCTAGCACCGCTGGGTTAGGTTCTACACAGCCGAGCTGGTCTGGGCAATATATAATATTTATATGTAAAATATTATATATTAATATATGATATTTATATGTAAAATATCATATATTAATATATGATATTTATATGTAAAATATTATATATTAATATATGATATTTATATGTAAAATATATATTAACATATGTTTTATATTTATATTTATATATTATAAATATATATTTATATTTACATATAAATATATAAAATATATATTAATTGATATATTATATATCATATATATTTTACTTTATTTAAAAAAAGAAAAAATTTACTGTGGAGAATCAACAAATGGTGACAACTGGATAACCACATACAAAGAATGAAGCTGGCTCTATGCCTCACACCGTATATAAAATTAACTCAGAATGGATCACAGGTCTAAGTATACGAGCTAAAACTATAAAATTCTTAGAAGAAAACACAGACACAAATCTTCATGACCTTGGATTAGGCAATACTTTCTTAGACATGACACCATAAGCACAAGCAACTAAAGGAAAAAAATAGATAAATGAGGCTTCTTCAAAATTAGAAACTTCCGTGCTTCAAATGACACCAAGAAGAAACTGGAATGATAATCCACAGAATGGGAGAAAATATTTGCAATCATATAAAGGTCTCAGAATACATAAAGAACTGTTACAATACAATAATAAAAAGAAACAATTAAAAAATGGCCGCAGTATCTGAATAGTTCCAAATGTTCTAAAATTGGTTCTGGTAAATATACTAAAAACCATTTCATTGCATGCTTTAAATTAGTGAATTGTATGGGATGCAAATTATACTTCAATAAAGCTGCTATTAAAAAATAAATGCTCAATAAATGATAGCCATTATTGTTTAAAAAATTACTCTGAAGAAAAAAGATGAGTAAAGGAACAGAATAAATCTTTTTTACTTGTAGAAAGACTTACGAACATACATTATCCACTATAAAAATTGGAAGTAGGAACAAGATGGCCTAGACAGATAACTATTAAAGGATTCTGAAAGCTGGAAAGAAAGCAGACTGGACTGGCCAGAGGCCTCAGCACTTGAAGAATGGCAATGCAGTGAGACTCTTGAGACTACACATATGCTAGGCTGGGCAGTGCAGGAGTCTGCAGCCTGAAATAACCAATAGGCATAGAAAAAAAGAAAAATCTGTTTTCTCTCACCAGAGGATAGGGAAATGCAAAGCACAACAGAGACCAAGTGGGGAGCTCTAATCTCAGCTCTTCAACTGAGGTACCAGTTGGCCAATCAATCTGTCTTTAGCAGCAACTTCAAAGTCCTGGTGAGCCAACCCAACCTCTGCTTCACAACCACAGCGCTGATGGGCCAACATATTTGCAGCATCAACAAAGAAGCCCCAGACGGCTTTCCTGACTCCACAGTGTTCTACTACTCAGGTACCCTTGGGCAGTCCAATTCACCTGCAGAGGGTTCAAAGCAATGACAGGTCTACTCGACCCCTGCTCCACAGCAGGGGCAACAGCAATTAGGTTGATCCTCCCATGTCACCTGAGCCTGGTAGCTTCTGGCCCTCTACCCAGTGGCATAAGGAGACTTAGGACAAGAAGAAATGGGGCATTATCTGTAGAGGAAACAAATTTGAACTGACAGGGAATTTCTCATTTGAAACTACGGAAGCCAGAGGAAGTGGCACAATATTTCTTAGTGCTGAAGTAAAACAATTGTTAACTAGGAATCCTATATCCAACGTAACTACCCTTCAGTAATGAAGGTGAAATAAAGATATTCTCAGACAAAGGAAAACTAAGAAATTTGTTGCTAGCAGACCTACCCATAAATAATGTCTAAAGGAAGGTCTCCAAACAGAAAGAAAATGATAACAGAAGAAGGCTGGGACATTCAGAAAGGAAAGAACATAAATGGTAAAAACTGAGGTCAGTACAATAGACTATCCATCATCCCATGAACTTCTTTAATCAAAGTTTATGGTTGAAGCAAAAATTTTCACACAATTTGATGTGCTGCTCAATGAAGACAGAGGAAATATTTTTAAAAATTATGTTTAAGAAATGAAGAAGGTAAGGGAAACTAATGGAAGAAGTAAGGTTTCTATAATTCACTTAAAGTGGCAAAATGATACCACTGCACTTTTGATAACTTATGTATGTATACAGTAATTCCTAGAACAACCAACTAATGAAAACTTAAAAAGTGATATATGAAAAAACATTATAAATGAACATTATGAATAATTAAAGTGGAATTCTAAGAAATGTTCGAATAACCTGTAGGATATTCTTCAATGTGTGAATGGTTAAACAAAGGTACCACCATACCATGGCGTACAACTCAGCAATAAAAAGAAACAAACTATGTGATATGGTTTGGATCTATGTCCCCACCCAAATTTCATGTCTAGTTGTAATCTCCAGTGTTGAAGGTAGGGACTGGTGGGATGTGATTGGATCATGGAGGTGGAGTTCTCATGAATGGTTTAGCACCATCCCCTTTTGGTACTGCACAGTGAGTTCTCATAAGATCTGGTTGTTTAAAAATGTGTAGGCCCTCCCCCTCACTCTCCTGCTCCTGCTTTGCCTTCCTCCATGAGGAAAACCTCCCTGAGGCCTCCCCAGAAGCCTGGAAGCTGCTATGCTTCCTGTACAGCCTGTGGAACCTCTTTTCTTTTACAATTAAACCTCTTTTCTTTACAAATTACCATGAGCCAATTAAACCTCTTTTCTTTACAAATTACCCAGTCTCAGGTATTTCTTTATAGCAGTTGAGAATGGACTAATACACTGTTGATACATGCAACAACTTGGATGAATCTCATGGAAATTATGTTGAGTGAAAAAAAGCCAATCCCAAAAGGTTAGGTACAGTTCAATTTTTATAACATTCCTAAAATGACAAAATTATAAAATAAAGAACGGATTAGTAGTTGCAACGGGTTAAGAACTGGGGTGAAGGAAGTGGGTATGATTATAAAGGAATAACACAAGGAAGCCTTATGGTGATATGGGATGGTACAATTAAGTATTTTGACCGTGACGGTGGTTACACAAAATTACACAAAATTTTAATAAAATGTAATTAATGTAAAATATAGCCAAAAATAAAGAAACAGAAAACATTTGAGAAAAAGTAAAAGACTCACAAGATGATAAGAGTGTTTTGCATGCCTGAGGCCTTGGGCCACAGTGTACCAGTTTGTCCAGAGAGTTGGCACTAACAATGTGGTTTATGGTGAACATCTGGTTTTTCCCTGTGGGGCTGGCTGGTGCTTAAACAATTGAGATGCTGCATGCCTACATAACCGACCTTTAGTAAAAACTATACACAATGAAGCTTGAGCAAGCTTCCCTGGTTGGCAACACTATGCATGTGTTGACATATCCTCACTACAGTAAGTAAGAGCATCTCATTTGACTCCACTGGAAGAAGACACTTGGAAGCCTGTGCTGAGGTTCCTCAGGACTTGCCCCATGCCTTTTCCTTTTGCTGATTTTATTCTGTATCCTTTCACAGTAATCAACCCTAAGTCTAAGTGTAACAGCTTCTGAGTTCTGTGAGTCCTCTAGTGAATTACAGTGGCTGAGGGCAGTCATGGGATCCCTGACATACCTTCTTTCGGGAACAAGCACTTCTACCATTTTCAGAAACTGCTTGGACTTTACTATTCCCTATTTACTTTCCTAATTTGTGGTAGGGTTTAAAGCACCTAGTGAATTCCCAAAGATCAGTTAGTTACAAAATCTGACCTGGTCAATCATGACTAAGTGGCTACTGACACCAACATTTCAAACAGAGGGCTGCACATCTGGGGATATGTCTGACCACTCTATTTCATCAGTCCACTTCACCCAGCCCCGGGAACAGACATGGGCATGCCAGGTCTTGCCTACTGCTTAAAATGGCTGAGAAAGTGGCAAGGCAGCTTCAGTATTTTATATACCACCACAACCAAGCTGCCAACCACATGGGGACATATCCACTCCCAGTAGTTTTTTGCTGCAAATCTCCCCATCACCTCCCTCTCGGAAACTGTATACAACACTGCACAGAGGTAATCTGCCACGTGGCTACAGGAGAGGAGCATTTCTCTTAGCTAGGATGTGGCTCCACTTGGGAGGCATGACACAGATAATTCAGTAGCAGCAGTACAAAGTAATTTTGAGATAAAACATACCTGTAGAGTGAATTCTCTTTAAAATTCACTCTCAGTCACTCATCTCCTGATAAGCTTTCTTGAGCAGGAGAGAAAGAGTTGCAAGTAGTATATTGTACACCAAAATTTACACATAACCCACAGCCATCATTATATGTGTCAAGCATGAAACAACTGTTTAAACTGATGATTTTGTTAGCCATATGCCTATGAAATGCTTTGATGTTCTCTGGCTCCTGTCTGCACACCTCAAATCTGTGACCTATTAATTTATTTTCTAAGAAAAGGCTTTGAGGTTTCATCACTCTAGAGAAGTGGGTCACACATGTGAAATACTATTTAAGTGATACACATTAGTCTTAAAATGGCTCAGTCATAGCACTGGTAATATGAAGTTGGATGAATTCTCTATTTTGCCATGTCTTCAAGTAAAATGGTGTATTTCAAATCAGTACAGACTGTACACTTGCACTGTACCTACAAACACTTGTTTTGTTGACACGACACATTCTGAATCCATAGCTACTAAATGCAAAAATTTAAAAACTATTCCTTCCCCAACACGTCGCCAAGTGCTGAGAACAACTCTGCCAATTGTACCAACATGAGCGGTAACTAAGATAAAGGCCAAATACCCCCTTACATAAAGAGCTAACAGGCCAGTGAGAAATTTTCATCACATATTAACACAGGAATTTTATGTTCTTGAGAAAACCATAGCATTTATTTACAAGTCTCTCAGATAGCTTCTCATCCATAAACAACTCAGAGTCATTACATGTTTTGTTGAAGACCAGCAAAAGAGTCAGAGAAACAGTGCAATAGAATCTAACGGGGCTGTTGGCTCTCCCTTTCTCTTATTAAAACAAGCACTTATTGCTCTGTGTGTGTGTGTGTGTGTTTGTGTGTATAATACACATTTTTTTTTAAATATAAGGAACATTTCCATTTGTAAGCCTATCTTCTGTAAGCGTTGATACCAATCTTATTAAATGCATGTTAACTGCTTAGAATCCCAGGCACACATGCAGGTTCATTCCCTTTCTCTTCAGGCAGTTTCCACAATCCACAACATTCTCATTTTAACAGTCCTCATTACTGGTATCATTTAATACTTGAGGGTTTGCTCAAGTCAGTATCAATCTTGCTGATCCTACAAACACTTATTTTGTTGACACAACACAGTCTGAATCCATAGCTACTAAATGTAAAAATTTTAAAACTATTCCTTGCCCAACACGTCACCAAGTCACTGTTGCTGTAACAACTGTCAGTCACGCAGCCCTGTCAAGAGCCACAGCACAGGAGAGACATCAAGCACAGGCCTTTTGGGGAATCCCACTCCCTTCAGTCATTGGTCCTCCTGCCACCCAGATGCACTGCTTCTTCTCAAAGACACTTGACACCTTAAACTCAA
This sequence comes from Homo sapiens, assembly GCF_000001405.40. NCBI lineage: Eukaryota > Metazoa > Chordata > Mammalia > Primates > Hominidae > Homo > Homo sapiens. The sequence goes on along the minus strand of NC_000016.10, from coordinate 47,611,153 downwards.
CATTCTGAAGATGGAAATGTTTACCTGCAAGGCACTTTGTTGGACCCATCTGAAATCTACTTCCTCATTAACAAATAGCCCTTCACCACAAGTAAATCTTAACTAACCAGAAGAGGGAGAAACCTTTCCGTCAGAAGGAACAACAAAAACCTATTCAGAACAAAAATTTCCTCTTCAATTAAGCTTAAATGTCTCTGGACGAGTCTAAATCAAGAAATAGAATAATTCTTTACCTGATTGGAAAACCTCATGCTCACGTTACGTTGATCCTTTAGTGGGACATAGCGCTGGACAGGATCAATGTCTTTAGGACTAATAAGTTCATCAGCTGAAAAAAAGAAGGGGAATGACATTATCGAAAATGCATTTGCATAACACTATAAACCAACTAGACTTTTAGAAAATACTCCAACAAGAGAAGAATATACATTTTTCTCAGTGTACATGAAACATCCTCCACCAGGATATACCACATACTAGGCCATAAAATAAGCCTCAATATATAGAAAAGGACTGAATCATAAAAAGTATATTGTCTGACCACAAGGGAATGGAATTAGGCATCAATAACAGAAAGAAATCTTATAAATTCACACATATGTGGAAATGAAAACATACTACTAAATAACTAATGGGTCAAATAATAAATCAAAAGGGAAATGAGAAAATATATTCTAATATACTTTCTGATGAGATGAATGAAAATAAAGACAAACACCAAAATCAATGGGATGTGGGTAAAACAATGCTCAGAGAAAAAATTATAGCTATAAATTCCTATATTAAACAGAAGAAAAATCTCAAATCAATAACCTATTTTTCCACCTTAAGACAGTGGATGAGATGGCTGGGCACAGTGGGTCACGCCTGTAATCCCAGCACTTTGGGAGGCTGAGGTGGGCGGATCACAAGGTCAGGAGTTTGAGACCAGCCTGGCCAACATGGTGAAACTCCATCTCTACTAAAAATACAAAAAAAAAAAAAAAAAAAAAAATTAGCTGGGCATGGTTGTGTGTGCCTGTAATCCCAGCTACTCAGGAGGCTGAGGCAGGAGAATTGCTTGAACCTGGGAGGTGGAAGGTGCAGTGAGCCAAGATTGTGCCACTGTACTCCAGCCTGGGCAACAGAGAGAGACTCCATCTCAAAACAAAACAAACAAACAAAAAAAGACAGTGGATGAAAAAGAGCAAACTAAATCAAAAGCAACAGAAGGAAGGAAATAATAAAGATTAGAGTGGAAATTAATGAAACAGTATAGAAAAACAATACAGAATCAAGAAAATCAAAAGTAGTTTCTTAAAAAGCTCAATAAAACTTGCAAACCTTTAGCTAGATTGACCAAGAAAAGAAGAAAGAAGACTCAAATTACTAAATCAAGAATTCAAGAAAGAAACATTACTACAGAACTAAAGGATTATAAGAGAATAATATCAACAAATACATGCCATCAAATTAGATAACCTAGATGAAATGGATGAATTATTCCCGGAAAGACACAAACTACCAAAACTGACTCAAGAAGGAATAGAAAATCTAAACAGCTTGGTAAAAAGTACATAAAGTGATTGAAACTTTACACACACACACACACACACACACAAACACACACACACATCCACACATAGTTCAGGACTAGATGGCGTCACTGGTGAATTCTACCAAGCAGTTAAAGAAAAATTAAAACCAACCTTTCACAAACTGTGCCCCCCCCCCACCCACAAAAAAGAGGGAACACCTCCCAACTCATTCTAAGAGGTCAGTATTATTCTAATACCAAAATCAAAGTATCACAAGAAAATTACAAAGCAAAATCTGTATGAATATAGACACAAAAATCCTCAACAAAATACTAGCAAACCCAATCCAGTAACATAAAGAAGGGATTACACATCATAACCAAGTAGAATCTATCCCACAAATGCAAGGATGGCTTAACATCACAAAGTTAATTACTAATAGACCATATCAACAAAATAAAGGGGAAAACACTATGTGATCACTTCAACAGACTGAGAAAAAGCATTTGACAAAATTCAACATCCTTGAATAAAAAGCATTCAACAAAGTAGGAACAGAAGAAAATGTATTCAACCTAATAAAGGGAATCTATGAAAAAGCTACAGCTAATATCACACTCACACTCAATGGTAAAAGACTGAATGCTTTCCCCCAAGGATCAGGAATAAGACAAGGATATCCACTCTCACCACTTCTATTCAACATTGAACTGGAGGTTCCAGCCAGGGAAATTGGGAAAGAAAAAGTAATAAAAAGTATCAGATTGGAAAGGACAAAGGCTATGGTAATTAATAGTGTGGCATTAGCATAAGGATAGAGACAGAAATAGAATACAGAGTCCAAAAATAAACCCTTGCATGTATAGTCAACTGATTTTTGACAGGGTGCCAAAACAATTCAGTAGGGAGAGAAAGGATTTTTCTTTGTTTTGTTTTGAGACAGAGTCTTGCTCTGTTGCTCAGGTGGAGTGCAGTGGCACAATCGCAACTTTCACCTCCCAAGTTCAAGCAATTCTGGTGCCTCAGTCTCCTGAGTAGCTGGGATTACAGGCATTTACCACCATGCCTGGTTAATTTTTGTGTTTTTTGTAGAGACAAGGTTTTGCCATGTTGGCCAGGCTGGTCTCAAACTCTTGGCCTCAAACCTCAGCCTCCAAAAGTGTTGGGATTACAGGCGTGAGCCACCATGCCCAGCCAAAAAAAGTTTTTTTATTGACAAATAGTGCTGAGACAATTGGATATTCAAATGCAAAAGAATGAAGCTGGACCTTTTCCTCACACCATATATAAAATCAACTCAAAATAGATCAAAGAGTTAAATGTAAGAGTTAAAACTATAAAACTGTTAGAAGACAATATAGAAGTAAGTCTTTGTGACTGATTTAGACAAAACTATGGCATCATAACAAAAGTGATAAAAGAAGTAAAGAGATAAATTGGATTTCATCAAAATTATAACTTTCTGGTGCCTCAAAAGATCCATCAAGAAAGTGAAATAACAGCCCAAAGAATGGTGAGAAAACATTCACAAATCAGATATCTTGTAAGGGATTTACACCTAGAAGATATAAAGAATTCATAACAACATAATAATAAAAAGAAAAAAAAAACCCATTAAAAAATAGCCACAGTGTCTATATAGGCTTTTCTCCAAAGGAGATATACAAATTACCAATAAGCACATGAAAAAATGCACAACATTAGTCATTTGGGAAATGCTAATCAAAACCACAATGAGGTATCACTTCATATCCATTAGGAAGGCTACAATTAAAAAAAGAAAATAGGTAAGAACAAGTGTTGGCAAAGATGTGGAGAAACAGAAACCCTCAAATAGTGTTGATGGGAAAGCAAAATGATACAGCAGCTTTGGAAAACAGTCTGGAAGTTGCTCAAAATGTTAAACGTAAGACTTAGCATAGACCCAGCAATTACATGCCTAGGTATACACCCAAGAGAAATGAAAAATATGTTAAACAATAATTTTATATAAAGTTTATAGCAGCATTATTCATAATAGCTAAGAAGTGCAAACAACCCAAATGTTCATCTCCTGATGAATGGGTAAATAAAATGTAATGTATATATACAATGGAATATTGTTCTGCCATAAAAAAGGAATGAATCGCTGAAACATGCTACAACATGGATAAACCTTGAAAATATTATGTTAAGTGAAAGAAGCCAGACACAAAGGTCCATTATCAGTTTCGAGTTACATGAAAGGTCCCAAATAGGCAAATCTATAGAATTAGAGAGTAGGCTAGCCATTGCCTAGTGCTGGGGGAAGAGGGTGAAGTGATGAGAAGGAAATGAGGAGTGACTACTACTGGGCATGAGGTTTTTTGGCAGGGAGATGATGAAAACATTGTAAAACTGATGGCAGTGATGGTTGCACAACTCTATAAATATACCAAAAATCACTGAATTGTAAACTTTAAATAGGTAAAATATATGGTATGTAAATCACATCTCAATAAAGCTATTTTAAAAATAATAGGAAAGAAGTCAGATTTCTTTCAGAAAAATCAGAAAAATAATAGGAAGGAAATCAGTTTGTTAAGAAATAATGTTTCCTGATACAAAATTCTAAAAGAGATTTCTGAGAAGGGGCGTTTTTTTATGGGGCACTGACCAACATGAAGGCAACATCCTCAATTGCTGTTGCACTATAAAAATGGAAGCCCTTTTAACATGGTAGTTCCTTATGGCAACTTTTGATAAAATCCTAGGGTATAACGAGGATGGAAATTTAGAGTGAGAGGCAGTGGGGAGGAAGGCACTAAGTCTGTGGTTCTCTGCTGTCTTCTGCTGTAACACACTTGAAGGATAACCATCAGCACCAGAGGCTCACTCACTACAGCAGGATTTCTCCATGGGCCTGGAAGAGAACATGCAGGGGAGGGGTGGTAGTGGTAGGAAAAGCCCCTGAAATGCAATTCTGCAAAACCTCCTTGGAGTGCAAGTTGTCAGTTATCTACACAAATTTACAGTGAGCGTATTTTCCAACCCAGCAAGTCCGCATCTGTAAAGTTATCTTAGTTATGCTCACACATGTGCAAATTAATTGAACAAAAACAAAAACAAAAATCCAACTTCTAAAGTGAGTCGGCACACTTCTTCATTTTTACTGCATGTAAGCTATAAAACATGTTTATTTCATTCTTGATCTTTGGCTCTACACTGATCACTTAAAAACAATACTATGCTGAGTTTTGTATAAATGTACCCATGTATAATATTTACTAAAAAGATTACAGTTCATTTTCCATAGCTATTTATAAATTGCTTTTAGGTAGTGAATATGACAGAGCAAGGAACCAATGGTTATAAATTTATTTGCAGTTTTAGGAATATTTCTATACTAGATTTCTATCCTGGGGTATCTTCCAGGCACATCTGCATTGTTATTTGAGACAAAATCACCAAAGGATTTTAGTAACTCTTGGAAGATCTTTTCAATAATAATTAAAGTAGTATTAACAGTAGAATAACAAGAAGGAGGAAGAGTAGAAGCAGAGTCTGCCAGAGCCACCGCTGCCTCTGCAGCAGCAGCAATACCTACACAGTTATTAAGCTCCAGGCATTGTTTTAAGTATTTCACATATATTCATTCATTAATCCTCACAACAACCTTATCACTTTATAGATGATGAACCAGAGGCACCTGAGTGTTTAGGCAACTTCCTGGTGGTTGGTATAGAGCAAAGCTGAGACACAGTCAGTCGACTCCCAGAGTCTGGGCTCTTAATCACATACTAATCCTGCCCTTTAAGAACACTGACATTCTACATAACATAGGTGAAAATAATAGCAGAAGGAGGATGAAATAAAAAAAACTATTTAGACATGTTACATTTTTCCTATCGAAATCAGGTTGCATATTACAAATGTTCTCCTTTCTCTCTGAAAAAAAAAATACACTTTTTCAAAATTTAAACCAAACCAATGAAAGCAGATATCGACATATAACTTTAATGTACTAATTTCAGTTTAGCTCATGATACAGGGTTGATTAGTACACTGATATTCTAGATAGGCAGTAAATTATTTCCGTATCTCAATTGTATGATCACTGAGATGTGAAAAAATTTCTAAAACGAACAAGTTTTCACTGTCATGCTATAGAAACTAAATTCTATCTTTATTACAGTATTTTGTTATTTATAAATAGTGACAGATAAATTAAGAAACCTTATATCCTTGTAAAGCATAAATGCTAATCTATTAAAATTGGTAAGAATTGAATGGTTAACCAAGTCTTCCAAAAGCTTATTTCTTTGCATTTCCTTCGTGTTTCTCTTTGTGCCACACTTCATCTAGCTTGATGTTCCCACTTACACCACGTGCTCATGTATAAACTCATAGACTGTATGCTTCTTATACATGATGCCCAGTACCTAGCAGAGCCACCAGCACCTAGTAGGCACTCAATACACTTACTAAGCAGAATAATAAATTAGTCGGTTAGCAAATACAGAAACACTAATTGCCATAATCATTACTTTAATTTCCATAATGGTAAATGTGAGAAATATCATTAAAAGGTCAAGTTTATGGGCACATTTTTTCCCCACTGCATTGATTTTTATCATTCAGGAGGCAAAAATAGAGTTCTTTATTGTGCCAATTCAATGAAACTGATTTTCTGGTGAAGAGTGACAATCCTGAAAGAACTTATATCCAACAAACTACAGAATATTTCAAATGAAAATAAAAGAACGAGGGTAAGAGATAATGGCTTTCTACATTTACAGTACAGCACCACACCTCCAAGATAATCAAGAATTTCTACAAAATGGAGATATCTGTCTTTAAATCCTTAGAAAATAGGAATTAAGTTAATTAATTTTTTTTTCACAGAAGGTTTATAAAATATACCCTGGGCTCACCCCAAGCAAAAACTGTCCAGCGTAAAAAGAAAATATTAAGAAAAATCTGTTTCTTTAATGAAATAATAATTTAAAGAAAACTTAACAGAGCAAGTATTTTTTGTCATAACACAAAAATTACATAGGACATACTAAAATAGGCTCAGCAGATACTTACAGGGTAAAATTATGTACTTCAAAGCCTAGCTGATTCTCAGCTGTGGTGACACATATTAGTAACACATGTATTATGAAATGAGCTATTTGGAGAAAAAGAAAATGCAGATCCTTAACCTCATATTATACCAGAAAATTCCAAATACATGTGTGTGTGTGTGTGTATGCATTTTAGTCAACTGATTAACAAGGATGGACTTTCTAAAATTAAATGGTAAATTCCACAGCAAAAACTAAATAGGAAAACACTGGTAGATCTGAGTGTGTAAAGATTTTAACTTCTGCTCATGAAAATATAGCAAAAGCAAAATTTAAAGGCAAACAAACTAGGAAAATATCAGAGAGGTTTTATACACTTAATATATAAAACATTCATGTAGGCTGATAAGAAAAACCATAAAACCAAGATTAAATGGGCAAAAAAAATTACTAGACAATTCACAGAAGAGTGACTAAGAAATATGTTTCTAATAGTCAGAATATAAATGAAAACAAGACTCAATTTATTATCTTATTAGGTTAGCAATGTTTTTGCTTTTAATAGGAATATTTAATGCCACAGAGGTTACAGGTGACACAAGCACCCTGTAGACTCCTGATAAATCAATAAACTCTGCTAGTCATGAGCTCTGTAACCTTGGGTGAGTTGTTAAACTCTTATGGGCCTTAGTTTCCTCACCTATGCCACATAGTACCCATCTCAGAGAGATGTTAGGAGGATTACTTAGGATGATGTTTGTAAGAGGCAGAGCACAGAATGTGACATATAAGAAAGTCAGTTATTGGCCAAGCGTGGTGGCTCATGCCTGTAATCCCAGCACTTTGGGAGGCCAAGGCGGGCAGATTGCCCGAGCTCAGGAGTTCGAGACCAGCCTGGGCAACATGGTGAAACCCCGCCTCCAATAAAAATACAAAAAATTAGCCGGGCGTGGTGGTGAGCACCTGTAGCCCCAGCTACTTGGGAGGCTGAGGCAGGAGGATTGCTTGAACCCTGGAGGCAGAGGTTGCAGTGAGCCGAGATAGTGCCACTGCACACCAGCCTGGGCGACACAGCGAGACTCCATCTCCAAAAAAAAAAAAAAAAAGAAAGTCAGTTATTTATACATAAAGCTAAAGAAAGTCTTCCCAGGTGAAGCCTTTAAAGTAATACTACATGTGCTTCCCGATGTTTATAATGCCTGCTGCACAGAAATCCCACTTTAGGTCACTAGCCATCACATGGGTAACATGAGAAAGATAATGAAAATATTCTTGAAGTTTCCTGAAGTGCAACAACTGGGAAATCTCTTAGCAACCAACATGTAAAAATATACCTGTACACTCTTTTCTATTCATTTTATCTTGAACGGAGCAGTAAGAAAACCACGTGCTATCCTGAAGAGTCAACTGCATTTGAAGACAACAGATCAAAGAAAATCAAGACCTCAGTTTCTTATGTCCTTATATACATACACTAGGGGACACTTGATGAATGATTTTAAGTTTAAAAAGCATTAGATTTCCAGGTTTACTCAGTAGCTTTTATATTTGAGATCAATTGGGCAAGAAATGTCATGAATAAAATCAAATGCAAAAGGACTTATTTTTGTTACATACACTGGAATTAGGAAGTGGTTTGTCAGAATAATTAGGTTGCCCTTAGAGAGAGAGAGAGAGACAGAGAGAAGTATTTCCTATAACTCTTGTTAGTGAGCTACTGGATATCCATAGTCACTATCAAAGAGTAGGCCTCTATAAATAGAAGCAGAGATCAACAAGTAGATGAATGGTAAAGTATGAACAGAAAGTGGAAGAACCATTTAAACATGTATTTGTCCCATAGTAAATGCTTTATGTGTATTTCCTTACCAGCTAATCCTTATAACATAAAAATAAAAAATTAATGCTCATGGAAGTTAAGAAAACTCAGATCACACAGGTAGTAAGTGGCAGATTTTACATTCAAATCCTGGACTGTCTGATTCCTAAGCTCATAATCCACAAACTCTTCACCTTTCACTACAGCACAGGAAAAATGTAAGAAAAGAAAAAAAAAAAAAAAAAAAAGGAAGAGAAGCTAGGGAGGGAGAAAGTAGAAGAAAAAGATGATAATGTCAGAGAAATAATCTGTAACCCCATGGTTACAAGTTTGCTGGGTGTTAATAATCATTTAAAATATAATTTCTACAGGAAAAATAAATTGGCTTCCAAACAATCACTTACCAAAGAACTTTGGGAACCCAAGAAATTAAGTTGGGAACTTCGTATATATATAACACTTTGGATATTTTAAAGTACTTCTATATCCATTTTATCACTTTAAAAGTAGCTTGTTAGTGTTCCAAGGAAATTAAATAATACCCATCCCCAAAAGAAAAAGATCCTGCCAGGCATGGTGATCTGTGGCCATAGTCCCAGCTACTCAGGAGGCTGAGGTAGGAGGATCACTTGAGCCCAGGAGTTTGGGACTCCATTGAGCTATGATGGTACCACTGCACTCCAGCCTAGGTGACAGAGTGAAACTCTCTTGTCTCTTAAAAAAAATTCTGTTGTGAGATTCAAGCAAATTTTCATTAACCTGAGTATTCTGGGAGTTTGTGTATATTGGAGAGAAAGTTGTAGTTAACTAAAATTGCTTAATATTTAAGTTTACCAAGAGAATATATCTTGTTTTAACCATTAATGTTTATTAATGTTTTCAAAATATCCACCCTAAAAAAATTATTGTATTCACCTGCCTTAAATTATACAATATGTAAAGTTCTAATCTTTAATGAGCTGGGATAATGTAGTAGTACCTGAATGAAGATCATCACTATGAATGTCTGATGTACAGGATAAGAAAAGTTAGTTGCATATATGGAAAAGACAAGCTGAAGTCTAGAAGTCAGTTTTTTTTTTTTTTGAGATGGAGTCTTGCTCTGTCACCCAGGCTGGAGTGCAGTGGCATGATCTTGGCTCACTGCAACCTCCGCCTCCCAGGTTCAAGCGATTCTCCTGCCTCAGCCTCCTGAGTAATTGGGACTACAGGTGCGTGCCATCATGGCTGGCTAATTTTTTGTATTTTTAGTAGAGATGGGGTTTCACTGTGTTAGCCAGGATAGTCTTGATCTCCTGACCTCATGATCCGCCTGCCTCGGCCTTCCAAAGTGCTGGGATTACAGGCATGAGCCACCACACCTGGCCCTAGAAGTCAGATTTTTAAAAGCTGATATGTTAGTATCTCTTTTTAGGACATAGTGAATAAGAACATATATTAAAGTTATATAATGGCCTTTATAATGGTTATCTAATGGTTTTAGAGTAATGTTATCATTAACTTTATATTTCTTTAGTTTTCTGAATCTCAAAAAAAATTTCAATTCAAACATCAAGATTTTCAAGCAATTTTTTGAGACAGGGTCTCACTCTATTGCCCAGGCTACAGTGCAGTGGTGCAATCATGGCTCACCACAACCTTGACCTCCAGGGCTCAGGTGATCCTCTGGCCTCAGCCTCCTGAGTAGCTGGGACTACAGCCATGCACCATCATGGCTGGCGGGCAGAGCTCAGGAGTTCGAGACTAGCCTGGGTAACACGGTGAAACCCCATCTCTACTAAGAATACAAAAAATTAGCCAGGCGTGGCGGCACACACCTGTAGTCCCATCTACTAGCGAGGCTAGTCGCGAACTCCTGGGCTCAAGCCATCTGCCTGCCTCAGCCTCCCCAAATGCTGGGACACAGGCGTGAGCCACTGCACCCAGCCTCAAGTGATTTTTAATGCAATAAATACAATCATGTGATGATGCATAAAGATGTCCCATAAGATTACAATACTGTATCTTCATGTATAGACATCTTCACGTATAAACATTTTCTATGTTTAAATATGTTAGGTACACAGATACTTACCATTGTGTTACAATTGTCCACAGTACTCAGTATAGTAACATGTTCTACAAGTTTATAGTCTAGGAGCAATAGGCTATATCATATAGGCTAGGTACGTCGTAGGCTAAAAATCACCTAATGACACAATTCTCAGAATGTAGCCCTACCATTAAGCAATGAATGACTGTACTTTTAAGGTTATTTATTTTTGCAAATAGCTCAAAAAGGTACTCTGCTTTCTTTAGACTGGTCTTACATGAATGGTTTCTAAACTTTCAAATTTGAATAACAGTTGAAAGTATAACTAATGACCATTTTATTCTAAGACACGTCAAATATATCTTAAGATACGTCTTACGGGGTTTAAAGTGTACATGTTTATAATATATTTACCAGCTATATAGAAAATATTGATTTTCTAAAAGTATAAATTTTATAAGAGAAAAGGAAATACTGTGAATAATTAACTTATTTTTTAAGAGCACAGTGGGGAGTTCAGGCCTTGGTTCAGGAAATAGCATACTGTGTCTTTTCTTTAACAATTGAATAGAAGTCACAGAGTTTTGTTATATAATTATTTACTTAGGCATACATAAAGCAAAATATTATTAGACTTCACTGAGATACAAACTGGCCTGAATTAGTGAAAGTCATATACTATATTTTTAAAGATTCACTGTTATATTATTTTCATGTAAAAATAGTAACCACAATTAGCTGTCCACAAAATGTTGTCAAGCAGAGATCCAGCTGAGGCTCCTTTAATGAATAAAGACTTTTTAAGTAAATTTGTATCTGGAATCTTAATGAAAATCCATAGAAGTCTGATGGTTCTTAGGGCTAGTATACAACAGTTAAGAGCAACTAAATGATTCAATTTTCTGAGATGTTATTTGTCTTAACCAGTGGGTTGTTAACCAGATAACAAAGCTAGGCTAGACTACTAATGAATATGCAATATTTCTTTTTTTCAGCTGGAGATATGTATGTGGTTTCATAGTATGCAAAATACCTTCTTCATGTTCTCACTGCCTTTTCAGAAGATCAGCAGGGAAAAGAGAAACTGACTTTCTTTAACGGCAGCTCTGCAGTATTTCTTCTTCTTTTTGGTCATGAAACAGAAATGGAGGCATGACCTGTACTACTTCTGTTCACTCTGGTCTTAATATGAGAAAATACTATCTTCACTCAAGACCTGTCTACATTCAACACATTTATTACGGAAAGTTCAATGCTTTTTTACTGATACTATTGTCAATCTTTTTCTTTTTTTAAAGCTCAATTTGCTTATGTAGGGTGTAGTCAATTCCACCTTCTCAATTCACTAGCCTTGTCAATTTTATCTAGAGGCTTTGCTCAAACAACATTCTTTCTAGTTGTACTAAACCCAGGCTGGATATATGGCAAAAAGCAGGATAAAGAAGGTTTTAATTTCATATCCCAGATCCCAGGTGCCAGTTTTTAGCCTCAGAATCACAGAAAAAAATTCCTCATGCTCATTTGTAATTTCCAAATATAGAACATAAAAACCTATAATTCTAATGTTAAAATTCTTATCCTTACATAAGTTAACTAGTACTCTACTAAAATATGTTTTACTTAACTGTAACAACAAAGCTTCTTTGTAATTATGCTAGTGAGACGGAAATAACATTCTAACCAGAGATAACCTTCCCAACTTGGGTTGATTCTAAGAAAACTATTTCATGTGTTGATCGAATCGTTGGCGCTGTCAGGGAGGGTGTGCTGAAGAAGACCACTGGCCTTGTGGGATTGGCTGTGTGCAATACTCCACATGAGAGGCTAAGAATATTGTACACAAAGATTCTTGACGTTCTTGAGGAAATCCCTAAAAATGCAGCATATAGAAAGTATACAGAACAGATTACAAATGAGAAGCTGGCTATGGTTAAAGCGGAACCAGATGTTAAAAAATTAGAAGACCAACTTCAAGGCAGTCAATTAGAAGAGGTGATTCTTTAGGCTGAACATGAACTAAATCTGGCAAGAAAAATGAGGGAGTGGAAACCATGGGCGCCATTAGTGGAAGAGCCTCCTGCCGATCAGTGGAAATGGCCAATATAATTATTAAGTGACTTTGGTGTGTTGATGGGAAACTGATGTAATTAAATATTCTGCTATATCGAGGGCGTGTTCATATTACTGACATTTTATAATCAAGAAAAGTGATATAGAAAATATGTAGGAGAGTGTTAAAATTGGTGATTATGGTAATATGGTCATGTGAATCCATTTTTGATTTATAAAGTATTCACACAGGTTATTTCAAAGATGATATTTCTATGAACAGAGAGGTCATGGGAAGATTTGAAAATTATTAAAGAAAAATTCCTACAGATCTTCAATGCAGAGACCATAATCAAAAAGTAAAGTTTCTTTAGTAGTATGTTCAATACATCATTTAATTTTTCAAGTTATCTGGAAGAAGAAAAGGTCCTTAACTATTATAGTCTAAACAAATTTATAGATCACTGTTTGAGGTAAATAATATGAGTGAATATTTTCAAATGTGATAAAATAGCACAAGTGGCTGGTGATAAAATTTGAAATTATGGTTAACCTCAGCTGTGATCTTATGTATGTAAAGCAAAATTTAAATATATAATTATAGGTTGATTACAAAATCCATAATGTCATTTTATTTTAGTCATTATTTGAATTATACCATTTACTCTGTTTTCTGATAGTTTTAATTTTATTATATTTTGTTGTTACTATATTATATTTGAAAACCTTCAAATTAGAATACATTGTACAGTTGAAGAAATTGACTTGGTACTTAAAAGAAAGATTTCCCATTGCACAGAGGTTACTGGAGAAATTTTTCCTTTTGTTGCATTTGTGGAAGTTAGTTTTCTGGACCGTGGCCTTTAATTTTCTTAACCTAATTACATCAGGATAGAGGTAGAGTTTCTGTAAAAGAGACATTAAGAGTTCCTGAAATTTATATCTGGCATACGGATAGGCTTATATTCAAAACATCTTAGTCATACGACTATAAATTAAAAGCGGAATCACTAAAAAAAAAAAAAAAAAAAGAAAAAAGAAAAAAGAAAACTATTTCATGTGTCTTTCCCCCCCGCTTTGGAAATTCTAAAAGGAAAGCCTATAAATAATATCAACACCTTGTCAAAAAGCTGTCCCTTTAAAGGAGGAAGAAAATGTTTCTTCATGTTCTTAAATTAGCATTAGGTATATATGGAGACCCAGAAAATATAGTTAGGAAAGGAGCAAACTGAAAACAGCATTAACTTAGTTTTCACTTATTTGGTTAGCTTCTGCCTGTTCTTACATATCATTTTATGTAAAGCTCAAATTGGAAATCTGTCCTGTGAAATATTCTTCCCTAATGGAATATTTTTTTAAAAACCGAAGATGATTACTCTTACGGCACAAATTTATTAGCATTTATGCAGTAATGCTAGAAACAACAAAAATCATAACAGTATTTTATACAGTAGGCAGTTATTTTAGTGCAGGTACAGTATTTACAGTTAGCCTATTTCAATATATTTTGCCATAAAGGAATTCTGACTCTAAAGTGATAGCCTTTTTGATGTAAATGCTAACAACATTTAAAATTTGAACAAGGAATTTGCAGGAAGAATGCATAATGCTTTTTCTGTGTTTATCAAATTTGTCTTCATTTCAAAGTGTCCAAGAGTGCTATGATTCAGTTCAAGTTGTAGGAGAAGATGAAAAATAATTCTTCAAAGAATAATGAATAATGGTCCTATTAAACCTCCAACTAAAATTGCCAATATATATTTATTGGAAAGAAAAGAACTTTGAGATGACCAATACATTTTGGCAAGTGGTCTACTAAAGGTATGACCAAGCATGACTGTTACTGTTTTCTTAAGTCAGAATTTTTAATATATCATATAAAAGTAACTCAAAGTTTCTATAATCTTCTGCAGGAAACCTATATAGTAAGCCAAATGCAGCCCCCTAAATGATCACAAATGGTACCCATACCTATTTCGCTTTCTTTCCAGAAACTGTCCATCATCATTCAGTGAAATAGATATATTAATATACCACTAGATACTAGGAAACTCCCTAAAGACCTCTCAAGACCATGAAACACCACCCAAATCCAACATAAACACCAGCAAAGGCATATTTATTTCTAATAGCTTAATAACAAGGAAAAAAATACCATTCCCAATCTTCTCCACTTACCCAGGAGTTTTGCGATGATATAAAGTGCTTGTCCCCAAAGAAACAGTTTTCCATCACGGCCACAGTTGCTAGGAAATCGTTTTTGACTACCAGGGTTATTTTTTTCATATTCTACAAAGTCAGCTGGCACATAATAGTACTTTGGTACAACAGGATATCCTATGGAGTTTAAAAATAAGTATTTAAAATATAACAAATCTGTATTAGTCCATTCTCATGCTACTAATAAAGATATACCCAAGACTGGGTAATTTATAAAGGAAGGAGTTTTAATGGCCTCACAGTTCCACATGGCTGGGGAGGCCTCACAATCATGGTGGAAGGCGAAGGAAGAGCAAAGGTACGTTTTATATGGTGGCAGGCAAGAGGGCTTATGCATTTACAAAACCATCAGATCTCCTGAGACTTATTCACTACTATGAGAACAGTATGGGGGAAACCGCCCCCCATGATTCAATTATCTCCACCTGGCCCCACCCTTGACACATGGGAATTACTGTAATTCAAGCTGAGCTTTGGGTGGGGATACAGCCGAACCATATCAAAATTACTGTCTTTCCCAAAATTTCCCTTCAAGACACTGTAATGATTAGAAAGCAGGGAGAGAGAATTCTTATACAGGAGGCAACAGATTTGATAAGCTATAGAAAGCTGGATATTCTGGTTCCTTTCAGATATTGCCAGTGAAAATCATGGAGAAAAAAATTGACTTAAAACACTAATTCAACAGCAGATTGTTATGCTTTGGCTAACAATGAGTACATAATCTCCCTCAACAACATTTAATTTTAATACCTTTAAATGAATCAACAAATACACAGTATGCAAATACTTAGAGCCACAGAGGAAGCTATTTTTAATAGGATTATTCTGTAGAAGCTTCACAAATGAGATACTGTGTAATCTTAAATGAAGAATTATAACTCTGAGCCATTGCTAGAGCAAAGAAATCCCCATTTAAACATTAAGCCCATTATCTACCATTCAATATCACCGAAGAGAAAAAGCCATCTCCCCCGTGACCATTTAAAAATGGGTTGGTAGGAACTAAAATTATTATTTAATAGTAGAATCTTTGTGGATGATATAATGGGAAAATAATCAACAATCTATGTAGGATGCTACAGGAGACTTTTTGCAATATTAGCCCACAGTAAACTTAATTTTTCTAATGAAATTGCACAGATTTCCCTAAAATTTTGCTTCCTTACATATCAATCAACAATATTTGTGTCTAAAATCAGTAAGAAGGTCTATGATATACAGATAATACTTTGAACATCACTCTCTGAACATGATGAAGCCTGAAGTGAGGTACATTAAACTACTACATCTCAATGCATCAAAGATCTAATACTAAATATTAAAAGATCTGCTTCAAAGGATTTCAAATATTACATGCATTACAAAATTTAATACATTATTTCTCACATTGGACAAGTGATTATTTGTAGCATAAAGACAAAGATAACTTTTAAAAATTAATATTCACTTTGAAATCAATGTTTATCCATAAACATTTCACAACTTTTAACATTACAAGCATGTTAGTGAGCATATAATATTAAGTATTTACTCTGAGATATCTGTGGAAAACCCCAAAGAATATCACAAATTTCATGTGAGATAGGAATGGGGCTCACTGCTGTGATTGTCAATACTTTAAAGCCCCAAAGACATCTAGAACATCTCATTTGGAATTCCTTTGAAAATTGGTTTTCCAGTTATACAGAAAATTCAGCTATGTTTTTTGAGGGTCCCTGCTGGTGTTTGACTGAAACCAATATACCCTTACTCCTAAGACTGGGCCTTCTGACCATTTCTCAAATATTAAATCCATCCTCAAAGGACGATGTTTTAGCACCATGGCAGATGTTCAAAATACAATGCTAAGGACCCCAGAAAAAACTCCAAAGAGGGGGCCAGAATATTCTCGGCAATTCTAGTGCCTTTAGACAAGAGCAGAACCTCTCCAGGTAGCCCTCCGCAGGAGGGGCACTCACCTGACTATAGCATTTTTGGTGACCTGTATAAAAACTAGTCACTTTCTATACAGAGTAATGGAGTTACATAGTAAATAACAGATGAAGGAACTCAGTCCACCTGACAAACTATTTTGGAATGACTATTGCCATGTCCACCTAGATTCATTTCCATCTTTGTCTTGCTTAATCTTCTTTCTGATTTCATATCAGGGATCATTCATTTTTTTCAATTTAATACAAATTATTGTTTTTTACAAAGGACTCACTTATACATTTCAAATAAACATTCAGGAAATGTTGGTAGGAAGAATTTCTTAAAAAAACAACTATACCTTCTGTGGTATGATGAAGTACTGGAGTCAAAAGATCCTGATATTCCTGTACTTGCTTAGGATTGCCTCTAAAAACTCCTAAAATATAAAATATAAAATCCAATAGCAGCTGAGCTTAATAAGGATCTCAAAAATTTTACCTTAGAAAAAATATATTAGCCCAGTTACAATTATTTTGGTAATTTTCTATGCCAATGGTAAAATTAAAGTGGAAAAAAAATGCAAATCTGTGTGATATTTTTCCAAGAAATTGGTTTTAGAAAGTCATGTTAGCATTTAGAATTGAAAACTGAATTTTAATTGAATTTTCCCTATTCCTAAGTATAAATGTTACAGACATTCACATTATCATGGATTACAGTATTAATGATTTCTACTAATAAAAATTTTTCTTTGTAAATATGAAGAAAATATATATGCTATCATTTTTTAAATGCTTCCAAGTGTTTTTTTAATTCTTTAAATGATTTAGCATTCACTCAGAAAGCAAAAGAGTAGTATATACAAATGCAGGGCAATTAACATCACTGAAGCGCAGTCTATTTTTCTAGCTGAAAAGAGTCATAATTTATTTCTGCTCTTCTTTAAACCACTTAAATCCTACAGCTTAAATTTCAGGAAAAAGCTTGCTTAAATTTCAGGAAAAAGCTTACTTACCATCAATCATCATATAAAGGAAAAATATGGGAAATTCACATTCAATGCCATCAAATAGCTAAAACAGAAAATAAAACATTAAATTTTACACTAACAATTAAATTATTATTATTATTTTGAGACAAGATCTCACTCTGTGGCCCAGGCTGGAGTGCAGTGGCACAATCACGGCTCTCTGCAGCCTTGCCCTCCTGGGCTCAAGGGATCCTTTTTCCTGCCTCAGCCTCCCAAGTGGGAGGGCTGGGACTATAGACACAAACCACTATATCTGGCTATCTCTGTCTCTCTCTCTCTTTCTTTCTTTCCCTTCCTCCCTCCCTCCCTCCCTCCTTCCCTCTTTCTTTCTTTCTCCCTCTCTCTCTCTCTCCCTCCCTCTCTCTCTCTCTCCCTCTCCCTTTCTTCTTTCTCCTTCCTTCCTTTCTCTCTCTCTCTCTCCCTCCCCCCCCTCTTTTTCTTTCTTTCTTTCTTCTCAGAGATGTGGTCTCCTCCCTCTGTTGCCCAAGCTGCTCAAACCCCTGGCCTCAAGAGATCCTCTTATCTTGGCCTCCCAAAGTGCTGGGATTACAGACATTACAGGCATGAACCACTGTGGCCAGCCACTAACAATTACATTAGAAGAACTATAGTTAGGCGATATGTCAAAGATTTGTTTATAGCAATAAAGTTGAACTGATTTTGTAAGCAGTTTCCTTGTCCTTTTTTTAAAAAAATTTTTCCTCAGATCTTATTATTCAAAAGCTCACTCATTCAGTCC